>NC_000004.12:43767288-44076712 GCF_000001405.40 Homo sapiens
CTTCAAACTTCTTAACATACTGCCACCACAAATTAAGTATCTTATTGGTAATTTATAAGGAACAGAAACTTATTAACTTAACAGTTCTGGAGGCTGGAAAGTCCAAGGTCAAGGTATCCCTAGGTTAGGGCCCAGTTTCTCTTTTCTCTGATTCCAAGATGGTGCCTTGCATGTGGCATCCTCTGGAGGGCAGGGGAATGCTGGATTCTCACATGGCAGGAAGGCAGAGGGTCAAGAGAGAAAAACCAACCTGAAAAGTCCTTTTATTAATGCACTAAATCCACTCATGAGGGTGAAGTGCTTGTAGTCTAATCACATCTTAAAGACCTCACATCTTAATGTAGTTGCAATGGCAATTAAATCTCAACATGAACTTGGGAGGAGGCATTCAAACTACAGCAATCTGGCCTGACCACCCAAAACTTACATCTTTCTCAAATACAAAATACATTTATTCCATCCCATTAGCCTCTAACGTCTTACATTGTTCTGGCATCAACTAATAAGTCCGAAGTCCAGAGTCCTATCTAAATTAGATATCGGTGAGACTCAAAGCATAATTCACCCTGAGGGAAATTCTCTCCAGTTATGAGCCCATGAAATTAAACAAGTGACATACTTCCAAAAGGTGATGGTGGATAAGAATAAAATAGACATCCCATTCCCAAGTAAAGAAATAGTCAAGAAGGAAGCAGTAACATGTACCAAGTAAGCCCAAAACACAACAGGGCCAGCACATGAAATCATAAGGCTTGGGAATAATCTTTGACTTTATACGCCATCTTCCAGACACACTGGGGTGTGAGCTGGACCCCCCTAAGTCCTCAGGAAACCCAACCCCTATGACTTTGCTGGGCTTAGCCCAAAAAGCAGCTCTCGTGGTTTGGAGTCAGGTGCCTTCATCTTCTCCAGGCTGGCATGGCATGCTGGTACGTCTACAGTTCCAGAGTCTTGAGGTGGCCCTGATCCCATTTCTCCCTTCGGCATTATCCTAGTGGGGAATCTCTGCAGTGTTTCATCCCCTGAAAAAAGTCTGTTTGTGCCCCAAGGTTCTTTATGACATCCTTTGAAATCTATGAGGAGCCATACCTCCATAGCTCCTGCATGGTGTGTACCTGCAAAATTAGCACCAACTGGATGCCACCAAGGCTCACCACTTGCACCATCTGGAGCAGTGGCTCAAGCCTGCCCTGGGCCTACTCTACCCACAGCTATAATGGCTGAGAAGCACTGTGCCAGAATGTGGGGAGCAAAGACCCTAGGTTACACTGGACCACAACACTGAGGTCCCATGCATACCCTGGGCCCATCTCCAAAACAATTCTGCCCTCAAGGCAATAGGGCTCAGAGCCTGTGATAGGAAGGGCAGCCTCAGACATGTCCAAAATGCACTGGGGGGTCTTTTTCCCATTGTCTTAATGCATAGCACCTGGTTTCCTCGTATCCATAGTAATCTCTTTATCAAACAGTTGGTTGGCCATACTCTTGGTATTCCATCTAGAACACACTTATTTATTCTTTACATGATCTGGCTGAGAGTTTTCCAGATCTTTATGTTCTGCTTCCCTTTTAATCATAAGCTGTCTTTAAATCATTTCTATCTGCTTACATTTTAATATACACAATTAAAGGAAACCACACAGCACCCTGAATGCTTTGTTGCTAAGATATTTCTTCTGACAGATACCCTAGTTTATCAATCTTAAATTCTACCTTCCATAAAGCTCTAAGTCATCGACACAATTCAGTCAAGTAGTTTGCCAATGTATAACAAGGATGACTTTTACTCATTCGCATCTGAGACCTCCGCAAAATTGCCTTTACTGTCCATATTCCTATCAACACTGTTTTCAACCACTTAAGTAATCTTTAAATGTTTCAGACTTTCCCTATAGCATTCCTTTTCTTCTGAACCCTCACCAGACTTTTTCAAGCATTAACTTCAAAACTATTTCAGCTTCTATTCCACTATCCAGTTCTAAAGCCACTTTCCCATTTTGAGGCTGTGTTATAGCAACACTCCACTTCTCTGGTACCAATTTATTTGTGCTGCTATAATGGCATACCTGAAATTGTGCAATTTATAAGAAACTGAAATTTATTGGCTCATGATACTGGAGGCTGGGAAGTTCAAGGTCAAGGGATCAGCAGGCCCATGGCCTGATTTCTCTGCTTCCAAGATGGTGCCTTGCATGTTGTATCCTCCGAAGACAAGGGAAATGCTGGATTCTCACATTTAAAGACATCAGGGGGCCAACATAGAGAGTCCATACCAAAAATATCTTTTATTAAGATATTAAACTCTCCCATAAGAATGGATCCCAATGGCCTAATCACTTTGTAAAGTTCCTATCTCTTAATGCTGTTACAGTTGCAATTAAATCCCACCATGCATTTTGGAGGGGACAAACATTAAAACAATAGCAGTCATACACTTCCTTATTGTTAAAGTGCACATTATAATATCTATTTCACAAATTTCTTAGAAGGAGCAATCCCAAGTTACTGTAGGCACAATTCAAAAATAAAAACAATAATCACTGGAGGAGTGATTATTTGAATACAATCTTATGGAAATTCAATAGTAAAATAGCCAGAGCAAGATAATAACATTAATTACTACTGTTTGGAATATTAATTGTTTGGCTTTTTATAAACTTTTCTGTTCATTTTTACTTTTGTTTACTTTTCTGTTCATGACCTACTCTTTGTTAGCCAGAGACTTCCACGTGCCTTTTAGAAGAATTAGGATTGCTGCAAAAGCAATAAAAACAGAATCAATGCCCAGTTTATGACTTCTAAAACCAGCATTTATGTACTTATTTTTGAAAGCCGAAGTTTTTTCTTGTTTTTGTTTTTTGTTGTTGTTGTTTGTTTGTTTTGAGACAGAGTTGCACTCTGTCATCCAGGCTGGAGTGCAGTGGTGAGATCTTGGCTCACTGCAACCTCTGCCTCCTGGGTTCAAGCTATTCTCCAGCCTCAGCCTCCTGAGTAGCTGGGATTACAGGCACCTGCTACCATGATCAGCTAATTTTTGTATTTTTAGTAGAGATGGGGTTTCACCATTTTGGCCAGGCTGGTCTCAAACTCCTGACCTCAAGTGATCTGCCTGCCTCGGCCTCCCAAAGTGCTGGGATTATAGGCATGAGCCACAGCACCCAGTCGAAAGCCAAAGTTTTTAATTATATTTATGTTCTCTATGATTTATCAAGACATGGAGTAAGATAGTGTTTATGAAATGATAATGGAATTCAAGAAGAGACGGCATCCCCTTTTCTTAAGAAATCAGATAAAAATTACCTAGAAGTCAAGTAAGAAAGAAGAGCTGGTTTGGGCTTAGCCTTTGTAAAGTTCACAAGGAACATCCAAGACCCAAAAATGGTGGTTTTGAGTGAGGCTCACTTAAATTTCACACAAAATACATTCAGGGTTCTAGGCTACTGCAGTGATCTGACTAGTTTTGTGTGTGAACCTGAGCTTTCGCACTTGCCCATGTTATAACCACATTGCTACCTCTCTGTCTCTTTCAACTAAGTGCAGTGAAATTGGTGGCAGGCATTTTTTTACAAAAGATAGCTCAAGCCAGCCATCTAACTTTACAACTCAAGGAACCAGAAAACATAAACTATGCTGAAAAATAGCAGAAAGGAGGAAACAATAGAGATTAGAAGATAGAACAATAAAGTAGGGAAAAAATCAATAGAAAATATCAAGGAAACCAAAAGTTGGTTCTATGAAAAGACTGTTAAAATTTAAAAGCCATTACCTAGTTACACTAAGAAAATAAGAGAGAAGATCCCTAATACTAAAATCAGAAACTACCACCAATTCTACAGAAATAGAAAGGATTATAAAAGTACTAAGAACAATTGTATACCAACAAACTCAACTTAGATGAAATGGGCAAACTGCTATTAACGCAAAACTTACCAAGACTAAATCACAAAGAAATTAAAAAATCTGAATATGCCTATAGCTAATAAGGATATTGAATAATCAAAAAACAACCTTCCAATAAAGAAAAGTCCTGGGCCTGATGGCTTAACTGGTAAATTCTACCAAACATTTAAAGAGCTAACACCATTACTTCAATTTTTTTTCAAGAAATTGAAGAGGAAATACTTGCTAAATTTTTCTATGAGGTCAGCATGACCCTGATTCCAAAGCCAGAAAAAGACACTATACTAAAAATGAAAATATAGGCCAATGTCCCCTATAAACATTGATGCCAAAATCCTCAACAAAATACTAGCAAATCAAATCAGCAGCATATTAAAAGGAATATATACATCATATCAAGTGAGATTTATTCCTGGAACACAAAGATGGTTCAATGTATGAAAATTGACCAATATACCATACTGCAATAACAGAATGAGGTAGAAAAATAGACATGATCATTTCAAATGATGCAGAAAATGCATTGACAAAATACAACACCCTTTCATGATAAAAACAGTAAACAAAGTTGGAATATAACAAAGCTGCCTAAATATAAAAAAAAGTTATGTATAATAAAAAACACCGTAAATGTCATATTCCATGGGAGACAACCGAAAGCTTTTCTTATAAGATCAGGAATAAAGTAAAGGACATTTAACTAGAAAAGAAGAAATAAAATTATCCGTGTTTGCAGATGATATGATCTTATATGCAGAAATCCATAAAGAATCCACAGAAAAACTTTTACAACTAATAAATAAATTCAGCAAAGTAGCGGGATACAAAGTCAACACATGCAAAAATCAGTTGCAATACTATACACTGGCAATAAACAATAAATAAGCTGGAAAGAAAATTAGGAAAAGAATTTTGCATCCAAGGGAATCAAAAAGAACAATGTTTAGCAATTAACTTAAACAAGACTTGTACAATGAAAACTTGAACATGTTGCTAAAAGAAATTGGAGCCATAAATAAATGGAAGTGTATCACATAACAATGGATTGGAAGAGTTAATATTATTAAGATGTCAATACTGCCCCCCAAAAATAAATGGAAGTGTATCCCATAACTATGGATTGGAAGAGTTAATATTAAGTTGTCAATACTACCCAAAACAATCTACAAATTTAATGCAATCCCTATAAAAATCCCAATAATGATTTTTGCAGAAATTAAAATAAAATCTTAAAATTTATTTGAAATCCCAGGAGATGTTGAATAACCAAAACAATTTTGAGAAACAAAGCTGGAGAACTTATACTTCCTGATTTCAAAACACAACAAAACAATGATATGGTAGTCAAAACAGTGTGGTACTAACATAATGACAGACGTATAGACCAATGGAATAAAATAGAGATTCCAGAAATAAACCCTTACATATGTATCCAAATAACTTGTCACAAGGGTGCCAAAAACATTCAATAGGAATGACCAGTCAATTCAACAAAAGGTGCTGTGAAAACTGGATATCCACGTGCAAAAGAATGAAGCTGGACACCATATATAACACCATATATAAAAATTAACTCAAAATGGATCAAAGACTTACACTTAAGAGCTAAAAATATAAAACTCTTGGAAAAAACAGGGCAAAAGCTTCAAAGGTTGAATTTGTCAATGATTTCCTGGATACAACACTAAATTTTGTTTTCCTTTTGGCAAACAAAATTTGGCAACAAAAGAGAAGCTAGAAAAATATGACTTCATGAAAATTTAAAAATTTTGTGTGTTAAAAACCACAAAGAGCAGAACAAAAAAGCTACCTAGAGAATGAAAAATATTTGGAAATCATATATCTGATAAGAGATTAATAGCCAGAATATATTAATAACTCCTGAAAACTTAACAAAAAGCAAACAACCTCAAACAACCTGATTCAATAATAGACAAAGGACTATTAAAAGTGATGCTTGGCCAGGCACGGTGGCTCACACCTGTAATTCCAGCACTTTGGGAGGCCGAGGCGGGAGGATCACCTGAGGTCGGGAGTTTGAGACTAACCTGACCAACATGGAGAAACCCCATCTCTACTAAAAATACAAAATTAATCAGGCATGGTGTCACATGTCTGTAATCCCAGCTGCTCAGGAGGCTGAGGCAGGAAAATCGCTTGAACCCAGGAGGCGGAGGTTGCAGTGAGCCCAGATCGCACCACTGCACTCCACCCTGGTCAACAAGAGCTAAACTCCATCTCAAAAAGTGATGCTCAACATCACTAATAATTAGGGAAATGCAAATCAAAACTACAGTGACATAATACATCATAAACATTAGTATGGCTACCATTAAAATAACAGAAAAGTGTTGGTGATAATATCGAGTACTTCATACTCTTGTGCATTGGTTGTGGGAATGTGAAATGGTAGTCACTGTGGAAAACATTATAGTGGTTGCTCAAAACATCTAAAAAAATTACCATATGATCCAGCAATTCCACTGTTGGGTACATACCCGAAATAATTAAAATCTAGGTCTCCAAGAGACATTTGCACACTCATTTTCATAACAGCATTATTCAAAATAGTTAAATTGTGAGAAAAACCCAAGTGTTCATCAGTAGATGAATGAATAAATAGAGTGTACTATATACAGAGACAATGGAATATTATCCAGCCATTAAATAGAAGCAAATTTTGACACATGCTACAACATGGTTGAAACTTGAGGGCGTTCTGCTAAATGAAATAAGTCATTACAAAAAGGTCAACCCTTATGATTCCACTTCCATGAGATACATACTTAGAATAGTCCAAGTCATAGAGGCTAAGGGTAGAATAGTAGTTACCAGGGACTGGAGGAAGGTAGGAATGGGGAGATTTGTTTAATGTGTACAGAGTCTCAGTTTTGAAAGATAAAATGATTTCTGGAGATGGATAGTGGTGATGGTTACACAGTACTATGAATGTTAATACCACACAATTCTACACTTAAAAAGGGTTAAGATGGTAAATTTTATATTATGTGTATTTTACCACGATAAAAATATTGACAAAAGAAATACAGGTTGAGCCATTCCCAAAAACTAGCTGACACTTGGTACCCAGCCCATGGAAGGGTTGGGGTGATGGCTTTGGATGCCAGCAGGGGAAGGAGGTGTTGTGAACAAGGTAAAGGATGCCTGCTTGGGTAATGTGGCGTGGAAAACAGGGGTTCAGCCAGCATTATCTGATCACAACCTAGGAATGTAGTAATTGTGGCCTAAAGAGTTCTAGAGAAGATATGGCTGAACAATGTGTTATTTTGCGTTTACAGTATTATGTTAAAACTAAATTTAACATAGTCATGAAATGAATTATTATTTATCTTTCCCTGAATAATCTAGGTAAGAATTGGATTTGTTGTTATTGTCAATGAACCATAGTAACAACTTTTGAGAGCCATTTGATGCCAATAGTCGTGGGTGTCATAATGGATGATGCTGTGCCATGAATAAGGATGTAATCTGCATTACATAAATGACATTAGGAAACCACAGAAGCAAGAAGACCTAAATGTTTTAATACAAATAGATTCTGACAGGCCATGGCATTGTAATAGTAGTATTGTTATATTTTTCCTTTGGGTTAAAGATATGAAATTAGCTAGGCAGATTGCATTTGAAAATAAAGAATGTGAAAAGATGGCTCCTGGACAAGAACAGAAAGCAATGGTGACTGGACTGGACATTATTAAGAATGTTTATGTGTATTCACTGGAAAATAAACAAATACATAAGTACTTCTCTCCACCCTCAATTTTTTTAATCTTCATTGACATGGGTCATAAAATTATAAAATATTTTAAACCAAATTGTTTCTGTTTTCGTTTTTGTTTTGAGATAGACTCTCACTCTATTACCCAGGTTGGAGTGCAGTGGTGTGATCTCCGCTCACTGCAAGCTCTGCTTCCAGGGTCCTGGTCCAAGCGATTCTCCCACCTTAGCCTTGTGAATAGCTAAAATTACAGGCGTGCACCACCACACCTGGCTAATTTTTTTGTGTGTTTTTAGTAGAGAGGAGGTTTCACTATTGTTGGCCAGGCTGGTCTTGAACTCCTGACCTCAACTGATGCACTCGCCTTGGCCTCCCAAAGTGCTGGGATTACAAGCATGAGCCACTGTCCCCTGAGCCACTGCCCCGTCCACCAAATTGTTTATATAAAAAGAGCTCCACAAAAATTGTTGCCTATGCAGTGAGCCATGATCGTGGCATTGAACTCCAGCCTGAGTGACAGAGTGAGACTCTGTCTAAAAAAAAAAAAAAAAAAAAAAAAAAAATTGCCTAGTGTCTGCACACCCTATAGAAGATCTTTGTCATATAATCAAAATTATTTCTAATACAGATAGAGGTATGGTACAAATTAGACTTTCTGGTAATTAAAACCCTCTTGTTAATTGCTTTTACTTGTTATAAATCACTGGATCATTGGAAATTTGAACTCTATGATTCTATACTACTTTTTAAAAATCAACAGTAATAAAAACCCAATTATTTTTATATTATTGGTTAATTGGAAAGACACAACTTTTTCGTTATTAATTGGACATTGTGTCAATTTTTATTGGACTACTACAGATTCACTAGTTAGTTTCAATAATATTTTATCTTGATTTTTAAAATAGCATATGATCCTTGAAAAATTATTAAAAAAGAAAAAATAGAAAAAAAAAGAAGTTAATCCTCCCTGCCAATTGTTACTACCAATGGCATATTGCATTTTATTTGAGATTTTATTTTATGCATTATTTGGATGCTTTTTCAATTTTTTAAAATAGGAATGAATAGCAGATAAAATGTACCTAATAATATATAATTGTACTCTATTTAATAGCATGGTAATGATATTTTGCTAATATATATCATAAACAGTCAACAAACGTTCAAACTCTCAAGGAAGTTGTTATCGGATCTCCAAAGACAGACAAAGATTATGCTTAAGTATTTCTAAATTCAATGTAAATATGATATTTTAACAAGGAAGTACAATATTTATGTTATTTAACCAATGCATGGATGTGACAATAGGCAGTAGTTACATGTTTTTCCAAACAAATTAAAACCAGCTATTCAAATCTACCTCTGAATTTTATATTCAACTTCTTAATGCAAAGATGTGAAAACCACAAAAATTAAAATAGTTTTAAAAAATAGCATATGCAGAAATTATTTTCTTTAATTATTAACCTCCTTAAATAGTGGGCAATTTATCATATTTATAGGTCAATAAGCAAATCCATTGCAAATTTTAAAACCATTTCAAAATAGTTCATATTTTTAAGGTGCTTTTTTTCACTATACATCACCTATTTCTACAAATATGTACATGAAATAATTCTATGTAAATCTCTTTTTTCTACCAATAGGTGGCACTAAAAATGTGTATATTTCAGTAATAAAGTATGTTCACCGCTATGTTGGTTTAAAATGCCTTTTCCTATAAGGCAATTTTAGCTGTAATTTGAGTTAAGAACATTTATTAACAATAAGATAACTCTGGTATGAACAAGAAGTTTTTCATTAGACAAATACAATGTAAAATGATTGTAATGAGGGACCATTACATGAATATTTTACTTTGCTGGTATTAAAAATTTTGTCTTGTGATCAACTAAAATGGTATATTATTTAGTAAATTAGATATTATATTTTCCTTTATTATTACATTATTGTTATTGGGTAAGTTTGCCATTTTCACCTTAGTCAATGTTGTTAATGTTTATCTGAGTAGACAGTGCATATAAAAGAATTCTACAGAATTTAGAAGCATCTTGTATTTGCTTTGACTGTTTATAAATCTATTCTTTGTTTTGTAATATTTAGTAAAACTAGTAGAAAATATCTAAGTATTTATATTTGTATTAATTTTTTTAGTAGCACTCTTCATTTTACCCATGTGTATATACTTAAAATTATTTACCTCCTAGTATTAAAAAAATCCTATAGGTCCAGGAGCAGTGGCTTATGCCTGTAATCCCAGCACTTTGCGAGGCCGAGGCCGGTGGATCACTTGAGGTCAGGAGTTGAGTACCAGCCTGGCCAACGTGAGGAAAGCCCTTCTCCACTAAAAATACAAAAATTAGCTGTGCATGATGGTGGGTGCCTGTAATCCGAACTACTTGGGAGGCTGAGGCAGGAGAATTGCTGGAATGTGGGATGTGGAGGTTGCAGTGAGCTGAGATCACACCACTGCACTCCGGCCTGGGTGACAGAGTGAGACTCCATATTTAAAAAAAAAATCATACATCTCAGTCTTTTAGAATACTTTTTAATGTAGTTTGTGCAAGAAGTTTATTTCAAGAACTCCTAGAGGGGAAAAAAACTTAAGCTATTCAGTGTGCATTGTTAACAGCAGTTTTATTAAAATGATTTATTGCCATAAGACAAATCCTAATGATATTCTTATATTATAACTGTATTTTATTCTGGGCTTGGTTGGTGTGATTTATTCACATTTTCTCAGAAAGTCTCAACCACTGTGTAGCTGTAGCTATTAAATAGCAAATGTGTTTTATATTATTATAATAAACATGCATTTTTCATACTTGAACTTTCCAATAACAGATATTCTTGAGTAGTTTCAGTGCTTGTATTGGATCCCATTGAAGTCTTATTATCTTGTACAATTTGTCTCAACTGTACTTCTGATTCCTATTTTCTGCTCTTTAAACCTACATGGGAAAATAAACTTAACCTGACATAGAGTCTGCTTTAATTCTATGTCCAGTGTCTCATCTCTGATCAGAGATAGATCAATATGAAACACCTTTATTTGTCCTCTTTGCTGGCAGGAACTCAGCTTAACTTCATTCCTTTCTTGAGCTGCACAAATCTTATTTCTTGATGCCCTCCACTCCATTTGACTACTTATGGAGACTAATACACACTCCTGAGTTCCCTCCCTTGATCACCCTCTTCTCTTCAAACCACCATAATCGGATTTTGTGTTTTTTAGGTTTATAGAATAAGGAAAAACAAACAAACAAACACACCTTGATCACTATAGGGGACAAACAAACTTAAACCAGAAAGATACTTGTTATTTTAACTTTTAAATGCAGGGAAATATTCAGGCATATTTAAAGATGGATGCATCTAGGGCCTTGCAGTAGTCAGTTTCCAAGGTAACGCCCAGTGATCCTTGGCTCTTAGAATTCACACTTCTGTGTAGTCCCCTCCCACACTGTACCAGGGTTGGCATGTGTGACCAACAGTGTATAGCAGAAGTGATGTTATTTTCAGAATTATGTTATCAGAAGTCTGTGGTTTTGTCTTAGGCACTCTCTTGCTCACTGGGTCTCTGTCATTTGTCCAAAGGAAAGCAGATACCATGTCATGGAAATGCCATAGGAAAAAATGTGAGGTCTCCAGTCAACCGACCACATGGAATTGAAACCTGTCAACAAACAAGTAGTGAGTTTGGAAGCAGATCCTCCAACCCCATTTGAGCCTCATGAGAGACCCTGAGACTAAAACACAAGCTAAGCCACTTCTGGATTCCTGACAAACAGAAACTAAGAGGTAATAACTGTGTATTGCTTCAAGCTGCTACTTTTTAGAGTAATTTCTTATGCAGCAGTAGGTAACTAACACAGATCTCAAACCATATTATCAGAGTCTGCATCTCTCTGTTCTTGGCTGTGATAACATCAAGTTGTATCAAATGCAAATAAATAGAAATGAATTCTGGTGATCAAATAACGCAGTCATGACCTGTCTGTTTATCATGTGGATTCTAAATCAGGAGTTTACAAACTACAAATTGCTTGTCAAAAACTTACCATCTGTTTTTGTAAATAAAGTTTTAATAGAACACTACCACTTCATTTACATTTTGTCTATGACTTTCATGCTACAATTGCAGACCTGGGTAATAAAGACAGAAATCAAATGGCCCACAAATCCCAAAAAGTGTGCTATTTAGCTCTTTACAGAAAAGTTAGCCAACCCTTGTCTACATGGAGGAGAGTATACACATTGACTTGCATGATCCCTGGTTAGTAGCAACTGAAAAAATAAAAAATAAAAAATCCATAACTTGACAGAGAAAGCTTAAGAGAGAACCCTAAATTACCTGTCTTGGACCATGTGCCTTCGTGCCAATCATGTGGCCAGGTGGAAACGTTCCTCTTCTGTCTGTTCTTAGCGAATGCTGATATCAATATTATAAATAAATAGAAGACAAGTAGAAAGTTATGGCATACCAGTTTGAGAGAAGAAAAGAATAATATTTAAATTATTTATGAAAGGTACAGTTTTAGTGCAGTAGCTTTAAGAAGATGAACTTAAAAAGCGATCTGGTTTTATTTTCATTATGAACATAATTAGTGCACTGGTTCTTCAAACCCTGAGAAAAGCCAGTTACTATGAAATTAAAGGGAAATATTTAATTCATAGAATTGTGAGAGCAAAGAGGAGCAGAAACTGTTCAAAGGAGAAATACTTGCTTTTAGATATGTTCAATACTGGATTATTAAAATATCACCAAAAACATGTTTATGAGACAGGTGAGTTTATTGGTTACTGCAGTAAAGGAGAACAATACTACCACAGTCTTAGTACCATCTTAGAGCAGAAACAGCAAACTTGGCATATTTATGAGATTTTAGAGTTTGGATTAAGGTGAGTCTTTCAGTTCAGGGATGCAGTGGAGGAGGTTCAGGGCATGCTTAGGAGTGGGTGAGAATCATAATAGTTAACGACTGGGGGACACAGCAAGTTGAGGATATGAAAGCAAAAAGTCAAAGAATCTTGACGTATAAACTGTCTTTCTAGCTTTTCATAGGGAAGTTGACAGGTCTTCCAGAATTTTCCTGGAGTAAAACATTAACATTATTTGCAACATTTCTCTTTCTGGTCAAGAATTTTCTCGAAAAGTAAAGTTATATTGATGAACATAGCATAATAGTAAAACCATACTTATGTGGACAGTAAGCTCTGTAGATGCTTTATAATGCTCAGATACATCGGTTTAAGATTTTATCATGTGTTTGAACAGAGATATAGGTAGACAGGCGAGAAGATTAGGAAAGAAGAGCGATATCTGAGCCCCAGAGTTTCCCGTGTAGCTGTCAGAATACAGAGAATGAACAAAACAATGAGCAGAGAGGAGCTCCCTGCTGAGGACCATAGAAATGGCAGAATCTGAGCATTGATTGCAGATAGATCGCTAAGGAGAGAAAGATGGCAATGATCTAACTGCAATCAATGCTCAGATTCTGTCATTTCTATTTTGGAAGTATGATTTAGATATTTTTTCCACTTTCACAACAGCTTCAATAAATTTTACCCAAACTAATGACAATAAATTCTTAATTTTCCATGTCTGCCTTTAGTGGTCATTGTTAAAAATAATAACACCACAGTGAGTTTTTATAACAAACAAAACCTTAATTTTAACTTAAATGTATAAATATCAGAAGTATTATATTGATTTTGAAAGGATAGTAGAACTAAATATTTACAATTTGATTAAGAATAACATAACATAATAAATAACATAACAGGTCCAAATCCTGGTGCCATCAATAAAAAGTATGTGAACAGTACCTGACCCATAGTAATAGTTTAATAAATGTTTGCAGGAATGAATACAAGAAATTAATTTCTGAGAATCAAGAATTGCTGTTCTGGCAGACATCGTCTACCTTAACATCAACAGTGCCCTTTCCTCCTTATTACTCTCACTGTAATACACCAATCATGACCGGGAAGAAAGATCTTCCATTCCTTGGGACATTGTTGGGCATGTGACTAAATTTCACTCGAGGGTATACAAGTATCCATATATACATATAAGTTTCAACTTATAATTTAGACTCTATTTGTATATTTATTTTTAAAAATTATATATATGCACACACAAAGACATAAAATTTTACACAATATAATTGTATATTTATTTTAAACACATATATATTATAAATTATATAATATCTAATATCTATTATTATATAATATCTATATAATATCTAATATCTAATATATCTAATATCTAATATCTAATTAGATATCAAATATCTAACATATAATATAATATATATGTATTATTTAATGTATAATATAATATATATGATATTATTTAATATATAATATAATCTAGCTCTGGAGCCACAAACTTCCCTCATGGATCTGTCACCACATTCACACCTAACTACTTTATTTCTATGATATTATATATTATATATAATATTTTATCTATATTATATATAATATAGATAATATATTATATTATATATGTTTAAAATAAATACACACTTATACAATTATATTAAACAATTATACAATTATTTAATATACAATTATTTTAAACACACATATATAATATATAATATAATATATCATATAAAATAATTATACAGTTATTTTAAACACACATATATTGTATATAATATATATTATATGTAATATTATGTATAATATATGATATATAATATATTATGTATATAATACATATAATATATCATATATCATATATTATAAAAAGAATTCTATGTGTTAAGAATTCTTATAGTCACATTTAATATATTTATTAATATAATAATGTGTGTATGTACACACATAATATATATTATATTATATATAATGGAATATATACAGATACATATAATTTACAGAAGTGGTCCTTGGAAGTGAGAGAACCTGAAGTCCATATGAGCAAAATTTTATATAATTTATGATTATATACTTATATTATGTATTTATTTAGATAGAGATTATATCTGTATTATAATACATAATTATAATATATAATAACATATTATGTATGCATACATAGATATATAATTATATTATATTAATACATATATATATTAAATGTGACTATAGCAATCTTTCTTAACAAATGGAATTCTTTTTAGGCCTAAAATTACCTAAAAGCTAATAAAGCTTAACCTTCAGGATCTCTCATTTGTGAGAAACACTTCTGTAAATTATTTCTTTGTAAGTACATTTTCAAATTATCTAGATTTGAGTGTACCATTTATTTTATACCAGGATCCTGACCGATACTATATTTTCAAACAGAGATCATAATTTGTCACCTCTTTCTCTCAGATTTATCTCTGAATGAGTTTACCTATTTTAATGTGAACCGCCGTCGCTTTCAATTTAGCTTCAGTTTATAATATTATAACTTTTCAGATATGTTCTATAGTTTGAAACAATCAACGTTTTTATGCCTACTATGTTTGAAACTTGTGACAATTTTGCTCATCTAGTCTTATTAGAGACATTAAGTGGATTATTTTTAAGCAATTATATTCTATAATTCTGTGAACTTTTCAATAAAAAATACTGATAACTAAGCTCCGAATCAAACAAATACGGTAGTATCATCATGTTGACTAATTAATAGTAAAATACAACCAGTAGAAGGCGCAGCACACATGACAGTACAATATTTTTCAAGTGGTCCATAAATGTAACAGTGATAGAGAGTGAATCATAGAAATAAAGTAGCTAAGTATGGATGTGGTGAGAGATCCATGAGGGAAGTTTGTGGCTCCAGAGCTAGATTTTTCCTGCACTGAACAATTCATCAATTAGAAATTGATAATTGTGGAGTCAGATAAAGTAGAATGCACATTTAAAAGACATGAGGCAAATATAAGATAGATCTCCTGCCCTGAGGATTTTAAAATCTAGTTAAGATGAAAGATGTTTTAAAAGATGGAATATGAATTACAGTATATGAGCAAGGCTATTATATTGTGATAGGTGTTAATCATATCAGTTAAATGAGTGTAAGAATATAAAAAGCAGACTCAAGAAATTATAGCAAATAAATGAGAACAAATATGAGAGAAAAGAATGAGCTTTTCGTGGTATAAGGAAAAGTTAAGAATAATCAATGGATTTGTAAGTAAAGAAAACATTTTGTGCTTAACTTGCTTTACTGCTTCCTTAAATTAATTGTTTAAGTAGATTAAAGGAACACTTTTAAAGTTTAAACAATGGGCAAGAGATGCTAGGAATAATAAATATGGAAAATTTAATGTTTATTTTTCTAAAAGTCTCTTACCTAGAGTTTAATATTAGGAGTTATTTTTTATTTACAAGTTTCTGAGTTTAATTTTTCTAACTTCCTTGCAGCACATAAATCATAACTTTTTGGGGTTTTGTTTTGAAAATGTCCTAGCAATGTACGTACTTTATAAATTTGTTTACTTAGAAAAATTTTGTCCCCTGACATCCAGATAAATTCCTTTTGCTTAGTTTTTACTGTCATTCAGGTTAAAACTAGGTAGGTTTAAATATAATTTAATTTAAAATTTAAGCAAGAATAGAGTACATGTGTGAATGTTTATATTGAAGATTATACTTTTACTACAAAAATGTAATTATACCTGCAATGAGATTCCATGCTAAGCACAAAAGTAGCTTTTATCACAAAGTTATCATTTAATATATGTCCAACACCAGAAATTCTGAAAGCCCAAAAACAAATATACATTTCTGACAGGTAATAGAGCACAACATTAATTTCGGAGGGTACAGATATTCAAACCATAGCTGATGCCATAGACCCACTAGACTCATTTCTCCCTTCCTGTTAAGTACAGCTATATATCCTAAACATATGGAATAGGCAGACAAAAAGGAACTATGAAAGGTGAAAAGAGGGAGGCAAACTGGATTGGGACTTCAGGGCTGAAGGAAAAACACAGCAACAGAGTGTAATATGTCTCCCCACTCTAAAGAAGGAGGTAATCTATAATCAGCATTTTCTGAACCCTGTTCTAACATGAGAAGTTAGCAGATATGACAGAGGATAAAATCAATGAATGTGAGGATGGGTCAATAATGTTACCCACTCCGAGCAATGATGTGGTAGGCAGAATGGGAATGGGTTTAAGGAGGTACCTATATTAAGCAGCACATAAGTGTGATAGACAGACTAATGGTCCCCAAAGGATATCCACGTTTTAATACCTGGAATTTGTGAATATTTTACCTTACAGGGAAAATAAATTTTGCAGATGTGATTAAGTTAAAGAGTTGAGATGGAGGGATTATTTTAGATTATCTAAGGTGTGCCCTATGTCACAAGAGTCCTCATAACAGACAGTTAAGAGAGTCTGAGATAAACAAGAAAAAGTGACAATAGGAATAGATATCATAGTGGTGTGATTGCTGACTTTGAAGATAAATGATGGAGCTGCAAGCCAAGAAATAGAGTTGGCCTCTAGAAGTAAATGAATTCTCTTCTACATTCTCCAGAAAGTGTACAATTCTACCAACATCTTGATTTTAGTCCAGCGAGAATTATGTAAGGTAACACGTTTGCATCATTGTACTCTAAAGTTTGTAGTAGTCAGAATAATGTCTCCTCAGAGTAGTGATTTGGTATACCAGTACTGAAAAACCAACAGAGATTTTGGAGTTTGAAATTAAGATGCTGCTCTAATATGTATCTAAAATGTGGAAGTCATTATGGATAGAGCCAAAAATGATTTTGAGAAGCCTAATAGAAAAAGCCTAGATTGCCTTAATCAAACTATCAGTAGAGATAAATGGTTATTAATTACTTTACTTGAAAGAACTCAGAAGGAGGGGAGGGGGAGTGGGAAAGAGAAAACATGTGTCATCGTGGGAAATACCAAAATCATCAGGAACAGATTGTGGTAGAAATATGGTTGTTAAAGGTACTACCAATGAGGGTTCAGAATGAAATAAGAAACATGTTACTGGAAACTCAAGGAAAGGAGGTCTTTGATGTACAGTAGTGGAAAGTTTAGCTGCACTGTGCCCTTTAGGTATTTGGAAAGCAAAATATATTTAACAACCAACTTGAATATTTAGCTCAGGAAGCTTCCAAGCAAAGTATTGAAGCCTTGGCCTGCTGTCTTCTTGCTGCTATGGCAAAACAGAAAACAAAGAAGATAAATTGAGAAAGAAAACCTTAAGAAAAAAGGATCAAGTATTTCATTATTTGGGAAATTTTCAGCCTATCTAGGGAGCAAAAGATGCTAAAATTGGGAGATTCACTAAAAACATGCTCTGGAGAAAAAGCAAAGGGTGTGGCTGTCCCTCCCCAACCCTTTTTTTTTTTTTTTTAAAGCTCTTTCTAGTACCTTGGGAAAATCAAGGTACTAGATTAGGCATGTGACTTCTGAGTCTTTTCAGCAATCTCAGCAGAGGCCAGGATAAAGATGGGATTATACAGGAAAGATCTGTGTAGGCCCACTGTCTTCTCTAATGGGCTGAATCTCTGTGACATGCATGAGAGATCCACAAGCGCTTTGAGTTACGATACAAGCAGAAACACTGTCAGCTTGGACTGAAAGAGACAAAAAAAAAAAAAAAAAAAGGACCAAATAATATAGGCAGGAAACGGCCTGATAAAACTAATCAGCCGCAAATGTGCTGATTAAAAAGAAAGAAGACAGGCCGGGCACAGTGGCTCATGCCTGTAATCCCAACACTTTGGGAGGCCGAGGCAGGCAGATCACCTAAGGTCGGGAGTTTGAGACCAGCCTGACCAACATGGAGAAACCTTGTCTCTAATAAAAATACAAAAATTATCTGGGCGTGGTGGTACATGCCTGTAATCCCAGTTACTTGGGAGGTTGAGGCAGGAGTGTGGCTTGAACCCGGGAGGTGGAGGTTGCTGTGAGCCGAGATTGTGCCATTGCACTCCAGCCTGGGCAACAAGAGCGAAACTTCATCTCAAAAAAAAAAAAAAAAGAAAAGAAAAGAAAAGAAAGAAAGGAGACCGAAAATGAAGCTGGAAGCTACGGAAGATTACCTCCAAGGCTTAATGGAATTTGCCACTTTGGATTTCAAAATTGCTGGATATTGGTGATTTTTTTTTCTTCCATTTTCTTCTTTTGAAATGGAAATTCCCATAACTGGTATCCTGTGCCTGGCTCACAACTGTATTTTGGGAGAAAACACCAACATTTTTTCTAGTTTCAAAAATTTACAGATAGAAAAAAAATTATGTCTCATGATGCATTATACTGAATCTTATTTATAATTGATTTAGATTATGAGATTTGGGAATTTTGAACTGATCATATTTACATGAGATCTTTGGACTTTGATGCTGTAATGGGTCAAAACTTTCAGGAATGTTGGAATTGGGTTGTGTGAAAGCATTTTGCATGTGGGACAAATAAAAACATTTAGCAGCCAGTGGGTGGACATTAATAGAATAATGGTCCCTCATTCATGTCCCAATCTTTGGAATCTGTGAATATGTAAATTTACATTACAAAAGTGACTTTGCACAAGTGATCAAATTATGGATCTTAAAATGGAAAGATTATACTAGATTATCTGGGTGTACTCAATATAATCACAAAGGTCCTTATAAAGGAAAAAAAGGAGGCAAGAGATTCAGGATCAGAGGAGATATGATGGTGTAAACAGATGTCATATAAATGTGATTTTTGCTTTGAAAATGGACAATGAAGCTGGAATACAGGAGAAAAAGTATTCCTTCCTAGAGCTTCCAGAAGAAACTCAATCCTGCCAAAACCTTGATGTTAGCCGAGTGATATTTGACCTCTAGAAATGTAAGAGAATAAAACTGTGTTGTTTTGTTCTACTAAATTTTGGGGATTTGTTACTACAGCAATAAGAAAATACTGCCAACACAAAATAGGCTGATAAAAATGAACACAGCCTCAGGGACCTGTGGAACAATGACAAAGGACCCCCAATTATATTATCAGAGTTCCGGAGGAGTGGAGAAAAAAGATGAGCTAGAAAAGTATTTGGAGTAATAATGGCTGAAAACTTCCAAAATCTGGCAGAAGACATATAGCAACAGAGTCAAGAAGCTGTGTGAACCTCAAATACATTTACATCAATATAATATCATAATTAAACTTCTGAAAACTAAAAACAAAGAAAAAAGTCTTGAAATCATTGAGAGAAATGACACATTACTTCTAGGAAACAAAAAATCTATTAATTTTGAATTATCTAAATGGCAAACAGTAGGAATAAAAGGGAAAATATATTAGATACAAGACAACTAAAATAATTTGTTGCCATAAGACTTACTCTTAACGATTGGCTAAAGAAAATTATTTTTAAAAAAGAAATGATAAAATAAGGAAATTCGAGAACAAGACAGATCAATGAAAAGTGAAGAAATATTAATATATAAAATAAAATTTATCATATGAGTTTTATAAATCATACCTAATCAAAATCTAATCATATGTAAACAAATTACAATACCATCTGATACTCAAGGTAATGATATTTAAAAGTGGGAAACGTAAAGAAATCTAAAGGGAAGTAAGCTTTTCCCACTCCACTTGAACAAATAAAATGCTGATACCAACAGACTCTGATAATTCACATATATACATTGCAATACCCAGAGCAATCACATTCAAATATAATATAACAAAATCAAGAAAGGATCCAGGAAAATGTCTAGGTAATCTACACAATTGCAAAAAAAAAAAAAAAAAAAAAAAAAAAAAGAAAAGAAAAGAAAAAAAAAGGAATAAGAAACAGAGAAAACAAATAATATAAAGTAACAAAATCAAGTTCTAACATATCACTAATTGCCTTAAGTATAAATGACCTGAATATACCAAATGACAGAGATTGACAGAGTGGATTAACAAAAAAAAAAAAAAAAGAAGATGATGTATCCATTTACTGTCTATAAGGAACTGACTTCAAATTCAATTACATGGGTTGGTTAAAATTAAAGGGTGGAAAGTCATATACTAGCCAAACACTAATTTACAAAGAGCAGCAGAGGTTACATTAATAAATTAGTACAGCCATTACGGAAAAAATAATTGGCAGTTCCTTAAAAACACCAAACGTGCAATGACAATACTACCCAATAATTACACACTTGGCCATTAATCCCAGAAAAATGATAATTTAGGTTCACAAAAAAATCTGTGCACAAATATCCATAGCTTTTTTCATAATAGTAAAAAAAAACAGAAACAGCCAAATATGCTTGAATTAGTAAATATAATTAAGTGGGAAAAAGCTAACTTAAAAAGGCTGCATATTATATTATTTTATTTATATAATATTTTTGAAATGGAAAAATATATATAGAAATGGAGAACTATGAACTAGAGGTTTCCCAGTTGTAAGAAGGAGGAGGGGAAAGCAAAAGAGAAGTGGATATGATTATAAAAGGGCAATGCAAGACATCCCTGTGGTGACAATAGTGTTTTGTAATTTGATTTCATGGTGAATATATGAACCTACACATGAGATAAATTTGCATAAACACATAAATGATTAAAAGTAAAACTGGAGAGAGTTGAGTAAGTTGTGCATTCTAACATTGTTAATATCCTAGTTATGATATTACACTATAGTTTTTCAAGATGTTACAACTGGGGGAAACTGACTGAAGTCTAAACAAGGCTCACCTGTATTATTTGTAAAAACTACATGTGAATCTACAACTTTACAAAATAAATGGTGTAATTAAAATTAAATGGGCATGTGTGTATATATTTAAAATTCTCCCGTTTGCCTTATTGATTCATGTGTTATTTAAAATTCTGATGTTTAATTTCAAAATAATTGAAAATTTTGTAGGTATTTTAATATCATTGATTTCTAGCATATTTTACATTATTTCAGTCTTTTTAAATATGTTGAGATTTGTTTTATGGTCCAGTTTTGCTTTTTTTTTTTTTTTTCTTTTTTTTTTGAGATGGAGTCTCACTGTCTTGCCCAGGCCGGAGTGCAGTGGCACAATCTCGGCTCACTGCAAGCTCCGCCTCCTGGGTTCACGCCATTCTCCTGCCTCAGCCTCCCGAGTAGCTGGGACTACAGGCGCCCACCACCATGCCCAGCTAATTTTTTGTATTTTTAGCAGAGACGGGGTTTCACCTTGTTAGCCAGGATGGTCTCGATCTCCTGACCTAGTGATCCGCCCCCCTTGACCTCCCAAAGTGCTGGGATTACAGGCATGAGCGCCCGGCCAAGTTTTGCTTTTTTATGGCAGGAGGACCAATCCTTCCCATAATTTGAACTAATATGTTCTTATTCAAGAGTTCTCTTTTTAAGCACATAATTTCAGAAGACTTTTTCAGAATCTCTAATCAACTAAACGGTCATGAGTAAGAGTCAGTACACTGAAATAAGTGATTGGATATAAGTCCTGGTTTCATCATTTTTTAGGTGTATGAGATTTAACTTATGATATTAAGGTGCTATATTTTTTTCTAGTGCAAAATATATCACTACATTTACAATGTGAAGAACATTATTTTGAAATGTACAAAACAGTTACACTAAGCATGTAGTGTTTGTTCCTAAAGATGTTCCTAAACAAACAGCTAAATGAGAATCTCTTTTGAGGTATTAATTTCATCTCACCAAAGCATTAATTTGCGACGTTGGGATACTAGATGCAAGATTCTATGCATTTCTTTTGTCATCTGGGTTTTGAAATATCTTGCTTTTCAAAAATTCTATTCTGATTTGTTTAAACCATAACTCTACTATGTGTTTCTTATTATATATCTGTCTTCATTTTCACTTATGTTGTGGAAGACTGACAGATTTCCTTTGCACACATCGATATAACTCATTACTACTAGCATTACTGCTGCTTATCCATCTTGCTCCAGTCCTCATTGCTGTTGCACTTTCCTCATCAGCTTCCTTCTTCCTTTTGCTAGTACTGCTGATTTTCCCTATCTCACCAATGAGTCACATCCTCAAGGTGCTGGCATATTTCAGACATCTCTACCTTATTCAAGACTTTTCCATTTTATAAATTTTGATCAGCCCTATTTAACTTCATAGTGGGCAAGCTTTAACTAGCTCTTATAAATGTGTATTATTTGAGATGAGAAACAGGTTCCCAGAAAGCACTGCCAAAAAATCATCCAGAAGTCAAATGTTAATTATATCTATTATTTCAAATTTTTATTATGAACATTTTGAAAAACACAAGTAGCAGAGAGTAATCTAGTTAAATTCATATACCCTTCACCCAGCCTCAACAAATTTAAACAACTGGCCAATTTTGTTTTATCTATTATCTATACGCACCAAATTATCCTTGTTTCCCTTTCTGTTAGTTTAAAACAAATTCTAGCCACTATATCATTTTACCCATAATACTTTAGTATGAGAACTATTGAAGAAAAAACTTTTACTTAATATAACCCTATCTGGATTAAAACAATTTACAATAATAATTATTAAATATTATAAATATATGTTATATCATCCCTGATTATAAAACAGTAAGTTATAACCAAGGGAAACATATATTGCCATTTTTAATTTTAAAACTTGTACTAACCTATTATAATACATTTTATACACATCTATTCTATTCATTTTCAAATCATGCGGTTAGTATTAAAATCCACCAAATATATTACATACAGCATATTCAAGTTTTGTAAAAGATTTCACATCACTATTTTCATTTTGTGAGGTGAGTTATATATAACTAAGAAAAATTTAGAGTCAATCTAATTTTATCTAGGCTTGCAGTCATATTCGTCTTTCACTCTTAACACCACTTGGTAGTAAGGTCTTTAAAATGTGTATTTCCTTAGTAAATTAGTAAAGGGTATGGAATTTGTCACATTTTGCAGATGAAGAAACTGAGGCTCAGGAAATACTTAATATAAGTAATAAATGGAAAAGCCAGCTTTTATACCCTGATGTCTTTTCAGCCCATTATGATGACTTTTTCCTGTGTAATTGTGATGGTAATATTAAATCGCATTGTTTCTTCTACACCAGCCATGGTACCAAATGTCACCAGAGAGAACTTAGTAATGGCCATAATTTCAAAGATAGAAACTCTGAAGTAAAAGCAAAATTCTTCATTTCATTTTACCTTCCAGTAGTTTTTCCTTAAAACTATTCAATAGAGACATTAGTCTATCACCCAAAACTCCTTGACTCCACCTAAACTCTATTAATGACTACAGTGATCAGTGCATACTTTTCCTCACAATGAGGTGTTTAAATTGATTTTAGAATCAACTCTGATGCATGTCCAAGGAGTTCCTAAATATTCTCAATTACATCTCTTCCAGGTCTTATGAATACATCCCCCATTTCACTGAATTTTTTAAAAAACAACTCTATGCAAAGGAAAACTATATGTGTTATATGGTATATAAAAATGATTAAGTACTTTCAATGCCTTCAAGAGAGTTCACAAAAAAGGTATTAAAGAAATGTGCATAAATTATTACAATAAAAGTGAAAATGAAATTATCTTAAGAAAGACACACAAAAAAGTAATATGGGAATTAAAGAGGCCATGTAACTTTCAGAAAAGTATAGAGAAGAGATATAAGACTGAAGAAATATACCTCTCTGGTCAGGCTCAGCAAGTGACATGGGGAACCCAGAGTTTAAGAGGCAGATTTTCAGCATATAAGATGTATATGTTTAACCTATTCCACCCATGGCCTTACTCCAATATTAGTCACAATACCTCTACTTTTCCCATAGGACTCTTGACATTTAAAGCAGAGTGTTTAGTCATGCTAAACAACTCTGATCTCAAATGGCCCTACTAACCTATTTATATTTTATGCATAGTTCTGCATGTAAACCTGTTCAGCAGCATTTATAAATAATTGCAAGCGCTTTCATCAGTTTTCCAGTATAGTTAATGTTGTATGTCTGCCTTTCTTTAGTATAGCTATAAAGTCAGCTTCTACTTCCTAAGATGTTTTAATCTGCATTAAGATTCAAATACCTTCCTCAAATTCAGTGTCTACCCAGGTAGCACTTTCTTTGAAAATTGTGGAGATCATTATGCCAACACACTTCTCATTTCTGGAGATGAATTCGTGGGTTAATACGCCATTTCAACATTTTCCAAAAAATACTTGCTCAAATAGATGTGAGAGAGGGAGAGAACAGGTGGTATCAATAATTTGCATGTTTTACAGACAACTGTAAGTTGGCATGCAAGGAAACTCTCATCTCTTTTATAGTGGAATTGTTTAACCCTGGCAGCCTGATCTGAGCACCATTCTACTGTGGCTCCCCAATCACAACAGCTCTTTAAGTAACTGTGCCAACATATGGGTCATTTACCACGACAGGCACAACAAGTACACGTATAAATAGGTAAACAGAGTAAACCTGTGGTTTATAAATTGTTTACATATTACTTAAAGCAGGCTCTTTTATGTTTAGCATACGTTTTTCCAAAACCTATTCGTGGAGCTTTAATCTTATGATTGAGATTAAAATTTAGAAGAGTAGTTATATGCTAAGACCTAAGCAAATAAAATATTCTCTTCTTTTTAGAGTTAAATTTAATCTGTTTCACCTAATAGTTTCATCATGTATTGTTTGATGGAATAACCAGTGATAAATGTTAGGACTACTGTACTTTTTAATGGATAATAAATTTTAATTGAAAAATTATGATAATGAAGCTCAGGATTCATGATACTGGATTAATTCAGAGCTCGTGTTGCAAACACAAAGGAAATTTTTAAATACTCAGTTCAAGAGTTTTCTTGCTTTAATTCTATTAAACAGTGTTGATTACTTGAGACTATAATTAAAAGCGCTGCTTTGATTTTTCTTCATGGAAAATTCAAATGGCAGAATAGAAGCGTCATTACCAAACATTTGTTCCCAAAATGATGACTCTCTTAGTTCTTCCCTTAGTCATCCAGAGACGTATCAAATTGGACAGCTTATAATAAAGAATTCACTTTATGCGACCTAATTTTAAAACTTCTGTCTTCTGCACCAGACATGAAGTAAAATTTTATTGCGATAATAAATTTTTTAAAATTAAAGACTCTTCTTAAAATTGTAATTGTGCTATTAGTAAGCTTTCCACATAAGTACACCTGAAAAATTAAATTTCCATCTTGAGGAGATGAAGACTTGAGAACGAATATAACTAAACACTATTAACCTAACGAAAGTCACACTGGGCAATAGTTTCAGAATTTGAGAACAGCTTTAATTTTATTCTCCAGAGCCACACATATTATTGTTAAAATGTTAAACCTGAACCAAATATGAGGGAAAAAATTAAACAATAATTTTAAATTAATCCAATAAATTATTGCAAATCAGAGATTAAAATAATTCTTTAAAAAGTAGAATATTAGAAAATGAATTTAATTCATTCACATCTGACTGAATAAAAGGGGATTAGACATATCAAATAATCTAATCAAACATTTTCCCAGCTATACATTCACTATTCTCCCTTGAGCCATTTCTCTCTATTTGACAACCATTGTCTCAGTGTAGTCATTTAATATTTAATCCACTTTATGGAACATCTGCCAAATTATAACCTCTTCCTCATTCACCCCCCCCAATGTTTTCAGTCAATTATTTAATATTTCTAAACATTTTTCCCATAGAAAAATGAGATCTCTATCTCTGTTCCTTCTGTCCTTTGTCCTAGTCCCTTCATCTGGGGCCACAGAGATTATGAATTATCCTACATCTATGGCATTAACATTGAGCTTGAAAGCAATTACCTGTTCTCCAAGCCTTCTTAACTAAATCTCTACTTTGTATCCTTTTTCAAAAAGTGATTAGACAAATTTTTAATTAATGGTTCAAGAGAAGCTTGAATTTTCATTTTTTGGGTGAGGTGGTTCACCTATTGATATTAAGGAGAAGAAAATACAAGGAAGCCTTCAGTGACAATGTTGGTATCTAAATACTAACCTGAATGAATCATTAGTCTGACTCAGTATGGTCTTTCTGATGGTTATAAACAAATCTACTATATGAAAATAAAAATGTTCCTTAGAATTCAGTCTAAAGGAACTGTCGGTTATACTTAATGATTAATAATAGTCACTGAGAAAGTTATGCCAGTCATATTGTTTGGCATAAAGAAGCAATTATGTATGATGCCTCATTTTTTTACAGTATTCTAATTTTTAAACCTAGAGATTAAAAATTTTGTTTTAAGAGGTTATACATATCTTAGGAAAATAAACTTTCCATAATATATTTTTACAAAACACGGTATTAGCTCAAGTCTTTATTAGGATAAAAGCTAAAAAAGAATAATTCAACTATTTGTTATATTTCCCCTGGGGGTTCAGTTCTATAAAGCATTTCTAATTTTATAAATATCAGTGTAATTTAATGTCCATCTTTCATAATACCTTCAGTGTTCTTTTTCAAACTATGAACTGGAAACTATTACTTCTCTGAGAATAAGAAGTAGAAGAAAAGAGGTGTGATGGGTTTTTATTCCTATTATTTAAAGCACAAAATATCCAGCTTGCACTACGGCATGTAAAGCATTTTACAATCAACTTCCAAAATACTTTTCCAGTTTCACCTCCATGTTTTCATCCTATTCACTCTTGCACAGGCCACTGTCTCTATAAAATATGCATCTTCCTTTTCTGTTTGCGTAACTCATGCACATGCTTGTGAGATCCAATTCAAACTTCCCCACTTTTCCCTAAGCATAAACAGTCCCTCTCTTCTCTGTTCCCAGAGATTCTAGCATTTGCATCCATAATGAATTAATAATACAGTTCTATTACAGTAGACTGAGATCCCCTCAAGAGTAGGGAATGTGTGCCATTTATCTTTGTTCTTCAGTGTCCTTCAGGGTGCCTGATACTATGGAGGAACTGGACTTGGAGGTTTTTAATCTCAGCATCTAATCTTACCTTTGTCTTTACAACTAACTCCTTAATTTTGATCAAGTCCTTTCGGCTCTTTTGGGTTGGGAGTATCATGGTCATAGGCATGTGTCCCTTCAGGCAAGAAGACAATAAAATATGATGAAAGAACATAGAATTTAGAGTAACAGAGTCATGTAATGAGGATATCAATTTATTGTTAGATAAACTCTTTTATCCCAGTTATTTATGGAGCAAATACAAAAGGGATTAATAATAACTACGTCGTGGTTTTGTGGTAAGGATTGAATGAGATATAGCATGTTAAAAGACATCTTGCATAAATTTGACTAGATATCTTCTAAAATACATTAGGAGCTCTAATAATCTATGGATTAAAGAAAAATCTTTTAGAAAGCTTTTCTAAGTACAAAAATAGCTGAATTTTTATCCTAGTTACTTTTTTATCCAGAGAAAAAGTGGTTAAATTGAAGTTTGTCAAAGCAAAGCAGTAAAAATTCTGAACAACTGAAAAGGATGGGATCTTGAATTGAAAGTATTAATTGGAATTGTATAAAATTTGGTTCTAATGGGGATGTTATTAACAGCCTTCAGAATTTTAAAATTTAAGTAGAAAAAAAGAAGAAGAATTTATTCAAAGTTTTACATCTGAATAAGAACTATAGGACAAAAGGAAAATTTTTAAAAAATACTATGGTATGAGAATTGAAGTTTCTGACTAGAAATGGAATGTCAAGGAAGAAAATACTGTTTATCAGAGATCTGCGTAATTTTTTAAAAAATGTTAGGGAAGGTGAGACCTAGACTTTAAAATTCTCGTAGATTTAATTTTAAAGCAATTAATTACAAATTCATTTATTTAGATTAAATAACACAGATTGCTAATGTATTGCTTAAAATATGTCAATTAACACTGAAAAACAGTGACTTTTTCTCATGATAACAGTTTTGTAGTTTTCACTTTTAAAAAAATCAATTCCCTTTACAAGTGATTATTTTTGTTTCTATTTAAAAATATATTTAAACTGTATTTCAGAAGTGCATTTATGAAGTGCTTTTCTAAAATCAATAATGTAATTATGGTGATTGTACTTATCTTATTCTCTGTTGAAATTTATTTCAAAGGTCTAAGCTTTTTTTCCTGGTATTCTTATAAAAAAATTCTGAACATTTATGTCCCAAATTTTTGGTTAAAAGAACAATTGTGTGTGTGTATGTATTAGCATATTTGTATAAACATCCTCTTCACAATGCACACAAACACATATCTACTTTTGATTTTTTCTTTTTTTTTTTTTTTTGAGACAGACTCTCACTCTGTTGCCCAGGCTGGAGTGCAGTCGCTCAATCTCAGCTCACTGCAGCTTCCGCCTCCTGGGTTCAAGCAATTCTCCTGCTTCAGCCTCCCGAGGAGGCAGGATTACAGGTGCAGGCCACCGCACTTGGCTAATTTTTGTATTTATAGTAGTGACAGAGTTTCACTGTGTTGGCCAGGGTGGTCTCGAACTCCTGACCTCAGGTGATCCACCTTGGCCTCCCAAAGTGCTGGAATTACAGGAGTGAGCCACCACACCCAGCCTTCATTTCATTCCCAAGTATATTATGGTATTGTACAATCTGGTCTCTGAAAGACATTGATAAATTAACTCATTTCGGCTCCACCAATCTACTGAAAGTGTATAATAGCGAGATATCGGCCAAGAGTAAGCATATATTCAAAACTAAATTAAGTATCCTTTTCATCTTTTCAGGAGTCCCATCAAATTTTAGTCACAAAATTAAAGGGGAAAAGGAAAAAGGAAGGAGCAGAATGATGCAGTAGAAGAGTCCACTGATCACTGTCCCCCCACCGACAAGGACACCAATTTAACAACTATCTACACAGAAGAAAGACAGAAAGAAAGAAAAAAAAAAAAACACCTTCATGAGAACCAGAACCAAAAATCAGATGAGCACTCATAGTAGCTGGTTCTAACTTCACAATGTTGAAAGAAGCACTGAAGAGAGAGAAAAAACACTGAAATGCCTATGCCACCCTGCCCCCACCCCCACCCTTCTGCAGTGGCAGCATGGGACAGAGAGCATCTCTGGGCCCTGGAGAAGAGAGAACACAGTAATTGTGAGGCAATGAACTCAGTGCTGTCCTGGTAGATCAGAAAGGAAATCTGGACCAAACTCAGCTAATGCCCATCCACAGAGGGAGGATTTAAATCAGCCCTAACCAGAGGGAAATTACTTATCCCAGCTACCTGAACTTGAGTTCCTGAAAACCTCCCCTCCAAAGGCTACAGTGCTCTGTGTCTCCAAGTAAACTTGAAAGGCAGTCTAAGCCATAAGAACTGCAACCCTTAGGTGAGTCCTAGTGCTGAACTAGGCCCAGAGACAGTGGACTAGGGGACACGTCACATACTGAGATATAAGCTGGGGCCACCAAGGGAATGCTGGCATTATCCCTTCCCTAACCCCAGGCTGCACAGCTTGTGGCTCTAAAAGAGACCCCTTTCTTCCTCTAGAGAAGAGGACAGGGAAGAACTTTGTCTTGCATATTGGATACCAGCTCAACCACAGCAGGATAGGACACCAGTCGGGGTCATGAGGAAGCAGTTCCAGGCCCTAGCTCCCAGGTGCCATTTCTAGACACATGTGCTGCCTTAAAGGAAAGGAGTCAGTCTTGACAGCATTCAACAGCTGCTAACTGAAGAACCCTTGGACCCCGAACAACGAGCCTGGATACCCAGATACTATGTCAAGTGTCTTGGGTAAGCCTCTGAGACTTGCTGGCTTTAGGTACAGCATGGTCACAGGAGTGTAGAGCACAAAAGTAGCCTGATGGTATTCCTGATTCCAGGACCTGACCCTTGGATGGCATTTCTGAAACCTGCCCTGAAGCAGAGGGGAACCCAGTACCCTGAAAGGTGAGTCCCAGACCAAGCAACATTCACCAAAAGCTGAATGAAGAGCCTTTGGGATTTAAGGGAACATTGGCAGCAGTCTGGCAGTACGCCCCATGGTGAGGGGTGGCAATAGCTATGGGGTAAGGCTCTTCTGCCTTTGTAAAGGGAAGGGAACAGTAGAAAGGACTGTGTCTTGTCATTTGAGTGCCAGCTCAGAACAGTAAAAAAGAACACCAGATAAACTCCTAAGGTTGTTTGACTGTAATCCCTGACTCCTGGATGGCACATCTGGACCCACCTGGGGCCTGGGAAACATTGCTGCCCTGAAGGGAAGGACACAGGCCTGGCTAGTTTTTCCATCTGATGATTGTTGTCCCAGGGCATTAAGCAAACATAGGCAGTAGCTAGTGAGTGGTTACAAGAGGTCTTGGGTGAGACCCAGTGCTGTGCTGGCTTCAGGTCGGACCCAGCACAGTCCCAGTGGTGGTGGCCACAGGGATGCTTGTGTCACTTCAACCCCAGCTTTAGGTGGCTCAAAACAGAGAGAAAGACTGTGGTTGTTTGGGAGAATCTAAGGGAAGATTACAAAAGTCTCTGCCTGGTAATCCAGATAATTCTCCCCGATCTTATCCGAGATCATCAAGGTGGTACCTCTAATAGTCTGCAAGAACCACAGCATTACTGGGGCTTGGGGTGCCCTCTAAAACAGATATAGCTTAGATCACAATATCCAAATCCTTTAAAATATCTGGAAAGCCTTCTCAAAAAGAATGGCTACAAATAACCCAGACAGTGAAGACTACAATAAATATCTAAATATTTAATGACCAGACTTTAAAGAACATCGACTAGTATCAACACCATTCAGGAAAAAATGACCTCACCAAATAAACTAAATAATTCACCAGAGACCAATTGTGGAGAAGCAGGAATGTGTGAAATTTCAGAAAGATAATTCAAAATTCTTCAAACTGTATTGAGGAAGCTCAGAGAAATTTAAGATAACAAAGAGAATTCAGAATTCTATTAGATACATTTAACAAAGAAATTGAAATAATTAAAAGGAATCAAGTAGAAATTCTGGAGCTGAAATATACACTTGGCCTACTGAGGAATGCATCAGGGTCCTTTAATAGTAAAATTGATTAATCAGGAGAATTTGTGAGTTTGAAGATAGGCTGTTTGAAAACACATAGTCAGAGGAGACAAAAGAAAAAGAATAAAAAACAATGAAACATGCCTATAGATTCTATAAAAGAGCCTTAAAAGGGAAAATCTAAGAGTTATTGGTGTTAAAGAGGAGGTAGAGAAAAAGATGGGGATATTAACTTTATTCAAAGGGATAATAATACAGAACTTCACAAACCTAAAGAAAGAAATCAGTATCCAAGTACTAGAATGTTATAGAACACTAAGCAGATTTAAAGCAAAGAAGAGTACCCCAAAGCATTTAATAACCAAACTCGCAAAGATCTAGGATTTAAAAAAAAGAATTCTAAAAGCAGCAAAAAAATAAATAACATACAAGGGAGTTCCAATATATCTGACAGCAGACTTTTCAGTGAAAGCTTAACAGGTTAGAAGAGAGTGGTAGGACATATTTAAAGTGCTGCAGGAGAAAACATTTACCCTGGATTAGTATATCTGGCTAACATATCCTTCAAACATGGAGAAAGAAATACTTTCCCAGACAAACAAAAGCTGAACATATCCTTCAAACATGGAGAAAGAAATACTTTCCCAGACAAACAAAAGCTAAACATATCCTTCAAACATGGAGAAAGAAATACTTTCCCAGACAAACAAAAGCTGAACATATCCTTCAAACATGGAGAAAGAAATACTTTCCCAGACAAACAAAAGCTGAACATATCCTTCAAACATGGAGAAAGAAATACTTTCCCAGACAAACAAAAGCTGAATATATCCTTCAAACATGGAGAAAGAAATACTTTCCCAGACAAACAAAAGTTGAGGGATTTCATCAACACCAGACCTGTCTTTCCTATAAGAAATACTAAAGGGAATACCTCAATTAGAAAGAAAAGAACATTAATGAGCAATAAGTAATCACCTGAGGGCACAAAAACCCACTGGTAATAGTAAGTACACAGAAAAACACAAAGTATAATAACACTGTTACTGTGATATATAAACTATTCTTATCCTAAGTAGAAAGAATAAATAATGAGCCCATCAAAACTAATAACTACAACTAATTTTCAAAACATAGTCCAAAAAGATACAACAGAAACTAAAAAACGTTACAAAGCAGGGAGGTAAAATTAAGGCATAAATTAAACTTCAAAACTTAAAACTAAGTTTTTATTAGTTTTCTCTTTGCTTATTTGTGTGTTTGTTTATGTAAACAGTGTTAAGTTGTTATTAAGTTAAAATAATGGGTTATAAAATAGTACTTGCAAACCTCGTGGTAACATTAAACAAAAGAAATACAATGATCACACAAAACATGTATTTCCTGTACCCGTTACCTCATGGTAACATTAAACAAAAGAAATACAATGATTACAGGAAACATAAATGTCAAGAAACGAAATCATATCATGAGAGAAAATCACCTTCACTAAAGGAAGGCAGGAAAGAAAGAAATAAGAAAGAGAAGACCACAAAACAACCAGAAAACAAATAACAAAGTGACACAAATAAGTGCTTATTTATCAGTACTATCATTGAATGTAAATGGACTGAACCCTACAATCAAAAGACACAGAGTGGCTGAATGTATGAAAAAAACACACCCAATGATCTGTGGCCTATAAGAAACACACTTATCCTATAGAGACACGCACAGACTGAAAATAAAGGGGTAGAAAAAGATATTCTAAGTAAATGGGAAGCAAAAAAAAAAAAAATACCCCAGGGGTAGCCATACTTATATCATACAAAATAGATTTCAAGACAAAAACTATAGTAGATAAAGAAGGCCAGTATACAATGATAAAGGGATCAATTCAGCAAGAGGATATAGCAATTTCAAATTTATATGCAACCAACACCGGAGCACTCAGAAATATAAAGCAAATATTTTTAGAGCTGAAGAGAGAGATAGGCCCCAGTGCAATAATATCTGGGGACTTCAACATCGCATTTGCAACACTGGGCAGGACTTTCAGACAGAAAATCAACAAACATTGGACTTAATCGGTACAATAGACCAAACCAAAGGGAATCCAAATTCCCTTAGATATTTTCAAAACATTTCGTCCAAGGACTGCAGAATACACATTTTTTCTTCAGTACATGGATCATTTTCAAGGATAGACCATAAATTAAGTCATAAAACAACTGTTAAAACGTTCAAAAAATTGAAATAACACAAAGCATCTTCTCTGACCACAATGGAATAAAAATAGAAATTAATAATGAGAGAAATATGGGAAACTGTATTAGTCCATTCTCACACTGCTATAAATACCTGAGCCTGGGTAATTCATAAAAAAAAGAGGTTTAATTGTCCCATGGTTTCACAGGCTGTCCAGGAAGCATGGCTGGGGAGACCTCAGAAAACTTGCAATAATGGCAAGAGGTGAAGGGGAAGCAGCATGTCTTATGTTGCTGGAGCAGGAGGAAGAGGAGAGAGGCAGGAAGTGCTACACACTTTTAAACAATCAGATCTCATGTTAGCTCACTCACTATCACAAGAACAGCAACAAAAAGAACATCCACCCTCGCGATCCAATCACTTCCTGTCAGGCCCCACCCCCAATATTGAAAATTACAATTAGATTGAGATTTGGGTGGAGACACAGACCCAAACCATGTAGAAACGATACAAATACATGAAAATTAAACAATATTCTCCTGAATAACCAGCGGGTCAATGAAGAAATTAAGAAGAAAATTGAAAAATTTATTGAAACAGATAATTGAAACACAACATACCAAAACCTAAGGGATACAGAAAAGTAGTACTCAGAGGGAAGTTTATCCCTGTAAGTGTGATACATTAAAAAAGAAGAAAAACCTTAAGCACTCTAACAGTGCTTCTTAAAGAACTAGAAAAGCGGGAACAAACCAAATCCAAAATTAGTAGAAGGAATGATAAAGATCAGAGCAAAAATAAATAAAATTGAAATGAAAAAACAATATGAGAGATAAATAAAACAAAAAGTTGGGTTTTTTAAAGTGAAACAAAATTGACAAATCTTAGGCAGACTAGGAAAAAAGGAAAGAAGATACAAATAATTGCAATCAGAAATGAAAAAGGAGACATCACAACAGATACTCCAAAATTTGAATGATTATTAGTGGTTTCTATGAGCAACTATATGCCAGTGAATTGAAAAATCTAGAAGACACGGACAAATTTCTAGACACTTAACAACCTACTGAGATTGAACCAGGAAGAAATACAAAACCTGAACAGACCAATAACAAGAAATGAGATTGAAGCTGTAATAAGTCTCTCACTAAACAAAAGCTCAGGATCCAATAGCTTCACTGCTGAATTCTACCAAACATTTAAAGAGAAACTAACATGTATACTACTAAACTATTCTGAACAATAGAGAAGGGAATACTTCCAAACTCATTCAACAGGCCACTGTTATCCTGATACCAAAACCAGACGGACACATCAAAAAAGAAAACTACAGGCAAATATCTCCGATGAATATTGATGCAAAAATCCTCAACAAAATACGAGCAAATTAAATTTTAAAATATATTAGAAAAATCATTCATCAGGACCTAATGGGAATTATCTCTGGGATGCATGGATGATTCAACAGGCTCAAATGAGTCAATGTGATACATCATATCAACAGAATAAAGGATGAAAACCATATGATCATTTAAACTGAAGCTGAAAAAGCATTTGCTAAAATTCAACATCTCTTCATAATGAAAATGCTCAAAAAACTGGGGATAGAAGGAACATACTTCAATATAATAGAAGCTATATATGACAGACCCAGAGCTAGTATACTAAATCAGGATAAACCAAAAGCCTTTCCTCTAAGATCTGGAACATTAATAGGATGCCCACTGTCACGATTATTATTCAACATATTACTGGAAATTCTAGCTACAGCAATCAGACAAGCGAAAGATATAAATGGTATCCAGGTTGGAAAGAAGTCAAATCCTTGTTTGCAGATTATATGATCTTATATTTGGAGAAATCTGAAGACTCCACAAGAAAGCTATTAGAACTGACAAACAAATTCAGTAAAGTTGCAAGATACAAAGTCAACATACAAAAATAACTAGAATTTCTATATGCCAACAGTGAACAGTGAGACAAAGAAATAAAAAAAATCCCATTTACAATAGCTACACATAAAATTAAATACCAAGGCATTAACTTAGCGAAAGAAGTAAAATATCTCCCTGATGGAAATTACAAAACACTGATGAAAAAAATTGAAGAGGCCACCAAAAAATGGAAAAATATTTCATGTTCCTTAGTTGGAAGAATCAATATTGTTAAAATATCCATTCTACCTAAAGCAATCTACAAATTTAATTCAATCTCTATCAAAATACCAAGGGCACTCTTCATGGAAATAGAAAAAAAAGGTCTTAAAATTTATATGGAATCACAAAAGACCCAGAATCGTCAAAGATGTCCAAAGCAAAAAGAACAAAGCTAGAGGAATCACGTTACCTGCCTTCAACTTGTTCTACAGAGCCATAGTAATCAAAACATGGTGCTGGCATAAAAACAGACACATAGACCAATGGGACAGAATAGAGAACTCAGAAACAAATCCACGTAACTACAGTGAACTCATTTTTGACACGAACACACATTGAGGAAAAGACAGTTTGTTCAATAAATGGTGCTATAAATACTGGACATCCATATGCAGAAGAATGAAACTATACCCCTATCTCTCGCCTTATGCAAAAATCAAATCAAAATGAATGAAACACTTAAATCTAAGATCTCAAACTATGAAACTACTACAAGAAAACATTGAGAAAAATCTCTGGGACATTGGTCTGGGCAAAAATTTCTTGAGCAGTACTCCACAAACACAGGGAACCAAAGCAAAAATGGACAGTTTGGATTAAGTTAAATTAAAAATCTTCTGCACAGCATAGGATACAGTTAACAAAGTGAAGAGACAACCCACAGAACAGGAAAAAATATTTGCAAACTACCCATCTGACAAGGGATTAATAACCAGAATATATAAGAAGCTTAAATAACTCTATAGGAAATTAATAATCTAATCAAAAACTGGACAAAAGATTTGAATAGGCATTTCTCAAAAGAAGACATACAAATGACATACAAGCATATTATAAAAAGATGCTCAGTCTCATTGATCATCGAAAAAATGCAAATCAAAACTCCAGTGAGATATCATTGTAATTTTGAGTATAAGCCAAAGTAGCTTATATTCGAAAGACAGGTAATAAAAATGCTGGCGAGGATGTGCAGAAAATGGAACCCTCATACACTGTTGGTGGGAATGAAAATTAGTACAGTCACTATGGGGAACAGTTTGGAGGTTCCTCAAAAACTTAAAAATAGGGCTGCTTTATGACCTGGCAATCCCACTTCTAGTTATATACCCAAAGGAAAGAAAATCAGTACCTCAAAGAGATGTCTGCACTGCCATTGTTCTGAGAGCACTAGTCACAATTGCTGAAATCTGGAAGTAAAATAATTGCACATCAAAAGACGAATTGCTAAAGAAAATGTGGTACATATATAAATACACAATGGGGTACTATTCAGCCATAAAAAAGAATGAGATCTAGTCATTTGCAACAACGTGGATGAAACTGGAGATGATTGCGTTAAGTGAAATAAGACAGGCACAGAAAGACAAACATCACATGTTCTCACATATTTGTGAAATTTATACATTAAAACAATTAAACTCCTGGACACAGAGGGTAGAAAGATGGTTACCAGAGGCTGGGAAGTGTAGTGGGGAGTAGGGGGTGAGGGATATTAGGGATGGTTAATGGGTACAAAAATTAAAGACAATAAAAAAGACCTACTATTTGGAAGCACAACAGGGCGACTATAGTCAGTAAAAACAACTGTACACTTTAAAATAATTTAAAGTGTATAATTGGATTGTTTGTAACTCAAAGGATAAATGGTTGAGGGGATGGATATCCCATTCTCCATGATGTGCTTATTTCACCTTGCATGCCTGTATCAAAACATCTCATGTAAGCCATAAATATATACATCTACTATGTACCCACACAAAATTTAAACATAATAATGAAAGGGTAATTAGGCTTATAGGAAACCTTTTTCAATGTCCTACTTGTTTAAGTTGTAGGATGACAATAATAAAATAATATTTTATTTCTTTCCTGCATATATTGTGGTTTAAACTATCTATCACATGACTATTTAATCTAATGCCACCCTAAAGGTAGATGGTCTAAGACCTCATTTATAAGTATTGTTAGATCAATACATAACTATATAAACTATATTTACTATGAATTTTCCTAACTCTTAAACTTGTAAGACAAGTAGAAGTAAATTACCATAGACTTCAAATGATAACTTTAGTGATCATTTTATTTCACTCAATTATGTAAATTTTGTGTAAGCTAGTAACTGTAAAATCTACTTTTTATAAAAAGAATGTTCTAAAAAATGTTTATTCGATTTACTTATAGTTTAGAATTTTTGGAATTTATTGCTGCACTTACATTTACATATTACATATCAAAATAGTATTGATTTCTTGACATGTACTAGAAAAAATAATGACAAAATATAGATTACTTGAGAATTGGAAGTTTGAGCATAAAAAGCTATCATAGGTACTATGTCAGCAACACTGACATCTTGTTAGGGAGACTTTAAAGCATGAGTTCCATTTGACATATCTTCTAGACAATTCAATTGAGAGTGTCCTACAGGGTATTGCTTTGTGTTTGTATGATATAGTAAGAAAATTATTTCATAGGGCAAAATAGACATCATTTAAATGATTTTATTAAAAATCTTATAAACTAAAGATTACATTTAAATCTTGGAAAAATCAGTCATTCCAAATGATTTCTACACGATGATGTAATTTAGAAGTTGGGAATTCAGTGCCGTCATCCCAGTGACTTTTGGTCAACCAAATAGTGAACTTAACCAACCTCTTTCACATTGTTGTGATACAGAATCTGCCAGAGCTGAGGATATACATTATTATATTGAAAAATAATGTGGCATGTTTTACTTTTTTGTTTCAGAACTTTTGGGAACTTATTTGCAAAGAAGTCCCCGCCATAAAGATCTATAATCTTTTCAACAACCTATTTGGGAAAATGCATGATAGGGCCGTGAAAAACATTATGTTCTAAGACAAAGGCCTAATATTATCATGAGCAGCCTAGAGTGATGGAGAGAACACTAAATGCTGACTGGGTGCTGTTTTCAATGTGATCATCAAGTGGCCATGTGACCTTCAATGGATGCCAGCTTTCCATGAGGCTTCAACTCCTCATTAACGAATGAGCAAAATAATACTTACCTCAACTTCTTTCTAGGGCTATAGAGAAAAAAATGTTTAGAAAGAATGTAATATTTTAAGAGAGCATATTGTTCTTTATTGCCATAATAAAAGTAATCATAATCTACATTATGAGGATCACCTTGGTATAGTATTAAGCATGACACTGAGAAACAGGCGATGAGAGTTTCAGTTATGCCTTCTGAGTTTATTATTGGTTGACCTTGGAAAAGCTCCTTAACTTCTCTGCATCTCTTTTGCTGCTTTTGTAAAAAGAAAATGAAAAGACAATACATTAATCATGGCAGGAAACTGGAAATTACAATCTTTCCAGGTTAAAACCACATGTTTTGAAGTAAAATCTTTTAGTCTAAGATTTTTTTAAGATAATGGATAATGAATTTTCAATAATAATAATAGCATATTCTCAATAATAATAATACTTAAATATATTGAACTTCTACATTATTTAGGAAATATGCTACTTTATATGTATGTTATTTAGTCTTCAGAAAAAAACACTCTGAGAGATATTATTTTTGTCATTTCACCACTAAGGAATCTGAATTTCAAAGGTTAAGTAACCTTATCAAACTCATAGAGAGACTAGCAATAAGTTTGAGATTTAAATACAGTATGATTCTAAAGCACAGGTTTTGAACCATCATGTTCCAATATTCTCAATATAATATAATAGCTCTGGGTATGAATAAACAGTTTCAGTTTGAGTCTGTAAAAGATCAGTGGTAATTCAAGAACAAAAACAATTTAGTCTTTAAAAGACACAACAGTTGTGCCCTACATGATATTTTACCCCTCTTTATACTTTATTTACACTGTGCCCAGCATATAGGAGCTGGATGTTTTATACTTGAAACAGGGTTAATAGCACTTGGTTATATGATTTGACAGTCAGCTTATATGTCCATTCACCTCACTTGAGACTTCTAGACCACACTGCCAAAATATCCATTTTAGTTATGAGAAAAAATATATTAGAGAACTGTGGAGAGAGGGAACCAAAGTTAGTTTAGGCATGAAATTGTTCTGAGCTGAGAATTTTGCCCCTAGGAATTTTAAGCAAATATGGATCCACTCCTCCATGAATTAGAAACATTTGTAGTTTCCTACATAGTGCAGACCTGAGGATTTCTTTTATTCTTTTGTTCTTTATTCTTTAATTAGAAGAATTAAATTGAATGGTTCCTGCGAGACTTATGGCAGATTGTACTTTCCAATATAGCTACAACAATATTTCCCAACACTTATGCTCAACTGCAATGTAATCTTGTCTTTTGGAAACTGCAGAGGATTGGAAAATTGGCAGAAAAACAGTTGTATATATTACATGTCACATGTTACATGTTACATGATTCAGTCATTGGGTGAGGTGACAGCAGATCACAATTTATTTTTTCCTTAGCACTTTGAGACCTGACTCTACCTCTAAAAACATTTATTCATAGAACAAGCAAAGCAACCGTAGAGAACTGACTACAGCCAAGAGTTGTTCTAAGAAGGGTATTAAAAAGTCTTCACCTCCTACATTCAGCTGGAGCAAGAACAAGGACATTTTCTACTTTGGAAATAGGAGCAAGAGTTCTGAGGGAAGAGCAACTGGTGCCATTGGTCTCTGGCTTGTCCACTAGCTCAAATTGTAGATTTTTCTCCTTTTTACATTTAATGTCTATGGGTTGAAAAATAAACAATTTAGTTCAGCTATGTGGATCGGCTAAAAAAAATAATGAAAGAGCATAATTAAAAATGTACTGAAGTTACTTTAGAAAACATTCAGCAGCAGTTGCCTAGATTTTACTTTTTGCTGCACCTATTTTTTTCTCAGATAGAAGTGTATACTCACATCTAACAAATAGCTTTTTGACATTTTTGTTAACCAGTCACTGTACTAGATGGCAATGAGTGAATCAGGAAGATCTTCTCTACCCTCATGTGGCTGACATTCTAGTAGAAAACATAAACAACATTAAATTACATTGCAAGAAGTATTTGGAAGTAAGCACTGAGTTCTCTAAGAGTATAAAACAGGGAGCCATAACCTAAAATTGAGTTTGGAGGGCCATTTTTTTTAATGACAGTGATATGTAATCAGAGACAAAGAAGATGAGTAACCATTGACAGGGTCAGGTTGAGAGGAGGTCCACAATAATTTCTGTCAGTGGGAAGAACAAGTAAAAAGTTCTTGCAGTGGTGGGGAGCATGACACATTCGAGCTAATGAAAATTATTCAATGGTTCTATGAGGCAGAAAGCCAGAGGAAATGATCAGAAATGAATGTAGAGAGGGAGGGAGGATCATATGCAGGGATGTTTAGGCTTTGTTAAGAGTTCTGCACTTTATCCAAAATACATGGAGAACCCATTAAAGAGTTTTAAACTGAAGAAGAGTAAAACGGGATTTGGTGTGTGTTTGTTTGCTTTGTTTTGAAAGACCATTGCAGCTATGTTGTGGATAATGGACTGGGGGAGGTAAGAGAAAATGCTCCTAAACCACGATGTTAGTTAGGAGGTTTGGTAGAACAGTTAAGCAAACAGGTAATGGTGGCTTTGATTAGGATAGAGAAAAGATAATAGATGCTAAAGTATATTTAGGAAGTAGAATAAAAACGACTTAACAATGAATTGAATGAGGAGTGAGAGTTATTTTGGCAGCAAAGATAAATCCAGATTATTGGCATGAAGGTTGATGTCTTTTCAAAATATCAAGAAATGTTTTGTGTTATTTGGTTTGAAATAACTAAAGACATCTAAGTAGAGATTGTAAGAAATCAGTAGATAGGGGCCAGCGGTATATTTTACACCAGAGGAAAAGTTGGGCATGAAAAATAAAATCTGAAGAGGGCTTGAAACAAAAGCTTATGGATGCACATATAAATGTATATGTGTATATGTTCGCACATATGTACTTCCCAGATGATTGTTGTAATAAAGTTCTCACAAAAAATACCTATTTGTTATTTGCTTTCTATATAATTCCTTTCAATGATTGGAGATTTTTTTAAAGACTAAGTTGGGAGTGACTCTTAGAGATCATAAGGACAAGTCTTTTATGAACTATAGAAACTCCTCTTGTAATAATCTTGGGAGGTGCTGGTTAAGCATCTGTTTCCATATTCCAGATAACAGGAAACTCACTACATTAGGGAATGGGCTAGTTCATTATGGAATGCTTCACTGGAGGGATAAAATCATTTCTTACATACATGGGTCATAGTTTTTTTGTATAAAACACCATTAAATAGAAACTTCTCTATTTTTATGATACCTTTTCAAACACTATGACTGGTGTTGTGCTTGTCCAAATACTATCTCCTGAGGTAAAACTCCTCATTTTTTCCCTCCACCTCCTCACCAACTTGTAACATGGTTTTCTAGTTCTTCTGGGTAGTTTTTGAATGGATGCATAGTGGTTGGTAAATATATTCCTTTAAATATTTCATATATATACATATACATATATATATATGAATGCAGAAGTGGTGTCTCAGTACATATAGTTTTGTAAAAAGTTAGAAAGAATATATAGAAGAAAACAATAATGGATTAACTCCCACTAAGTTAGAAAGAGTACATAGTAAAGTCATTAGGAGTGTATAATCTAGAACCAGATTACTATGGTTTAAATTGCTTTGCCCATACTTACTATGTATAACTGGAAAACTATTTGATTCCTTGTAACTACTGTATTTTAATTTTTAAATGAGGGGAATAATATTATTTATTTATGGAAAGTTTTTACATAATTTATTATATACATAGGTCTATACAGTGCCTGGCATGTATCAAATACTTTATAAGTGGTAGATATTATTAGGGTAACTATTTTTTAAAATGATTTGTTCATTCATTTATTAAACAAGAACTTTTTGAGTCCTAACTATATCAGCCTGAAGGCTGAATGCTAAGGATAAATTGCTGGCCAATATAAACAAGTACAAACAAGTTCTTGCATTCACGAATTTTATACTCTACTTGAACTATAAGTTGTTTGATGTGTTATTTTGGTTTTACTGATATTAAAAAGAAAAGTGGCAACATGTGCCTTAAGGACTTGTATTAATTCATTCTCATGCTGCTATGAAGAAATACTCGAGACTGGGTAATTTACAAAGAAAAGAGGTTTAGGCCAGATGCAGGTCGGGTGCAGTGGCTCACGCCTGTAATCTCAACAATTTGGGAGGCAGAGGTGGGCAGATCACAAGGTCAGGAGATTGAGACCATCCTGGCCATCATGGTGAAACCCTGTCTCTACTAAAAATACAAAAATTAGCTGGGTATGGTGGCATGCACCTGTAATCCCAGCTACTCAGGAGGCTGAGGCAGAAGAATTGCTTGAACCCAGGAGATGGAGATTGCAGTGAGCCGAGACCCTGCCACTGCACTCCAGCCTGGTGACAGAGCGAGACTCCATCTCAAAAAAAAAAAGAAAAAGAAAAAGAAAAGATGTTTAATTGACCCACAGCTCCACATGGCTGGGGATGCCTCAGGAAACTTACAATCATGGTGGAAGGCACCTCTTCACAGTGCAGTAGGAGAGAGAATGAGCACAGAGCAAAGTGGAAGGCCCCTTATAAAACCATCATATCTCATAAGAGCTCACTCACTATCCTGAGAACAGCATGGGGGAAACCGTCCCCATGATTCAATTATCTCCAGCTCATCCTGCCCTTGACACATGGGGATTACTACAATTCAAGGTGACATTTGGGTAGAGACACAGAGCCAAACCATATCAGGACTTTAAAAAGGTAATGTTTTCCTCTAAAATCCAAATTAATACCAGTGAAGGACACTAACAATAAAAAGCATATAACCTAGTATTATCCAAGAGCTTATCTCACTATCCTTGCTGAACCCAAAGATCACAACAACCACACAGCAAACCTCCAGGCAGTCCTCACTTAAAGGCCTTTTTCAACAAGCCAGTTCCTACAAGCCCATCTTTGTTTGTCTTCTACCTCTGTTCAATATGTAATTATTGATACATAATATTTTATATATTTATAGAGTACACATGATATTTTGTTCCATGCATAGAAGGTATTATGTTCAAGTGAGGGTATGTGAAGTATTCATCACCTTGAGTATTTATCATTTCTATGTATTGGAAACATTTCAAGTTCTCTTCTAGCTACTGTGAAATATACACTGCTTCAATAGATTATGTGATGCTGTGATCTGTCTCAGTCAGTAGAAATTATTATTTGCTTAGCTATATTTAAGTGTTGGGATGATCCTCATTATTTCTGTTATGTATCCAAGCACATTACATAAGGTGTCTCATGTTTGCAAATAGAAATTCTGCTCTATCTCCATGAATATTTATTGATATAGAATAAACATATTCTCTTTCTAAATGCTTTTGAAAAGCAGTCATAATTTATGTGTAGTTTAGCCTTTCAAATTTCAAATAGGCTTTTCCAACTTGATCTAACATAAAACATATTTAAAGTGCCAGTTATCTTAAACCTGAGACTTATAGTAATAATGTATGATCTGCTTCATCTCACTTGATTAATTAGACTAGGGTTGTACATCCATAATAATGAATAATTATACTCTGTCATTGTAAGCTAATTCTCAAAGATTCTTTACATGGAGAAAATCCCACCTTCACCCTTCAGAAAAAAAAAAAAAACACACTATGGCTGAAACAAATTAGGGTTTTACTATTATCTCTTAAAATGAAGTCATAAGATGGGCCATTCAAGACTGATATCATCAAGGACCTACACTCCTATCTTTCTGATCAGTCATCTTTAGATTGTCTTTATTGCCTTATAGTCATGAGACAGCAGATTCATATTCAGCTTCTTGTTAGTGAAAGCCTTTGGAAGAAGTAATATTTGAGCTCGGAGCTCCTAAATTATGAAAGAGTTAGCCACATTACTTGTTGGAATAAGAGAATTGAAGGCAGAAGGGACAGAAAATGGAGATAGTGATAAGCAGAAATGTTCAAGAGGAAGAAAGCAGGCCAGTTCAATGGCCCATGGTGATCAATGGAAATATGGCATAATAAGAGATCCGAGGTCATCTGGAATCTTGGAGTCATGAGAAGAAGGAAGATTTCTGTTCTAGAAATCCAGTAAGATTTCTAGGCATGGAATTGACATGTTCTAATTTACCATATTAAAGAGCATCTTGGATTCCATGTAGATAAGATAAACCATTAAAGACATTACTGACATAAGAAAATCAAATTAAAAATTTAGTTTGGCCATTGTGGAAGACAGTGTGGTGATTCCTCAAAGACCTAAAGACAGGAATATCATTTAACCCAGCAATTTCATTACCAGGTATATACACAAAGGAATAAAAATCATTATGTTATAAAGGCACATGCATGTGTATGTTAATTGTAGCACAATTCACAATAGCAAATACATGGAATCAACCTAAATGTCCATCAATGGAAGGTTGGATAAAGAAAATGTGGTACATATACACCATGGGATACTATGCAGCCATAAAAAAATAATAGGATCATGTCCTTTGCAGAGCGTGGATGGAACTGGAAGCCATTATTCTTAGCAAATCAACACAGGAACAAAAAACCAAACACCACATGCTCTCACTTATAAGTGGGAGCTAAATGGTGAGAATACATGGACACATAGAGGGAAACAACACACACTAGGGCCTTCTGTAGGATGGAGGGTGGAGGTTGGGAGGAGGGAGAGAATCAGGAAAAATAACTAATGGGTACTAGGCTTAATACCCGGGTGATGAAATATTCTGTACAACAAGCCCCCATGACACAAGTTTGCTTATGTAGCAAACCTGCTTTTGTACCACTGAACTTAAAATAATGGTTTAAAAAGTAGTGAAAAAGTAGCCATGCTCACGGGACAGTCATATCTGTGTTAAACTGTTAACCTTCAGGGATAGCAAATGGGGCATCTTTCTTGCCTCCCCCTAAATTAATATAGATATTTCCCTTCGTTGTTTATAAGGACACCAATACATAATTTTAATATAGACAAGACAAGGAAATAGAGAAGATGATCTTCAATCCCATTTGTTATCTGCAGTTCTTTCTTTTCATATGGTGCTACTTGCTCATGTAGTTTTACAATAAAACTATCATAACTGGAGATAAATGAGGAACCCAAGCCTTAATGATCTCCAAAAGAATTTTGACTTGGGATAGGTACTAAAATCTCAAAGCTTGTTCTATGCTTCTTTTTGTTTTGTTTCGGTTTTTTGAGATGGAGTTTCGCTCTTGTTGTCCAGGCTGATGTGCAATGATGCGATCTCGGCTCACCGCAACCTCCGCCTCCCGAGTTCAAGCGATTCTCCTGCCTCAGTCTCACGAGTAGCTGGGATTACACGCCCGGCTAATTTTGTATTTTTAGTAGAGTTGGGGTTTCTCCACGTTGGTCAGGCTGGTCTCGAACTCCCATCCTCAGGTGATCCACCCACCTCAGCCTCCTGAAGCGCTGGGATTACAGGTGTGAGCCACTGTGCCCGGTCTCTATGCTTCTTTAAGAAAGCCCATTCTGTCTTAATAAATGTCATTTTGTTTCACAATTTTGCAGATTTGTGGGCTTTTTTCATAATGAAATATATTCTTATTAAAAACTAATAAAATAACCATAGTTTCCACTTATTAAATGACTACAACATGCCGGACACTGTGACAAAGGCTTTATATTTCTCATCACATTTAACCTACTAGAATATAAGTCCCCTGCGGACAGTGAGGTCTACCTGTTTTGCTCATTCTTGCCTTCTTAGTATGTATAACAGTCTTCGAGTCAGTTGCCACTTCACCATTATTCATTAAATATGAGATTAATCCTCACAAAACCCCTATGCGTGGGCATTATTTGCCCCTCTTCGCTTGTTGAGAAACTAAGGCTTAACAAGTTTGAGCAACTTGCTGAAAACAGTATAGCTGGTGACAGAGTTCACAGCCAGGCCACAGCCCTGTGATTCTGGAGTCTGTATCTTTAGCTTTTCCTGCCTCCATTGTTCAATATGTATTTATTAAATATTTTAAAACCCTGAAAACATCTTTAAAATAAATGTATGTTCACATGTGGCTCATTTTACATTTTTAGTTTGCCATAGAATTATCAGTAATAAGTGGTAGATTTAAAAATATATATCTCTGGACCTGAAGCATTTGGGTCATTACTTTGGTTAAATGGTATTGTCAGTAATTATTTACTTTGACATATAGGTAACAAATAACTCTGAAGATCTGATGTTTCCCCAAAAGGGTTTTTGTTGTTGTTGTTGTTGTTTTACCAATTGCTATATTTACATTTCACTTGAAGAGAGAATTTTTTTTTAAAGAATAGATATTCTTCAGAATTTATATTTTCTTTTCTGCCTGACTCTCAAAAATAATCCAAATAGTGTAGCGTAACATATCAAAGCCTAAATTTCTCCCAATACAGTACCTAAGTCCATCTTCCAAAAAAAGCAATAATACATCACCCACACAAGAAGGCTTTTATTTTAACGAATGGCTTAACCCCCAAAAATACTATTGGGGTATCCTTTAAGTATTCACCTCATTTATAGATACATAGACCAATGTTAAGCATGTTTTCCTTTTCCCACCACCTCTCTCTCTTTCTCTCTCTCTTACACACACACACACACACACACACACACACACACACACACACCTCAATGCCATTATTAGGGGAGTTAAGTACTCGCCTTCTTTACAGAGGGTTGGAAAACCTGGTTGATTTTTTTGCAATGTTTATATGTTTTGAAATGCATAACTACCTTTAGAGATTCTAAGTTCACTTTTTTCTACAGTTACTAGCAGAGCATAATGCTTGCTAGAATGATTCTACTGCCAAATGAAGAAAGATTGAGCATTATGAAAAGGCGATGCTTTGCACATCCATCAATCACAAACTCTTCTACAACTTGAAAATTTCACAGTATCTAATTTCAATAAAGCAGTGTTACTGAGGCATACAGTTTCGTGATTTTTAAATTGAAAAGGACACTAGACATTCTAAGCTGAAATATAATTTCAGTGTTTTTCTGGAATAAATAAACATTTCAAGGGCTCAAAGATAGTGTTTCCTCTGCCCTTCTCTTGAAAGCTACATGATATATGTTAAGTATATTTTTTTAAAAAAGACCTTATATTTATTTCATTATTATTCTGTTAATATTCACATAACTTCTAGGCACTGTAAAACTACTGCCTGTAAAGTTTCAAATATGTTAATTTACTATATTTTATTGTAGCTCTGATAACTATTACCCAACAGTTAATAATTATTTTAATAGAATTCTAAGAGTGTTGAAATAAAATGGTTTTCTGCTAAAATCCATTTCTCTAGTAAAGCCATTAGCTGAATTATGTCAACTAGGTAATTATCTAAATTTCAAAGAGCTTTGAGAGAAGCACAGTCTGTATCCTTTGCTAACCAGTCTTCATATATATTTTCTCTAAGAGAAACTATGTAATATTCCTTTCCAACTTTCTTCATAGGACTTATTTTCCATTTGGTAAAATCACAACTTTTTATATCATCTCGAAAAATGAAATCATAGAACAAAGTTTTTTTATGAATGTATCTATTTTCCAACCTCTTTTCACAAAGGATATAGTACTACTTACATATAATACAAAAGATAAAATGAATAGACATTGAATTTAAAGCAAGATAACCTAAGAATATAAGGGGGAGAATGAAATTAGCATAGAGAATTAGACAATTAAAAGCAAGTGATCCTCAACAATGGCTAAAAATAGTTCACAAATATGTTCCATACTTCAAAGATTGACATTAGGAAAACATAACTTTATATTTTCCAGTTTCTAATTATTCTGATCACCACTATGCTATTTGGTAGACAGAATTCTAAAATAGTCTTGGCCCTGGTATACCTACAACTACTTCCACTCCCGCTTATTCAATCAAACAGTAGCCTAAGTATTGCTGTGAAGAGATTTTACAGAAAAATTAAATTCCCAATTCAGTTAACCTTAAAATAGATAGATTATCTTGGTGAGCCTGACCTTGCCACATGAACCCTTTAAATCTGGGTCTAAATGTTAAACATGGAGAAGTCAAAGATTAGAAGTGTGAGATGAATTCAATGTGAGGGAAATTATCTGCAGCTAGCTTTGAATGCAGAAGGAATCATGTTGCATGGAATGTAGTCAACTTGTAGGAGTTCAAAATGAACCCTGGCAGATAGCCAGAAAGGGAATGGAAACCTCAGACCTACAGCTGCAAGAATAGAATTCTGCCAACCTAAACGAGCTCAGGAGCTTATATTTATCTTGAGCCTTCAAACACAAACTCAACCCACCCAATACTATTTCAACCTTGTGAAACACAGTAAAGATTATCACCATATTGTACTAGATCCACAATATTTGAGCTAACGAGTGAGTGTTATACACATTTTGTGGTAATTTGTTACACAGCAATAAAAACTAATACACTGTACAACTCCCAGTCCACAACCTGCCGTTCATTTTATATATATATAATAATTATATATATTTATATATATAATTATATATAATATAGATAATATATATATACTTTAAGTTCTGGGATACATGTGCAGAATCTGGAGGTTTGTTACATAGGTATATATGTGCCACGGTGGTTTGCTGCACGCATCAGCCCATCATCTAGGTTTTAAGCCCCACATGCATTAGGTATTTCTCCTAATGCTGTCCTTCCCTTTGTCTCCCACCCCCTGACAGGCCCCAGTATGTGATGTTCCCCTCCCTGTGTCCATGTGTTCTCATTGTTCAACTCCCACTTATGAGTGAGAACATGTGCTTTTTGGTTTTCTCTTCCTGTGTTAGTTTACTGAGAATGATGGTTTCTAGCTTCATCCATTTCCCTTCAAAGGACAATAACTCATTCTTTTTTGTGGCTGCATAGTATTCCATGGTGTATATGTGCCACATTTTCTTTATCCAGTCTATCATTGATGGTCATTTGGGTTGGTTCCAAGTATTTGCTATTGTAAATAGTGCTGCAATAAACATAAGTGTGCATGTGTCTTTATAGTAGAATGATTTATAAGACTTTGGGTGTATACCCAGTAATGGGACTGCTGGGTCAAATGATATTTCTGGTTCTAGATCCTTAAGGAATTGCCACACTGTCTTCCACAAAGGTTGAAATATTTTACACTCGAACCAACAGTGTAAAAGCGTTCCTATTTCTCCACATCCTTGCCAGCATCTGTTGTTTCCTGAGTTTTTAATGATCGCCATTCTAACTGTCATGAGGTGGTATCTCATTGTGCTTTTGATTTGCATTTCTCTAATGACCAGTGATGATGAGCTTTTCTTCATATGTTTGTTGGCCACATAAATGTCTTCTTTTGAGAAATGTGTGTTCATATACTTCACCCACCTTTCGATGGGGTTGTTTCTTTCTTTTTTTTTTTTCATTGATTTATATTTATTCTATTATGTAAATGACTGAGATCAAATGCTTTTTTTTTTTTTTTTTTGGTTGCTAAATTTTTTTTTTTTAATGTTTTTTTTTTTGTTATTATACTCTAAGTTTTAGGGTACATGTGCACATTGTGCAGGTTAGTTACATATGTATACATGTGCCATGCTGGTGCGCTGCACCCACTAACGTGTCATCTAGCATTAGGTATATCTCCCAATGCTATCCCTCCCCCCTCCCCCGACCCCACCACAGTCCCCAGAGTGTGATATTCCCCTTCCTGTGTCCATGTGATCTCATTGTTCAATTCCCACCTATGAGTGAGAATATGCGGTGTTTGGTTTTTTGTTCTTGCGATAGTTTACTGAGAATGATGGTTTCCAATTTCATCCATGTCCCTACAAAGGACATGAACTCATCATTTTTTATGGCTGCATAGTATTCCATGGTGTATATGTGCCACATTTTCTTAATCCAGTCTATCATTGTTGGACATTTGGGTTGGTTCCAAGTCTTTGCTATTGTGAATAGTGCCGCAATAAACATACGTGTGCATGTGTCTTTATAGCAGCATGATTTATAGTCCTTTGGGTATATACCCAGTAATGGGATGGCTGGGTCAAATGGTATTTCTAGTTCTAGATCCCTGAGGAATCGCCACACTGATTTCCACAATGGTTGAACTAGTTTACAGTCCCACCAACAGTGTAAAAGTGTTCCTATTTCTCCACTTCCTCTCCAGCACCTGTTGTTTCCTGACTTTTTAATGATTGCCATTCTAACTGGTGTGAGATGATATCTCATAGTGGTTTTGATTTGCATTTCTCTCATGGCCAGTGATGATGAGCATTTCTTCATGTGTTTTTTGGCTGCATAAATGTCTTCTTTTGAGAAGTGTCTGTTCATGTCCTTTGCCCACTTTTTGATGGGGTTGTTTGTTTTTTTCTTGTAAATTTGTTTGAGTTCATTGTAGATTCTGGATATTAGCCCTTTGTCAGATGAGTAGGTTGCGAAAATTTTCTCTCATGTTGTAGGTTGCCTGTTCACTCTGATGGTAGTTTCTTTTGCTGTGCAGAAGCTCTTTAGTTTAATTAGATCTCATTTGTCAATTTTGGCTTTTGTTGCCATTGCTTTTGGTGTTTTGGACATGAAGTCCTTGCCCACGCCTATGTCCTGAATGGTAATGCCTAGGTTTTCTTCTAGGGTTTTTATGGTTTTAGGTCTAACGTTTAAATCTTTAATCCATCTTGAATTGATTTTTGTATAAGGTGTAAGGAAGGGATCCAGTTTCAGCTTTCTACATATGGCTAGCCAGTTTTCCCAGCACCATTTATTAAATAGGGAATCCTTTCCCCATTGCTTGTTTTTCTCAGGTTTGTCGAAGATCAGATAGTTGTAGATATGCGGCATTATTTCTGAGGGCTCTGTTCTGTTCCATTGATCTATATCTCTGTTTTGGTACCAGTAGCATGCTGTTTTGGTTACTGTAGCCTTGTAGTATAGTTTGAAGTCAGGTAGTGTGATGCCTCCAGCTTTGTTCTTTTGGCTTAGGATGGGGTTGTTTCTTTCTTGTAAATTTTGTTTAAGGTCCTTGTGGATTCTGGGTATTAGACCGTTATTAGACAGATAGATTGCAAAAACTTCCTTTCATTCTGTAGGTTGCCTGTTCATGCTGATGATGGTTTCTTTTGCTGTGCAGAACCTCTTTGGTTTAATTAGATCCCATGTGTCAATTTTAGCTTTTGTTGCCATTGCTTTTAGTGTTTTAGTCATGAAGTCTTTGCCCATGCCTATGTCCTGAATGGTATTGCCTAGGTTTTCTTCTAGGGTTTTTATGGTTTTAGATCTTACAGTTAAGTCTTTAATCCCCCCTGAGTTAATTTTTGTATAATGTGTGAGGAAGAGGTTCAGTTTAAGTTTTCTGCAAATGGCTAGCTACTTTTCTCAATACTATTTATTCAATAGGGAATCCTTTCCCTATTGTTTGTTTTTGTCAGATTTGTCAAAGATCAGATGGTTGTAGATGTGTGGTATTATTTCTGAGGCCTCTGTTCTGTTCCATTGGCCTATATATCTGTTTTGGTACCAGTACCATGCTGTTTTGGTTACTATAGCCTTGTAGTATAGTTTGAAGTCAGTTAGCATGATGCCTCCAGCTCTATTCTTTTTGCTTAGGATTGTCTTGTCTATATAGGCTCTTTTATGGTTCCATATGAAATTTAAAGTAGTTTTTTTCTAATTCTGTGAAGAAAGTCAATGGTAGCTTGTTGGGAATAGCACTGAATCTATAAATAACTTCAGGCATTATGGCCATTTTCACGATACTTTTTTTTCGTATCCATGGGCATGGAATGCTTTTCCATTTGTTTGTGTCCTCTCTTATTCTGAGCAGTGGTTTGTAGTTCTCCTTGAAGAGAGCCTTCATGTCCCTTGTAAGTTGTATTCCTAGGTATTTTATTGTCTTTGTAGCAGTTGTGAATGGGAGTTCACTCATGATTTGGTTCTCTGGTTTTTCTATTATTGGTGTATAGGAGTGCTTGTGATTTTTGCATATTGACTTTGTATCTTAAAACTTCACTGAAGTTGCCTATCAGCTTGAGATTTTGGGCTGAGATGATGGGGTTTTCTAAACATACAATCATGTCATCTGCAAACAGAGACAATTTGACTTCCTCTCTTCCTATTTGAATACGCTTTATTTATTTCTCTTGTGTGATTGCCCTTGTGTAACATACATCAAGTTGTTTTCTGCAGAAAAGTCTTGTCCATGTTGTCCATTGTCTCACATGAATCTCAATATGGGCATATCTCTTTAGATTCTTCAATTTTCAAAAGAGATATTAACCTAAACATCCTTCCAGTTGATTTTTATGTGCTCATAATTCTGCGTTTAAATAGAAGCATAGAATATCTGCATTCAAAGACTTATCCAGAAAAAAATCATAAAATCTCTGACTCCCAACATTCAACAAAAGATGAGTTGAGAGAACTAGTACTCCAGAAATCTTGACCATCCTTCTCTACTTTTGAGTTTCTTAAAGGTGTTTACAAACTAAGCCAAACATTCATTCATTACATAGCCAGACTATATGATTCTGAACCTTCCACACTCAATAATCATTTTTAATAAGATGTGTTTTGTGCTTTTGCTCTAGTTGATTTATCTTGGGCAATTTTAGCACTATTTTTCTTTTTGTATTTTGTATTATATTTGTAATCCTTCAAGGACTTGTTTATTGACAAAAGTTTGTCCATCTGCAATTCTTGACTTTTAAGATTGCCTGCTACATCACCATAAAGCCAATAGATTGGGCAAGAGAATGCATAAAAGTTGAAAAGTAAGGCATTTAGGTCCCAGGCTTGAATTGTCATATCTCACTTATCTTCACATTCTATTGGTCAGACCTCTGTTTCATGTCCATATATCAGTCCAAGAGCATATGATAAATATATTTAGCTGTGTACCCATGAATAAAGAGATAAATTGAAATGAGTTTGACAACTAGTTCTTCTCTGTTCATCTCTTTAAAGTGAACAGGAATACAGAGCATGGCTTTGTCTTCTTTTTCTCATTCACATTTTTAAATTGCACTAATTTTACCTTTTATTTTATTTTACCTTTTTGTTTGTTGTTTATTTAAGTTGTCTTAAGTTTTTTAGAATAAGGTAGCATATTTATCAATCATCAACTAAATATTACAACTGGATAGTCTGGGAGATAGAAATAATAGTTATTTCAGAGGGTTCCTGTGAAAATCCAATATATTATTACATATAAAGCACAAAGAACAGTGCTTAATCATAGTAAATAACAAAAATATTAATTTCCCTAAGTCACAATTGTTATTTGCAATACTATAACAGAAAAAAATTAAAATAACTGCTTAAGAGAGAAATGGCTCTTCCTAGAGTTAAGATCTAAGATATGCTGTGTTAGGTCATAGTTGCATTGCTATAAAGAAATGCTTGTGACTGGGTAATTTATAAATAAAAGAGGGTTAATTGGCTCACTGTTTTGGTATGCTGTACTAGCATAATGCCAGCATCTGCTCAGCCTTTTGGGAAGCTTCAGGGAGATTTTACTCATGGCAGAGGTAAAGTGGGAGCAGGCATGTCACATGGTAAAGAAGAAGGAAGAGGTATCAAGTGGGAGGGAGGAAGGTGCCACACACTTTCAAACAACCAGATCTTGTGAGAACTCACTCACTATCTCAAAGACAGCACCAAACCATGAAGGATCTGCTTCCATGACCTAAACACCTTCCACAAGACCCCATCTCCAATATTGGGTATTATATTTCAACATAAGATTTGGGTGGGACAAATATCTAAACCATGTTATTCTTCCCCAGGTCCCTCAAATTTCATATCCTTCTTACATTTCGAAATACAACCATTCATCCTCAATAGTCCACCAAAAGTCTGAACTCAATTTAGTATCACTCGAAAGTCCAAAGTCCAAATTCTCATCTGAGCTGAGTTCCTTCCACCCATAAGCCTGTAAAATCAGAATAAGTTATTTATTTTCAAGGTACAATGGGGTACCAGCACTGGGCTGACATCCCCATTCCAAAAGGGAGAAAACAGTCAAAATAAAGGGTCTACATGCCCCACACAAATCCAAAACTCAGCAGGGCAGTAATTAAATCTTAAAGCTCAAAAATAATTTCCCTTGACTCCATGTCCCAGATATTTGGCACACTGGTGCAAGAGGTGGGCTCCTAAGGCCTTAAACAGTTCCACCCTCTGGCTTTTCAGGGTTCACCCCCTAAGGCTACTCTCAGGGGCTGGAGTTGATTGCCTGTGGCTTTTCCAGGATCAGGGTATAAGCAGCCAATGGCTCTACCATTCTGGGAGGCTTTAGGATGGTGGCTCCTTACCACAGACTCATTAGGCAGTGCACATTGGGGACAGTGTTTGGGAGCTCCACCCTCACATTTCACCTTAATATTACCCCAGTAGATGTGCTCTGTGAAGTCTCCACCCCTCCAGCATGCTTCTGTCTGGAGACCTGGGCTTTCCCATATCTCCTCTGAAATCTAGGTGGAGGCAGCCAAGCCTCCTTCACTCTTGCACTCTACAAACCCACAAGCTTAACACCATATGGATGCTGCAAAGGTTATGGTTTGCACTCTCTGCAGCAATGGCCCAAGCTATATCTGGAGCCCTTTTACCCACAGCTGGTACTGGATTGGCCAGGATGCAAGAAATGGCCTCCTAGGGTGGCTCAGGGCAATGGTGCCCTGGACTTGGGATCTGAAACCATTTAGTCCTTCTGGGCCTCTGAGCCTGTGATGGGAAGAACTGACTTAATGATCTCTGAAATGCCGTTAAGACCTTGCTTCCATTGTGTTGGCTCTCAACACCTGGCTCTCTTTCAGTCATGTAAATATCTCTAGCAAGTGGTTTCTTTGCAATCTACTCTGATTCTTCCCTGAAAACGGGATTTTCTTTTCTACCATATGGCCAGGCTGCACATTTTCTAAACTTTTACACTGTTTCCTCTTTAAATATAAACTCCAGTGTTGAGTTATTTCTTTGCTCCTGCCTCTGAGTATAGGCTGTATATAGTATATACAAGTATACAAGTATAGCCACAAGGCAATATCATGAATACTTCGCTGCTGCACAGAAATTTCTTCTGCTGACTAGGCACGGTGGCTCACACCTATAATCCCAGTACTTCAATAGGCCAACATAGGCAAATCACTGGACCCAGGACATCAAGAGCAGCCCAGGAAACATGATGAAACCCCATCTCTACCAAAAATTATAAAAAATTAGTCAGGTGTGATAGAATGTCCCTGCAGTTCCAGCTACTCAGGAGGCTGAGGTGACAGGAAAACTTGAGCCTGGGAAAATGGGGCTACAGTGAGCCATGATTGTGCCACTCCACTCCAGCCTTGGTGACAGAGCAAGACCCTGTCTTAGAAAAAGAAAGAGAAAGAAAGAAAGAAAGAAAGAAAGAAAGAAAGAAAGAAAGAAAGAAAGAGAGAAAGAAAGAGAGAAATTAAGAAATTTCTTCCTCCAGATATTTTAAATTATCACTCTTAAATTCAAAGTTCCACACATCCTGAGGGCATGGACACAAGACAGCAAAGCTCTTTGCTAATGGATAACCAGGGTGACCTTTGATCCAGTTCTCAATAAGTTCCCCATTTCCATCTGAGACCCCATCAACCTAGACATCACCATTTGTATCACTATCAGCATTTTGGTCATAATCATTTAACCAGTCTCCAAGGAGATCTAAACTTTCCCTCATCTTCCTATTTTCTTTTGAGCTCTCCAAACTCTTCAAGCCTCTGCCTGTTACTTAGTTTCAATATCTCCTCCACATTTTCAGGAATATTCATAACTGTACCCCACTCTTGGTACCAATTTTCTGTGTTAGGCCATTCTCGCATTGCTATAAAGATTTATTATAAAATATCTTTCTTTATAAAATAGTCAAGGCTGGGTAATTTATAAAGAAAAGAGATTTAATTGGCTTATGGTACTGGGGGTTGTACAAGCATGACTCCATTATCTGCTCAGCTTCTGAGGAGGCCTCAGGTAGCTTTTGCTCATGGTGGAAAGTTAAGTGAGTGCATTCATGTCACATGGTGAAAGCAGGAGCAAGAGGGAGCATGTGGGGATGGTGGGGAGGTACCACACACTTTTAAACAACCAGATCTCATGAAAACTCACTCCCAACCTCAAGGACAGAACCAGGCCATGAGAAATCCACTACCATGACCCAAACACCTCCCACCAGGTCCCACTTCCAACATTTGGGATTATATATTAACGTAAGATTTGGGTGGGAAACAATATTTAAAGTACATCAAATATGTTGCTGTTCAGTCTTCATGAAATCTGTATGATATTCTTGGCAATGATACATATGGCCATGAGTTTCACAGATTTCTTATTCATAACACTCTACATTGTAAATCAAAAACATAAACTTGAGCCCATTTTGTTGGATGCAATATTAATTGAAGACCAGGCAATGATATTCAGGTTTTTTTTTATTCTGGCTTCATCTTACCGTGAAATTTTGAATACCTATGGAAGTGGATCCCTCCAGGAATTCTGCCATTAAATGAGTTCTCACAACTAGAATTTTGGTAAATTGGGCAACCAAAACTTTAAAGTTTTATTTTATTTTCAAGAATCTGGAAAGCACATATTTTATGTTATTACTTACTGCAGAATTCTAGTCTTTAATAATCAACCAACTATCTACAGATACATAGATAATTATTTCATAGTTCTTCATCAGTTATTGGGTTTTAATCATAATTGTTTCCTATGACACCAATAAATTCTAAACTAGAGAACAACACAATGATTTGTCTTAGAAATGGGGTAGCACGAACTATTATAATACAGATATTGTAAGATATTACTGAAATTAATCTTTATTTTCTGACATATAGTATTTAAACTCAATATTCATGTAATATCAATTAGCAAAAAAAAAAAAAGCCAGATTGTAACTAAATTATGTATGGGATTACTAATTGCATTTTGACTTACAATACTGTATCACTAGCATGCTACAACTTTTCTCATGGCCACTTTCGTTAAAAAAAAAAAAACCTCTGAAAAAAACATAAAGTTATTTTGTAGGGTGTATAAATAAAAGATAAGTAAATAACCTACACCCCCAAGCTCCCAAAACGAATTTGGACAAGTAAGAAGAATAAACTCTCTATTGAAAGGATGAGATGAAGAGAAGTGGAGGGATAAGAGATTGAAAAATATATCATTGTTTTCATAATGAAGTCATAAATATCCCAAAGTATCTCTATTGTATTCGTTTTCCTGGTTTAAACATAAGCATTTCATAAGTTTCTGTATAATTTTTATTGTTTGATGAATTTTTGTGCCAAAATACCACGTTACTAGGTCACTTGAAAATGTTAATTTTCTGAGATTAAATTTATGCCAACTTTAGACAAACAGGAAAATTTAAACATATATGTATCAGTCCATTCTCACACTGCTATGAAAAAATATATGAGACTGGGTACCTTATAAAGGAAAAAGATTTAATCGACTCACAGTTGTGTGTGTCTGGGAGGCCTCAGGAAACTTACAATTATGGAGGAAGGGGAAGCAAACATATACTTCTTTATAAGGCAGCAGGAAGGAGAAGAATAAGAGCCCAGCAAAGGGAAAAGCTCCTTATAAAACTATCAGATCTTGTGAGAACTAATTCACTAGTATGAGAACAGCATGGAGGTAACTGCCCCCATGATTCAATTATGTCCCACTGGGTCCTACTCATGGGGATTATGAGAACTACAATTCAAGATGAGATTTGAGTGAGAACATGGCCAGACTATATCAATATATTTTATACTCTCTGGAAAGAGTAATTCATTTATATCCATTTTCATGTACTTTGAATTATTTTTGGCCATGTTTGTCACTGTGTACATGTTGACCATTTTTACATGCCATAACATAGGAGTGAATTCTTTAGAATATGAGTTCTGGAATATGAGTGCCTGAGTCTGAATTCAATTTCTGCTGCAGAGCTCTTAGGTACAGGGAAGTCATTTGATCTGTTCAGTAGCATTGTATTAGTTTTTTATAGCTGCCGATACAAAGTATGACAAATTGAGTGACTTAAAACAACAGAAACTTATTGTCCCAGATGGAAAAAGTCCAGAAGTCTTCAGGATATTAAAATATCCTTTCTTTGAGTCTTTCGGTAAAATTCTTTCTCACTTCTTGCTAGTGCTGGTGGTGGCTGTCAATCATTGATGTTCCTTGGCTTGTAGCTGTAGCACTCTAATTTCTGCCATTTCTCTCCAGTGTCCTTCCTATGTGTCTCTCTTTTCACATGGTGCTTTTCTCTTCTTATAAGGACACTAGTCGTATTGAATTAAGGCTAACCCTGATAACATCATCTTAACTTGATTATGTCTGTGAAAGCTCTTTTTCCAAATAAGGTCAAATTCACAGGGGTTAAAACTTCAACACATCATTTTGTGGGATATGATTAATCCATAACAGTCACGTAACTACTAATAGGCAAAGCCAGAATATTAATTCAAATAGTGTAACTCAAGAGTCTATGCTTTTAACTACATAACTTGCCAAGGGTATTTAATAAAATACTTGTAAGTGTGTTATTTTATTAACATATTTATAGTGCTTAGAACATTGCTTGGCAAAGTTAGCCCTTATTAAACAAACTCTGTTACAATTGTTATTATTTGCTCCAGTCAATCTGTAAACACAGTCTTATTCACTTTTTGATACCTGTGTTTCAATTAAAAATGGGAATGGGAATAAACTTATAACAATTACTTTCTGATTGTGTGTTTGTCAGTAAAATTATATTCAGTTAAAATTAACTTTAAGTATTAGGTAGATTTAAAACAACTATGATAGACTGTTACATACCTTTTAGAAAGACTAAAAACAAAATAATATTGAAAGCATCAAATGCTGGTGAGGATGAGGAGTAACAGGAACTCTCATTCATTGCTTGTAGGAATGCAAAAATGGTACAGCCAGTCTGAAATTTCGGTTTCTTACAAAACTAAACATACTATTACCATATGACTCAGTAATTCCACAACTTGGCATTTACCCCAAAATGTTTAAAGAAAGATTTACACATAGATGTTTACAGAAGTTTTATTCATAATTGCTGAAACTTGGAAGCAATCAAGGTGTCCTTCAGTAGGTGAATGGATACATTATGGTAAATCTTGATAATGGAATGTTATTCAGTAACAAAAAGAAATGCACTATCAAGTCAAGAAAAATGTAAGAATCTTAAATACACATTACTGAGTGAAATAAGCCAATCTGGAAAGACTGTAAATCGTATGAGTCCAACTAAATGACACTCTGGAAAAGGTAAAGCTATGGAGACAGTAAGAAAATTAGTGGTTGTCAGAAGTTGGAGGGAATATAAGGACGGAACACAGGTGATTTTTAGAGCAGTGATACTACTCTGTATGATACTATAATGGTATATACATCATTATATATTTGTCAAAACCTGTACAATATACAACACCAAGAATGAACCCTAATGTAAACTATGAATTTGAAATTATAATGATGTGTCAATATAGGCCCATCAATTGTAGCAAATATACCATTCTAGTGTAGGGTATTGGTGGTGGTGTAGGAGGTTGTGGCAGTCAGGGAGAAAATATATGTGGGAATGATCTGTATTTTCCAGTCATTCAAGAGCAGTGAACTTAAAACTGCTCTAAAAATTATTTTAGACATAGACCTTACAAAACTTTATAAAACTTTTTATAAAACTGTGTATTTGACTCTATATTAAATTTTAAGTCCATATATTTGTTGTACTGAAGGTGATGCATTCAATTCTTCTCAGTCAGTTTATGACCATCCAAAGAAATAAAAGTAGCTTCTGATAGCTCCCATATCAGAATATTTTGTATTTGGAATCAGCAAATATAATTTTGAAACAGGTATGTAAATATCCATCATTTTAATTTCTATTTGGTTTTCCTTTCAATTTCATAGATAGGGAGTCAAAATGGCATTAGGGGAAAATATGAAAGGAAAAGGATTATTGAATTGAAATATTTTACCTGGAATTAACCCCCAGTCTTGAGCAACATTTCATAAAGTATAATTGATGAGTAAGCACGCTATAATATCATGAAATACTAGCTCTATTCTTATATATAAGAACTATTAATACAGAAATCTCTTTTGTGTGAATGAATGATGCAGATACAACACTTTTCTATAAGCCTTTAAGTTCAGAAATATTCTAGTAAGTTTCTTCTTTTTACTCATTCAGAAAATAAGAAGCACAAATAGCCATAAACCAGTGCTCCTTGGTCTTTTTATTTTCTGTGTTGAGACACATTTGACTGTATAATTCACATTTGTGCCATTTAAGACATGATCATAGTAAGCAGCTGAAAAAATATGTAATTGTCCTTCTTCTGTCACTGATTTTTATGTTTGGGCCTTACAAGCTTAAGTCAATGAAAGAGTCGCTGATCTTTGGCTATGTGATAAATTATTCTTTAACAGGATTTCACATGTTTTTGAAATGGGTTTCTCCTTTGCTCTATTTCAATAGTATATAAGTATGGTAAAAGGAAAATAAATCTTGGGGCCCCCAAACCACTAAGCTAAAGAGAAAAGTCAAGCTGGGAACTGTTGAGGGCAAACCAGCCTCCCATTCAACTCACAGTCATCCTTCTGCTCACTGAGATAAATGAATAGCTGATTGCCTCCTTTGGAAAGGCTAGTCATTATCTCAAAATAATGCAACCATTTGTCTCTTATCTACCTATGACCTGGAAGCTCCCTCTCCACTTCCAGTTGTCTCACCTTTGCTTCAAGTTTTCCTGCCTTTCCGGACCAAACTGATGTTCATCTTACATATGTTGACTGATATCTCATATCTCTCTAAAATGTATAAAACAAAGCTGTGCTCTGACCACCTTGGCACATGTGGTCAGGACCTCCTGAGCGGTGTCACAGGTGCATCCTTAACACTGGCAAAATAAGCTTTCTAAATTGACTGAGACCTGTCTCAATTTTGGAGGTTCAGCATGTATGATAATATTACATTATAGACTGTAATGTTATAATAATAAAACTACCTTTGTTGAGCATTTACCTTGGCAGACACTATTATAAATATTTTGCATTCTTTTTTTTTTTTCACTTAATCCTTAGTAGTAAGCCTCTAAGATAGATGCTATTAGTTTCTTCATTGTATAGGTAGGGAAAGAGATGAGTATTTTGTCCAAGATCCCCCAGATGATGAATCTAAGACAAAACGTTCTCTGGCCCCAGTGTTTTCATCATCACACTAGTTCTTAGTCATTATATTACTGCTTCTTAAAAGATAAACTTAGTACATGTATATTTGTTGATTATTAGAATAGGTTAATAAACAACAAGGTAGCAGACTCTAAAATACATTCGTTGTGAAGGAATGTAGTGATGCAGTTAAAAAATGACTTACCCAAGGTAAAAGTTGAAGTTGAAGAATTTTTTTTAAGTATGGGGAAATTGACAAATTCTTGGTGGTTCTAGAGTATGAAAAGGAGAGGACTAATATACATTGTAAACATTTGTTGAAATATTAATTAAATAAAAGATGAGAGTCAATTATATTTTAAACCCCACTCTGTTATGTCTTATAAAAAATTGTGATTCTGCCAAGTTTATTATTTAGAAACTCATTTGAAAAGCTGAATTAATTAATCAGCCCACCACCAGTCGCAGTGGCTCACGCCAATAATCCCAGCACTTTGCGAGGCTGAGGTAGGCAGATCACGAGGTCAGGAGATTGAGACCATCCTGGCCAACATGGTGAAACCTAGTCTCTACTAAAAATACAAAAATTAGCCAGGCATGGTGGTGGGAGGTGGTGGGAACCTGTAATCCCAGCTACACAGGAAGCTGTGGCAGGAGAATTGCTTGAACCTGGGAGGCGGAGGTTGCTGTGAGCCGAGATCGTGCCACTGCACTCCAGCCTGGCAACGGCGTGCACCCGACCCCCCCCCCCAAAAAAAAAGAAAAGAAAGCACTGATATTAGAACTTTCCATTTTTGAGAACCCTAGCATATATGTACACCTTAAAAGGGAATTTCAGATCCTCTAATCCTTATACTTTTCAGAGATACTTACTGCAATTGCTATACAAACACTTGTTGAATATATTCTTAGTAATTGAATTATTTTGTCTTCTAGCTTAGTTTAAAGAATGCCAAATGTGTTGAATAAAGACCTTAAACATGTACCCCTTTATCTTATTAAACAAAACAAAACAAAACAAAACAAAAAACCCATATCAGTTTAATTAGACATTTAGATAGGCACACATCACTGTTTATATTACATAAAAAAGAAAATGCTATTATAAACAAGAACAAATGAACAGTATGACAATTTCACAGTTCAACTTAGAACTCAGATTAAGAAAGACTAATATGTTAGGCTTACACTAGTCATAAAACAAACTGATGATGATGAGGGATAACAATAATGGTCAAAAGACTCATTCATATGCTTAATCTATTATTCTTCCAGAGGCAATTATCTGATTCTAATAATCTGTTTCCCAAATATGTACAGTAATTCTCAAGTGTATAAACATACCTCAAATCTGTCTGCCTGTTTATGTGCCAAAAATATTTTACAATGCTGTTTGCATTGTAATGTTTACTTCTGTTAGAGTAGGTAGTTAGGCAGACATAAGCAGGGCAGGAGAGGGCCTCTCCAAGAAATGACAGGTGACCATCAGGTGATGGTCAGGCAGTTGTTAAACTGGCTCTCTGAAGTGATAATTGGTCACAGCCAGTGTCAGGGTAAGACAGTCTCCCAATAGATAGAAAATGCCTGGAGATGGTGATAAGTAATTTCCCGATAAGATTTCAGGAGTTGGGCGAGCGAGCTCAAGCATGGGCACCAAGAGGTAAAATAGCAGATGTATGACCTTCCTCTTGGGATGTTCAACCAGTAAATGAAAATAGACCCTAGAAAGCGTGCACACAACCTCAGTAAATGCACTACACATGTGATCACTCTCCCAAGTACTGACTGACGCTGCACATGCAGCAGTTGAGCAACTGCCCACCCCAAAGGAAAAATCAGAGGAGGAGAAATGCAAACCCTGGAACCATGCCAATGTACAAAACCTCAAATCCAGTGCTGAAAAGGGCACTTGGATCTTTCAAGTCATCTGCTTGGTCTTCTTCCAAGTGTACTTTTCTTCCTTTTTCTCCAGCTGTAAAGCTTTTTAATAAACTCTCACTCCTGTACTAAAACTTGCCTCAGTCTTTCCCTCTACCTTAAACCTACTTCTGCCCATTGGCTGAATTCTTTATTCTATGGAGGTGAGGGTCAAGTTAGCTGCAGATCTCTATGAGTTTGCCACTGGTCCCCCCTCCTACTGCTATCTTACGTTGTATTCACATCATCCATTATCATACAGAGAGTTAAAGTATCATCCAGCAAATCTGAGGGAGTTGTTAATCGTTGATTCCTTCTTTGTTTAGTGATGGAGCTACAACTAAATCAAAATGGCCTCTTCTACAGAAACTTCTTAATCTCCTCCATTGGTAGCCATTTAATGCACAAGGACAGAGACATTTACTTATGCATGATATTATACCCCTGCTTTGCCTTTTGCAAAACTTTTATTCTAAGCAAACAGTCATCATGACATAGTTCATCTGGTGTGATTGTAAAGAATAGAATTCATGTCTACTGAAAAAAAAATGCAGAGTGAGGCGGGGCTTAATCCAAGTATTTTATTTGTGGTTTGAATTACCTTATCTAGGCCAGGTGCAGTGGCTCACACCTGTAATCCCAGAATTTTGGAAGGCTGAGGTGGGTGGATCACTTGAAATCAGGAGTTTGAGACCAGCCTAGCCAACATGGTGAAACCCTGTCTCTACTAAAAATACCAAATAATAGCCAGGTATGGTGGTGCCCATCTGTAGTCCCATCTACTCAGGAGGCCGAGGCAGGAGAATTGCTTGAACCCATGAGAAGGAGGTTTCAGTGAGCCGAGATTGTGCCACTGCATTTCAACCTGCGTGACAGAGTGAGACTTTGTCAAAAAAAAAAAAAAAAAGAAACCTCGTCTACATTTTATTAACTTTAAACACTACTCTTCAGTTTGGCCTTTTGACTCTTTTCTCATTCAAAGAATAGACATTATAATACTACACATGCCAGTCTTTAATCTTGCACTTGTGTCCTGGATTTCTACATTACACATTTCTAGCATACAATTGAAGAAAATAACATGAGGTTATTTGCAAAAACAATTGACCAATTATCCATCTACTATTTGAGGCATTTCCTAGGCATTGATAGAATTAATACTTGCCACATTCTTATGAGATTAATATTATTGCCCCATTTTAAAGATTAATATATAAATATACAGAAAGATGAATTAGTGCATGGGACAAGTATTTGATTGATGTCTTATGCCTCTCTAAAATGTATAAAACCAAGCTATGCCCGGACACCTCGGGCACAGGTTCTCAGGACCTCCTGAGGGCTGTGTCACGAGCCATGGTCACTCATAATTGCCTCAGAATATAGCTCTTCAAATATTTTACATAGTTCAACTCTTTTTGTTGACAGTAATAAGCCTAAAACCAACAGTTTTGTCATCACAAAAGTGCCACAAATAGCCAACAACATTACAAAAATCAGTTGTTCTTGGGAAATACAAATAAAGAGAATAGTAATTTATCATACATATAGTGTCCATTCAATGTTCATGACAACTTTCTTAACAATCTTTCATTAAATTAAAAAATGTTTTGAACTGAAATGCCTGTGCTCAGATGTCTGTTGGAATCTCAATTTCATTCCTACCACATTCTCTGCACATGTCTGAATTATGGGGACTGAATATAAAGAAACTACATTTTTATTCATTTTTTTTGAGATCTGAAAAATCAAAATCGATGCCCCTTTTTCAAGTAAGATAGTCCTCAAGGTTTAGGAAATAAGGTTACCCACAGGTCAGTTGAAGGCTGGGCTGGCCTGGCATGTCAACTTTCTAAATATCTATGACCACAAGAAAACAAAAACAAAAACAATACTCTTATAACACTCTTGCTAAACTCTCTAACAACCTAACTATAAGGAGCTATCATGCAAATTGTCAGACTCCTCCTAACTCTGATTAACAGCCCAGACCATTACAAATTTGACTGGACAGAGGGCTAGCCTTGGAAACATTCTTTCCTGATAGGCAACTGCAGACCTCAAGCTAGTTTCACCCAGCTAATAAAGACTAAGCACAAACTGTCTTTGTATCCTACAGCTCACTTTTTTTGTTTGTTTTTTGAGATGAAGTCTTGCTTGTTGCCCAGGGTGCTAGAGTGCAGTAGGGTGATCTTGGCTCATTGCAACCGCTGCCATCCGGGTTCAAGTGATTCTCCCACCTCAGCCTCCCGAGTAGCTGGGATTACAGGTGAGCGCCATCAAGCCTAGCTAATTTTTGTATTTTTAGTGGAGATGGATTTTCGTTATATTGGCCAAGCTAGTCTCGAACTCCTGATCTCAAGCAATCTGCCTGCCTCTGCCTTCCAAAGTGCTGGGACTAAAGGGGTGAGCCACAGCACCCGGCCCTACAGTTCACTTTTTGATGTAAAGAATAAAATCTCACCTCATTTTAATACTAAAATCTCACCCCAAAATGAACATGGGATGTATGTAACATATATGCTTATCCATTGCACATGCACTCAACACTGATCATAAATGTGTATGGCTTTTCTCCCAAACCTGCTTCCTGTGTATGACTCTATTGTATAATACAGACCATGTAAGGCATAAAAACTAACCTGCTCTTTTCCTTTTCATAGAAAGAACACCTTTTTAGTACCCACTGGAGACTGTCTCTTTCCACTTTGCAGACTAATACAGATCTCCATTCTAGTATTTTGCTGTCCTAGTGGTATTCTGAATGACACTTTCCAGAGACATACCTATTTGATCATGAGAGGACTCCAGTGAGATATGGAAGAAGAAAGAACAGCAAAAATCATTCTATCAGGCCATTCATGAACTCCAGCAGACATGAGGTTTTGCAGCTATTTTGAACATTTTCCTGGAAATCAACCTACTCAAGTATGCAGGGAGTACAGTTGTCTCAAAAATAGTTTTCTGATTTCTTGAAAGCTAGCACCAAATTTAAAAGCTAGATGCAAATTTTCCCATCTTTCCAATAATTTTCCAAACTCATTTTTAAATTTCTTTCTTTCTTTTTGAAATATCTTGAGCTGCTTATTTATCTAACTAAATCTTGCCAAATACACATAGTGAGACAGTTAGCAAAAGTTGTCAAAGTATGTTTTCTTTCTTATGTAAGATTACTTTTTCAAATCAGAGACATTGCCTGGATTTGATCTCACTCCCAGGTTTTCTTTTAATGTCAGAAGCTATTGAAGCCTCAAATAAAATACTTCTTTGAAATTTGCCTTCTCTGTTTTCTCTCATTCAAAACCTAGGATTCAGAAAGCATGGTGCTCATTTAAGCTGTCTGTCCCATATGACCCAGTTTTTAATTGCCTGGTCATGTGTAGCAATATGTTACACATTGCATTGGACAGACCAATTAGAAAGATGCCTTTTCACTGTCCAGTAGACAAAATGACTATGATCCTGAATGCATCCAATTTCTAACAAAATTCATGCAGAGTTATTTAAGTATAGATATCATCAACTAATCTGAATGGGGCATAAAGGTAACAATGTATTAGTTTTAGAGTATCTAGGTATAACTTCTGTCACTGAAAAGTTGAAGCACCATTTGAGTTATTATTGATCCCGCAAAAGTAATGACTATAGGCGTTTTTGCAACTTTCTTAAAGTTTACTTTATTGTGGTGCAGAGAATAGAAATCCCAAAATAGCTTTTTAGAATAGCATCTTCTAAAAGAAAAGGGAGATATGAATCATAAAAACACCGTACTTGTAAAAGTTACAATTTCTCCTATTGATCTTTCTGAGTATTTTCAAATAAGAAGTGCTGAGTAGAAAATGAGTTCTGGAAAGATGTACTGCACCCCAACATAAACTGTCCCCAAACAGATATTTGCGTAAAAATGAAATGAAACAAAACAACACAACTAAAGATCTAAAACAAAAAAAAATCCAGTACCATTAAAAATAAAAGTTGTTCACTTATCTTATTCTCCTCACCAAAATATTAGTACCTGATTAATGTCAAGACTAACCGCTTATAAGTTCAAATTGTGCTTTCCTAATGTTAAAAGTAAAACCTTAGACAGATTAATTTTAACAAGAGTTTTAATTTGCAAATCAGGCAGCTTCTCGAGCCAGAGTAGAGTCAAAGAGATTCCAGCTCAGCCATGTGGTGGAAGAAGATTTAGAGACAGAAAAGGGAAAGTGACTACAGAAAATGGAAGTGAGGTGCAGAATCAGCTGGATTGGTGACTGCTGGTGTTTGCCTTATTTGAACATGGTTTGAACAGCTGGCCCCCTTTGATTGTCCAAAACTTGGTGATTGGCACAAAAGTAGGATACAGTTTATTTATACCTCCATTTAGGTTACAGTTCACTATGTACAGAGAAACCTTTAGGCTGAAATTAAAATATATAAGAAAGCAGCTTTAGGCTAGACTTGATTTAACACCCAGTCAGTGTTTTGTTTTGTTTTAATATAATTAGTAAATTTAACTCCACAATTCATAAAGTGACTTTCTAAAATATCCAATCTGTTACAGTTAACATTATCTGTATTCATTTAAATTGGCTCATTAAAGCAAAATTAGTATTAAGATTTTATAATATCCAATATAATTTAAGTGAAAATAAAGCTCAATTGAGTTTTTATTTCTACAGGTAAGTGCATTCACTAAAATATCCAGTGGCTATTTATTATGTCAGTTAACATTCATTAAACACTTTCAGCTTGCCAGGTGTTTCACTTGAGTCATTTAATGTAATGCCCATGGCACACTTCTGAAGTATTAATAGCATAATGACCACTTCACAGAAAAGGAAACTAAGACTTGCTCAGGACCACAAATCTATTAAGAAGCAAATGCAGGGTTTGCACATGAAGAGTCTTGACAAAAGCCTTCTATTTTTAAGCATTACACTAAATTGCTACCCACTATATTCAAGATATTGACCAGTGGCCTCCCTATTTGCAGTTAGTGGAAGAGTATAGATAAAATGTATCAATGCAGGACATATTTATTTGAGATGGAGTCTTGCTTTTTCATCCAGGCTGGAGGGAGGAGGTGTGGTCTTGGGCTTAAGCAATCCCCCTATCTCAGCCTCTGAAAGTGCTGGGATTACAAGTGTGAGCCTCTATGACCAACTGTAAATATTGATTGAGTGTCTACTAAACACAAGACACTTTACTAAATGTTGATGATAAAGCCTAGAGGTTTAAGGTCCAATTATAGTAGGTATGTATGTCAATTCATTTCTGAGAAGTTTTGATTGACATCTACCTTAGAGGCTCAGAACACGTGACCCTGCTTCTAAGAAATACTAAATATTCATGCCAGGTAGAACATCTGCCCCAATCCACCTTGCAAGTTGCTTCCCCCTGGCTCTATCTAATTGGCTCAGCATCATGAAGCTAATCCACCTGGGCTGATGAGTGGTATTCTGTAGAAATGTAAATTTGGAGTTAAGGGTTCTGGCTCTTTCCTTGAAGTGATGACATATACTCAAGAGACCTTGGTGCTGCTATTTTTCTGCTATTATTATGGGAAACAGATTTTCTGCAGATAAAAAATGAAGTGGACCAGTAGTGAGAAACAAATATAAAAGATAGAGAGACTTGATGACTTATTCCAAATTGTTTCTGAGACCCAGCTGTATCTCTGTCCTTCAGTTATATGAAGCACCCTTGTAACATATGAAAAAAAAAATACTTTTTGCTTAAGTGAGTTTTACTTGTGTCTGAATTACTGTCAATCCAAAAGTTTTGAAATGTAATCGCAGAAAAATATGGCTTTTTAAGCCATTAATACCTTCATAACTTTGAAGGATTTCCCAATTTTTGTTTCTGATAGGACCATAGTGAATACGTGAAAATACAGAGTAAGCTTTTTAAAAAACTGCTACAATTTACTAGCATTCTAGATAAGAAAATAATAATTACTAATCACATCTCTTAGAATCTTCCACAAAGCTTTCCAACTGTGAGGCTCAATAAATGTGTATTTTCTTTCATTCCATTGCATATCTCATCCCCAGACAAAATAATCTGTGTTCATCACAGGACAGCATTCCTTTCCACTAGGTTGATATTCAGCTAGTATGCCCTGCTATAGTGATTTGGTCAGTGTCCAATCTGATTAGTCAGAAGTTCATTCAGATCAGTCAGTGTTCATGTCATAATGTCATGTCATAAATGATAAATGTTTTCACCTTTATCTTCAGTTTTATAAGTATGATCTCTGGCACATGTTTTCCTTTAGCTTTGTATGTCATTCCCCCATCTGGCTCAGTGGCAAATTCCCACTCATTCACTCATTCAACAAATATTAAGCACCTAAAATGAAAGATTCAATATTTCATGCTTTGAGGAGGCTTGTACATTGCTTATTTAAAAAATTTTATTAAAAATAGACCTCATTTTTTTCCAGCAGTTTTAGGTTCACAACAAACCTGAGCAGAAGGTTTCTCATGTACTCTCTGCCTCCACACAGCCATACCCTCCCCCAATATCAACATTTCTCACCACACTAGGATATTGGTTACAATTGATGGACCTACATTGACACATCAGCCAAAGTCCATGGTTATTTTAGGGATAGTTCTTGGTGTTGTACCTTTGATGGGTCTGGAAATGTGTAATGGCATGTATCTACCATTATAGTATCATGCAGAATAGTTTCATTGCTTTAAAAATCCTCTATGCTCTGCCTATTTATTTCTCCCTCTCCACTGACCTCTGGCAACCACTGAATGTTTTCCTTTCTTCAAAGTTTGACTTTTCTAGAATGTCATATAGCTGGAATTATATAATGTTAGCTCTTTTCAGATTGGCTTCCCTCACTCAGTGATATGCATACAAGTTTCTTCCATGTCTTTTCATGGGTTGATAGCTCATTTCTTCTTAACACTGAATAGTATTTCATTGTTTAGATATTCTGTAGTTTATACAGCCATTCATCTGTTAAAGAACATCTTAGTGGCTTTCAAAAGTTTGGGCAACTAATAATACAGCTTATACACAGGGAACAAAAACAAAAATAGACAAATAAGACTATATTAAACTAAAAAGCTTCTGCACAGAAGAAGAAATAATCAACAGAGTAAAGAGATAGCTTGCTGTATGGGAGAAAATATTTGTAAACTATTCATCTGAAAAGGGACTCATATCTACAATATACAATGAACTCTAACAACTCAACAGCAAAAATAATCCGATTAAAAAGTGGGCAGAGGATGTGAATAGACATTTATCAAAACAAGATCTACAAATGGCCCCCAGGCATATGAAAAAAAAATGCTCAATATCAGCAATCACCAGGGAAATGCAAATCAAAACTGCAAGGTATCATCTTACACAAGTTGGAATGGCTAAAAAGACAAAACATGCCAAGGTGGGTGGATCGTTTGAGATCAGGAGTTCGAGACCATCCTGGCCAACGTGGTGAAACCCCATCTCTACTAAAAATACAAAAATTAGCAGGGCGTGGTGGCAGGTGCCTGTAATCCCAGCTACTTGGGAGGCTGAGGTAGGATAATCACTTAAGCCTGGGAGGCAGAGGCTGCGGTGAGCCAAGATCACACCACTGCACTCCAGTCTGGGTGACAGAGTGAGACCCTGTCCCAAAAAAATAGAGGAAACATAATAGATTCTGGGGAGAATGTGAAGAAAAGGCACCATATATACTGTTGGTGAGAATCTAAATTAGTACAGCCATTATGGAAAACAACATGGAGATTTATCAAAGAACCAATAATAGAACTACCATAGGTTCCAGCAATCCCACTACTGAGTATCCAAAGGAAACTACTTATTATACGAAAAAGATACCTGCACCCCTATGTTTATTTCAGCATCTATGTAATTAATGTCTTTGTCTGGTGGTGATGTTAAGGTAATTTGGGGTTCATACAATTAAGTAGAAAGTATTTCCTCTGCTTCTATTTTCTGAAAGAGAGTGTAGAGAACTGGTACACTTTGTTTCTTAAATGTTTAGTAGAATTCACCAGTGAAAACATCCAGACCTGGTTCTTTCCTTTTGGAAAATTATTAGTTACTGCTTCTTTAATAAATATTGGCTTATTCTCATTTTCTATTTCGTCTTGTGTAAATTTTTACAGATTGTGTCTTTCAGGGCATTGATTTCATCTAGGTTGTCAAATTACCTGGCATAGAGTTGCTCATAGTATTTCCTTATTATCTAATTAATATCCATGTTATCAATAATGATGCCCTTTCTTTCACTTCTGCTGCCAATAATTTGTGTCCTCTCTTTTTTTCATAGTCAGCCAGTTTAGAGACTTGTCAATGTTACTAATTTTTCTCAAAGAACCAGCTTTTGATTTAGTCACTTATCTATTACTTTTGTGTTTCAATTCATTGATTTCTTCTCTAATATTTATGATTTATTTTCTTCTTTTTATTTTGAATTTAATTTTCTCTTCTTCTAGTTTTATAAGGTGAAATTTATATTATGGATTCTGGGTCTTTCTTCTTCTCTAATATATGCCCTTAATGCTAGAAATTTCCCTCTAGGCACCGTTTTTGTTGCATTTTACAAATTTGGATAAGCCATGTTTCATTTTCATTTTCATTTATTGCAAAATATTTTTAAAATTCTTTGGACAGTCCTTTGTTGACCCGTGTATTATTTAAAAATGTGTTGTTTAATCTCCAAGTATTTTGAAATTATCCAGCTATATTGGAATTATTAACCCCTAGCTCAAATTCCATTGCAGCCTGACAGCAGATTTTGTATTATTTCAATTCTTTTAAATTCATCAAAGTGTGTTTTATGGCTCAGTTGAGGTCTATCTTAGTGGACGTTCCATGTGAGTTGAGAAAAATATGTAATCTGTTATATTCGGATGAAGTAGTCTATGGTTATCTATTATATCTTGTTGATTGATGGTGCTGTTGAGTTCAACTGTCCTTAACTTTCTGCCTGCTAGATCTGTTTATGTCTAATAGAGGGGTGGTGAAGTTTCTAACTACAGAGTAGATTCATCTATTTCTCTTTACAGTTCTATCAGTTTAGCATCACATATTTTGACCTTGTTTTAGGTGCATATATATTAAAGACTGCTATGTCATTTTGGAGAATTGACACCTTCATCACTATGAAAAATGTTCCATTTTATCCCTTCAGAGCCTTCTTGCTCTGAAGTCTACTGTCTCTGAAATTAATATAGCCATTTCCACTTTCTTCTGATTAGTTCAGCATAGTGCTTCTTTATCTATCCATTTACCTTTAATCTATATATAGCTTTATATTTAAAGTCAATTTCTTATAGACAACCTACAGCTGGAACTTCCTTTTGTGCAGTCTGACAATTTCTCTCTTTTAATTGGTGTGTTTAGATCATTGACATTTAAAGTGGTTATTGATATAGTAGGATTCACATCTATCATGTTTGTAACTGTTTTCTATTTGTTTCTGTAAAGCCCATCAAAGGTGTTCTCCACTTCTGTTATAGTGTTTATTGCTTACATTGCCCATTTTATATTGTTATTTACTTATCCATTAGAGATCTTAACATATTCACCACAGTTTTTTTTTTTTAATTCCTGGCCTAGTAATTTCTAGAAGAAACAAAGCAAGCATCAAAACCAGATTCAGATGTGGCAGAGATATTATTTGCCTTTTAGTATGTCTTGAGATTTTCTCTTGGTAGCATGACAACGTGTAATGGGTAAAGTAACTGCTGTGAATAGGCCTTTAATAATGTGGTGATATGTTGCAGGGGATAAGAAGAATCTTAACAATCATATGATTATGTCTTAGTCTTTTGAGTGAGCTAGTGTCTCTGGACTGTGAGCTACATGAATGTTTCTCAGTTTTTTGTTGAATTTTACTCTTCTCTGTCTGCCTTATGTGGGACAGGATAGTAAGAGTGGTTTGGAGTTGGGTGTTTCCCTTCCCCTTCCTCTAAGCCAGTTAGACTCTGATAAAACTCCAGTAAGTTAGGCTGCAGTTAAATAATAATTTCTCCTGAGTGAGACTTGTTAAGAACAGAATTCTCTGTCATATTTCAAAATGGTTTCTATTCCCCTCCCCATGCTGGAAACAGGAGGACATTTTTCTCCAACATTTACTGTAAGAAACTGGTCAAATCCTGGAGGTAAAACTCACAAAATTGTGACAGCCCCCTTCCCATTACTGGGTCCCCTGCAGTTTTGAACTCAGATTCGCCCACACTGAGTCATCAGCAATTCATCAATTTCAGTTTAAGTTTTCCTACTGGGCACTGGATCCAATGAAGGTTTCCACTGGTGGGTTTCTGCACCAGTAACTTATAATTCTTTGTATCCAACTGTCTGTCTTTTCTGGTTTAGAGGCAGCTCTTTGCCCTGTGGCCTCACTTTTCTTAGCGATCTAAGAGAGGTTATTGATTTTTCTGATTGTTCAGCTTTTACTTGCTGTTGAGATTGAATGGTGATTTCCAAGATTATTATTGCAAGACTAAAAACTGAAAGTTGGCTTATTTTTTGAGGGTCATTTTATTGTATGAGAAAGACTCCAGGGGCAATAATGAGGCAAGAAACCAGTTGAGAGGCTATTATGAGAGCATAGACAATGTGTCAGTCTGTCCTCAGGCTGCTAACAAAGACATACCCAAGACTGACTAATTTATTAAGGAAAGAGGTTTAATTGACTCACAGTTCAGCATGGCTGGGGAGGCCTCACAATTACGGCAGAAGGCAAATGAGAAGCAGTTACCTCTTACATGGCAGCAGGCCACAGAGCTTGTGTAGGGGGAGCTCCCATTTATAAACCATCAGGTCTCCTGAGACTTATTCACTAACACAAGAACAGCATGGGAAAGATTTGCCCCATGATTCAATTATCTCCCTGGGTCCCTCCCATGTTATATACAAATTATGGAAGCTACAATTCAAGGTGAGATTTGGGTGGGGATACAGCCAAACCATGCCAGTCAACATTTGATGATCTCTAGAATGATGAAAATATCAATGTAGAAGGTAAAAAATAGTATATTCCAGAGTCAATAACATTTGGAATTTGAATGTTACCTTTTATAAAAAACACTCCCTCTTTATCTCTCCAAGTAGAGTTATTTGCTCTCTTACATGAGCTTACATCATATTCTATTAACATCTCTACTCTAGCTTTTATCAAATTTTAATATAAATAACTTGTAAGTTCTTGATTTTCCACCAAAATTTTGAACTCTTTCAATTAAGACATCTGATTCTTTTTCATCTTTCTCAATGTCAACACAAGGCCTAACTTTCACTGGTAATTAATCTTTCTCAGGAGAGAAAAAGAGAGCAATTACACGGGAATAAATTATTCTTTTTATAAATTATTTATAAATTTATGTTTTAATAAATTATATATTCACAATAATTTATATACTAATAAATTAAGAATAAGATGTGCATAATATTTGGGTGTACTCTCTGGCATCCATTAAGTTCTTACCTAATTCTCAGGGTTAGTCTACTAATAACATATAGAAGAGCAAGAGTTTACAGACAATGATTCATAGGTAGACAAATAGATAGAGAAAACATCATGCTCCCATGGCTAGTTTTGCAGTGATTGTCAATGCATTGCACTATGTTGACTAAAAGGCAAAAATAAAATGAAAGGTTTGGTGGAAAAAAAATCTCAGAAAAATGTATGTTGAAATTAAGTACATTTGTAAATTATCTTCAACCTGAAGTCAACGTTTTGCTCTGTAGTCATGTTAGATTTCAAAATTCATGTTTGGTTGAAGCAGCAGCACTCAATAATTAAATTAACTTTATTTGGCTGGTCTCAAAAATGAGTAATCCAGAGAATAGAATTTGTTATGTAAAATAGTTGCTGTTCTACTTGAAAAAATGTATAGTGGCACTACGCTACGGTAAAGACAGGAAGCATTATAATCTGTAGGCACCTGAGAAGTGGTCACTTGTTAGGGGTATCTAAGTTTCCCCTTTTCTGAAGGTGTGACATTTCTCTAACTTAGCTCAGCTTTTGACAGTGGAGAAACATGGGCTTCCTCAGTTTAAAAGGGCCACCAAATACAAAGAACTAGCAGAAATGTTTATATCTGGGGTTCAGCTGAGCAGAAATATATGCCTGCAATCATCCAGTGCATCTCAGATAAAGCCCCAGAGAAAGATTCCAATAGCAGAAACAAATACACAAAAAAAAACCTTAGTGTATTGTAATTTCCTATTACTGATTTGTCACTTGAGATATTAGCATATTATACAAATTCACAGTCTCAAGACCCAAAATAAATTTTTAAACCTAACGAAAATTGAGAAGTCATGAAGTATTTTTACAGCAAACAAAACTGGTTGCCCTTTGAACAGATAATAAATCACTCTGACCTGATACTGGAGATTCAACATATACTACACAGGCAAAGCTATTGCTGGAGTATTTTAACATTTGTTGGAACTGCTTTCAACTATAGCTCCTGATGCCTCCTGTGGTTGCCAGTGGGAGGCCTTGAATAAACAGTTCACATATTTGTAATTCCTTTGGAAAATCCACTTAAAATTGTATCCATTAATCTGTTCTTGAAATGAAAAACAGAAAATCATACCTTTATATCAAAAATATACTGCACACAAAAAAGCATTCTACCCACCTATATAAATCATTATAACATCTAGATGATATAATTTTAGACTTTCCTTGTGCATATATAATGGATATATGTATTATATTTTTTAAAAAATAGGGTCATAATCTATTTTTAAAGTATTTTCAAACATAGCTACTCTGTTTAATGAGTAGCTTTTAAAACAGTATATTTTTAACAGTATAATTGTTTTAAAAACTACTCTTTAAACATAGTACATTACAATTTTATATCAATAAATATTTATGGCATGATTTTAACAGAAAATTTGACTACAATTTTAAATTTCAATAATTAATACTTACTAATATCAGGCATTATTTTAAGCACTGCATATAAACTGCGTTATAAACACACACGCACACACACATGATTAATCTTCCCCTTTCAATTATTTGGGTTAATTTAAAGTCTTTTGATTATAAAACAAACAAGTTGCCTGGAAATGTTAATGAGATAAATAATTCCCACAGTAGAAAATAGTCTCCTTAATAGTACTATAATTTGTTGATTTCATTAGATTTAGCACTGGCTTCTTCTTTCTATTAGCTACTCCTTTATTATATAAAGAAAGCTTTTTGTTTTAAGAAATAATTTGTGATCACAAATGTTGTTTGGATGAAAACATTCAAGGCAACTCAAAATTTGTTAATACCTGAAACGAGTTTTATGAGCCAACACACACATATACACACCACACAGACATAAACACACACACACAACTCCTCTAGGTTCCAATTGTAATGTGTGCCCTTATCTTATTTATCATTGATTTTTACTGCTTTGAAACTTATTAGTCAGCTTTATTAGTAATCCTTTACTCATTTTTAAGCACCCGTCTGTCATTGATCATTTGACATTGATCGTATGTACTATCAAGCCTCTCCATATCAGTGATATTATTTAGAGTCCAATTTAATGTAGGACTGGTGGTTGAAAAGTCTACCTTTATGGTGGGTTTTTCTGTTGAAGCATCCTTTCTTCTGTAATCTTTTAATTCAGATGAACTCAGAGTAAAGCTGTACAACTTCTATAAACTTTCTAGACTAAAGAAAGCAAACATAAGTTTAAAAAACACTTTGTCTTTTTATTCTCAGATAAAGTAAATGAAACAGGCTATATATTTTCTTGTTCTTCAGTTTATCATTGAATCTAGTACACATATCTATGAGGGAAGTTTTTGTGCTTATTTTAGTTGAGTATGTAGCTTTGATCAATTAAAAAAAACACTGTGGAACAAATTAAACCTCAAAGCAATTATGAAACTGTAGGCCTTACTCTACAGTTATATCTTTAGTTATTTTGGCCTTTAAACTTTTATGTAGTATAACCATTATGTTTTCAAAATAATTTTTTAAAAATCTTAAGTTTTATGTAAACTCTTATCATATGTATAACATAATGGGGAAGTTTAGCTGCTAAGCATTTTTAAACCATAAAAGCCATAATAAACAGTATTACATATATTTGCTATTCATTAGGATAATTTAATTTTCTCTAAATAAAACAAAAGAGAAAATTGTTGTAATTATTATGTTTTAAACTGTTAATGAATTTAAGACAATTGTAAAAATAAAATCTTTCAAATCTTTATAAACCAATAAACTGGACAATCTTTTCTTAGAGGTAAACAATGGATAGGATTGATGAAGAACTCTATGTAGCTAATTATAATAAAGCAAAAGTGCTAACTCCCTTGTCTGGGTTTTCCACCAAAATAAATAAATAAATAAATTTCTTTGTCTAGAGAGTCACTAAGAAATGTTTCAAGTGTGCAGTTAGCATCTCCTACTTCTGAGATGGACAAAATGCATTGTATTCTGCTTCATGAATATAATATTTTATTCATCCTTTTGGTCAAAAGTTTTATTTTCATTATAAAATTCCTTAAAAGTTTAATAAATTACAAACAAATATTTAGTGTTATTAAAAGCAAAGAACCTGGAATCAGATTTCTTTGTTTAAAATGTTCTCTCCCAGTTACACATTGTCTGATGTATGGGAAATGATTTAATTTCTTTGTGACTCAGTGTCCTCGAAAAAAAAATGAGAATAATAATATTTAGCTAACACAGCTGTTGTGAGAATTAGACAATATTCCAGAAACACTGTAATTTTCAATTCATGTTGAGAGGTGACAACTTGCTAGTAGCCCTAGCTCACTCTTGGCACCTCCTCAGGCCACGGTGTCCACTCTGGCTGCACTTGAGGAGCCCTTCAGCCCACCGCTGCACTGTGGGAGCCCCTCTCTGAGCTGGCCAAGACCGGAGCCGGCTCCCTCTGCTTGAGGGGAGGTGTGGAGGGAGAGGCACAGGCGGGAATGGGGGCTGTGCGTGGTGCTCCCAGGCCAGTGGGAGTTCTCAGTGGGCACAGGCTCAGCGGGCCCCGCACTTGGAGCAGCCGGCTGGTGCTGCTGGCCCCTGCAGTGAGGGGCTTAGCACCTGGGCCAGCAGCTGCGGGGGGTGCGCCGGGTCCCCCAGCACTGCCGGCCCACCTGTGCCATGCTTGAATTCGCACCAGGCCTCAGCCACCTTCCCACAGGGCAGGGCTCAGGACCTGCAGCCTGCTATGCCCAAGCCCCCCCACCGACCCCACCCTACCATGGGCTCCCGCGCGGCCCAAGCCTCCCGGATGGGTGCCACCTCCTGCTCCGAGGCACCCAGTCCCATCGACTGCCCAAGGGCTGAGGAGTGCAGGCACGGCACGGGACTGGCGGGCAGCTCAGCCAATGGCCCCAGCACGGGATCCACTAGGTGAAGCCAGCTGGACTCATGAGTCAGGTGGGGACTTGGAGAACTTTTGTGTCTAGCTAGAGGATTGTAAACGCACCAATTAGCACCCTGTGTCTAGCTCAAGGTTTGTAAATGCACCAATCAGTGCTCTGTGTCTAGCTAATCTAGTGGAGACTTGGTGAACTTTTGTGCCTAGCTACAGGATTGTAAATGCACCAATCAGCACTCTATGTCTAGCTCAGGGATTGTAAATGCACCAGTCAGCACCCTGTCAAAATGGACCAATCAGCTCTCTGTAAAATGGACCAATCAGCAGGATGTGGGTGGGACCAGATAAGGGAATGAAAGCACGCTGCAGGAGCCAGCAGTGGAAACCCGCTCTGGTCCCCTTCCACACTGTGGAAGCTTTGTTCTTTTGCTTTTTGCAATAAATCTTGCTGCTGCTCACTCTTTGGGTCCGCACTGACTTTATGAGCTGTAACACTCACTGCAAAGGTCTGCAACTTCACTCCTGAGGCCAGCAAGACCACGAACCCACCGGGAGGAATGAACAACTCTGGACGGGAAGAATGAACAACTCCAGATGTGCCGCCTTAAGAGCTGTAACACTCACCATGAGGGTCTGCAGCTTCACTCCTGAAGCCAGCGAGACCACGAACCCACCAGAAGGAAGAAACTCCTAACAGGTCTGAACATCAGAAGGAACAAACTCCAGACACACCATCTTTAAGAACTGTAACACTCACCGCGAGGGTCCGCGGCTTCATTCTTGAAGTCAGTGAGACCAAGAACCCACCAATTCCAGACACAATATCACTGGATATATAAATTCAATAAATATTTTATGAATAGCTCTTGTAATAATTATTTTCAGGAAGAAAATGCATTTGTGTGAAAAATACATTGATAAAACTTTTGTGAAATATTGACAAGGTACTTTTTATAAAACTGGGAAGTGAATTTGTTCTGCTCTGAAATGCCAGAGAAGAGAAAAACAAACTATCCAAGAGAGGGATAAAGAAAAGAGCCAAAGAAGATGTGAGGTATAAAACTACAAAAGAAATAATCAGGAGAGTTTCCTTTGGAGCATGTATTCAGAACCCTTTAGGACAAGGAATGAATGGTGCTAAATTTGAAGTGATTCAATTGCTGTGGTGTAAATCTTTATCCAGGAGATAATCCCAGCAAAATTTCACTAAAGTCTACTACACTAATTGTATTAGTCTGTTTTCATACTGCTGATAGAGACATACCCAAGATGGGCAATTTACAAAAGAAAGAGATTTAACTGGACATACAGTTCCATGTGGCTGGGGAAGCCTCATAATCATGGCAGAAGGCAAGGAGGAGCAAGTCACATCTTACGGGGATGGCAGCAGGTAAAGAGAGCTTGTGAAGAGCAATTCCGATTTTTAAAACCATCAGATCTTGTAAGACCCATTCGCTATTAGGAGAACAGCACACGAAAGAACTGCCCCCATAATTCAACCGTCTCCCACTGGGTCCCTCCCACAACACGTGGGAATTATGGGCACTATAAGATGAGATTTGGGTGGGAACGGAGAGCCAAGCCATATCGCTCATGAATGCTTTGTATAACGTAGTTTCCTATTTTGTTTTGTGAAAAATGAGAAATGGCTCAAATGTTGTGATATACACAAAATGCACTGCTAATGGTTTTACAGAGGAATAATCAAGTAGGTAGCCATCTCTCAGGTACTGGAAGAAGTCCTTGGAACTTCCTTAGATTTCCATGCAATATCTTACAGGAATTTGAACTAATTATGTCTGGATATAAAGGGGTATAACATACCTCAGTTGATGTTGAATTTATGGAGATACCCATAACCTTTGCATTCTTAAAGTACTCTATAATTTTCAAAAACTTTTCTTACATTATCTTGCTTGTTCTTCACAAAGCTCTATGAGGCAGGCAGGGCAGGGATTCTTCATCGCAATTGCAGATTAGGAAGCTGAGCCTGGGAAGATTAACTGACACACCAAAGGTAGAACAAGGACAGCTTAAATTTCTCTAGCCTTCTCCTTCTCTCATGTGCAGGATGAGAATCTCCAGATTGAAGAAAAGTACTTTGGATGTCATGATTTTTTATTCTAGTTTAGGTAAAGAACAGATATGTGTGTCCTCTTAGAAAAAATAAATCCAGGTATATTATTTTTTTCAAAATAATTGTTGTGGAAGCTTTTCAAGAAAATAAGTTTTTGAAGTTATGCTATAAGTAAAATAAATTTCTCAATTAGATTAAATAAGATCTTTAGATAGAAATCAATCCTTTTGATGACAATCTGTGTTTGAGTTTAAATGCCTTGAGTCATATTAACCATGACTTTTATTTTCTGTATTCTGATGCTTTGACATTTAGAATCTTGGTCACCCTGGAGCAACTGCCCTAATTTCTAGAGATTCTTAAATAGCCCAGTAATGCACCTTTCAATTGCAAACCAAGCAATCTAGAGTTTATCCTCATAAGCAACTCCTTTATCAGGATCTCATATTATGGGCCACTATCCACCTGCCCTAAACATTCTAAGGGCAAGGGCCAGAAAACTAGGGGCTGCCCTTATCCCCCAGACCTCTCTAAAATTATTCAAATCAACCAATCCTTATTTGACTTGTCCTGTCTTGCCCTTTCCTTCCTGTGGAAACGAAAATAAAGTCTCTGGCTCCTAATCGATGCTGGTGCTTCCCCATATTCCCCCTACCCCAACCCTTCACCCTTTGGCTTGCCATGCCCTCTCCTCTTGGAATCTGTAAATATAACAAACTTTCCTTTCGATGGCAGTCAACTTCTAATCTGTTGGCCTTGCCATACCTATATAATGATAAAAGCCACTTTAAAAATAATAATAATAATAATAATAATAATAATAAAAGCTTCTTGTTCCTGATGTATACTTGTGAGTACACACACACTCAGAGTTCTTTCTCCCCCTTCCCTGCCACCCAACTTAGAACCAGCAGAACCACAGTCCAGAAGTCACTCATCCTTACCTTTGACTAAAAACTGAGCAGAAGATGAGATTATTGGTGTATTGCATGTCTCAGGGTGCTGTATAGACAAGACACTAGAATAAACAAAAGGACACCACATTGTGATTCTAAGCACAGGGATTGTGTTTTCTATAGGGGAGAAAAATGTGGTGCTTGAAAGGGAGAGTATTGAGGAGTGACAGAAAGAGTGGGGGTAGTTAGGAATCAAGAGAATGTTCTTACCTTCTGAAGATATTAGCAGTGAAAACCTGCCTACTAGTGAACAGAACAGGCAATCAACAACTTATTTCTCTTCCTGCACAAGATATCAGATTTTTAAACTAGAGTCACTCGAATTGTAGATCTTACCCAGGATCAAGCTTTACCAATAATTTTTAAGATACAAGCAATTGAAAGGCACAGAGTACACAGGGAGAGGTTAGACACAATGAATGCATCTCTTCAGTTTTTTCCTTACTATATTGGACTCACACTTTTGCTTCGGGGTACATTTAGGTTATGAAACATCTCCATTCACTTTTATACCAGATGGTGTGCAGCTTACATGTAGGTTTTTATTCTTCATGTTTACCATAAGCAATCATAAACTGAGAACATCCTGCTAAAAGCATTTCATAGACAAGGGCTTTCTTTCTTGTAAATAGCATTAGTCTGTTCAATGAAGTCAATTTTCAGCATGTTTACAAGGAGATTAGATTGAGTTGCCTGATTTCTTTTCTTTTTGTTTGTTTTTCATGAGCACTGGTCTAGTAATAATAGAAAAATGTATTGTGGCTGGGCACGGCGGCTCACGCCTGTAATCCCAACACTTTGGGAGGCCGAGGTGGGCAGATCACCTGAGGTCAGGAGTTCAAGAACAGCCTGGCCAACTTGGTAAAACCCTGTCTCTACTAAAAATGTAAAAACTAGCCGGGCATGGTGGTGGGCACCTGTAATCCCAGCTACTCTGGAGGCTGAGGCAAGAGAATCGCTTGAACCCAGGAGGCGGAGATTGCAGTGAGCAGAGATCATGCCACTGCACTCCAGCCTGGGCGACAGAGCAAGACTCCATCAAAAAAAAAAAAAAAAAAGAAAGAAAGAAAAATGTATTGTAAGCCTACTGCTTACCTCCTTCCTTCTTTCCTCATATCCTCCTTGTCCAGTTCCCATGCTTTACAATGCAGATGTCCATGTGGTTTTGGGTAATTATCAAAAGTCTTATTTAATGTACTTTTTATAACTTCATGTAATGTACTTTTTATAACTTCTCACTTTCAGCTGCCTCATTTTTCTCCCCTATAAAAAACACAATCCCTGTGCTTCGAATCACAATGTGGCATCTTTTTGTTTATTCTAGTGTCTTGTCTATACAGCAAACTGAGACATGCAATACACCAACAATCTCATCTTCTGCTCAGTTTTTAGTTGTAGGTGAGGATGAGATGATTGTATACAGCAGCCCTGAGGTAATTAACAGCGTCTTAGAAAAAAAACTCGATTTTACATCTCATAGGGCACTTTGCCAACAAGGATAAGATGTTTTGTTTAATAAACAAATAAAAACATAAAGACTCTGCCCAACCAGGTAAGGACACAAAGAAGCACACCCTTTCACTATCAGTTCTCACCAGAGGATCCTGTGTATATAAAAGACCAGGCTTTAAGAAACTCAAAATAGCTGCCTTAACTGACATCATCTTGCAGTCATTCATGATAAGAACTTGGCATCTGCCACCAAAGGCTCTGCCACATTGATGACTCTTTCTTACAAGATTGATGGAAAGCCAGCTGGAAACATGATAACACCTGTCCCACTAACCTTCCCCTCCTCTGTGGTACAAAGAGAGGTGATTCTACTACCAAGATTGCAGTATTAAATGGTATTGCTATCACCAAAGTCAAACTGAATAATGATGCCTAGCCTAATAGGACACAACATGAAATCATCCATTCAAGTATTTATTGAGCATAGACGGAGTGTATGGTAACCCAGGTCTAAGAATATTCATTGCTAAAGAATAGAAGGAGCAGAAATTCTATCATGCTATATATTAATATGATTTTTCCACTTGTGGAACATTTAAGGATAAATATATGATAAGAAATACAGTATCTGAAAAAAAGTTAGGCCACAACTTTTGAGAGCATTAGATTTCATTAGTCTACAAGAGGCATACACCTGCATTTACTTTTTTTTATGTGCTATCTTACACATAATTCTACAGTAAAATGTTATTTACTTAAAAATATAATGGCATATATCTCAATTACATTGGTTTAAAAATATGATGAAGATCATTTAAATCTGGATTTTCAAATGTATGTACCACAGTTGTTCCTTGAGTAATGCAGGGGTTAGGGTCACAACTCCACATCAGTTGAAAATACACTTATAAAGTTTGACTCCCCAAAACACTTAACTACTAATAACCTACTATTAACTGACAGTCTTATGGATTACGTAAACATTCAATTAACAAAGAGTTTGTATGTTATATGTATTACATACTGTATTTTTACAATAAAGCAAATTGAAGAAAGGAGAATGTTATTTACAAAGTCATAAGAAAGAGAAAATAAATGTACTATTCATTAAGTGGAATGGGTCGTCATAAAGGTTTTCATCTTCATCGTCTTCATATTGAGTAGGCTGAGGAGGAGGAAGAGGCAGGGTTGGTCTTACTGTCTCAGGGTGGTAGAGATGGAAGAAAATTTACATATTTTCTGAACCTATGCATTTTAAGCCTGTGCTGTTCAAGGGTCAACTATATTTACTTTTGCTGATACCTAATAATTTTTGGTACTTTTTAGATAAAATTTATGTAGAATAAACAAGAAAGTTTAGAAAGTGTCCCTGTACTTCTCTGGGCTAACTTCAGCTGGTAGCAATTTGTCCAAAAGCCCATGGCTATAAGATAATCCATCAAAATAAATAAACTGAAGGGAAATTGGAAAAGCAAGATATTAGCAGTAATATTAAAACCCTGGAGATCAGGAGGCAAATGGCTTCAACAAAGATCTGGACATTTGCCTGATGCAAGAGATCTTAGATTTTGGGCTTTCCATAGTCCCAGTCTCATTTTGTACTGAGACTTTTAGAGATACACAAAATAGAGGGAAGACAAAGTTTAACTCTTAGCAATAGTGTTATTAATATATGATACTTAAAATGAAATGCAAAGTCGTCCCTCTTCAGGCCCACACCATCACAAACCTCAAGTAATATTCAGGATTCATTACTAAGTCGCTTCATGACCTATTTTTTCCCACAGCAATACTGTGTAACAACCTAACAAAACACTCCAATGGCATATGACAATAAACATTTCTTTTCGTTTATGAGTCTGGGTTAGCTGAGTGGTGCTACTGATCTGCTCCATTTAGTTTATTGTGGCTAAGCTTGTTCATTTGTCTGTGGGCAGCTTGCAGATCAATTGAGGGTTTGCTAATTTAGGATGATCTTGGCCTCACTTTCTCATTTGTGATCTATACAGTCTCACATTCTCTAAGTTAGCCCAGGTTTTTTCATAATGTCACAGGCAGGGGCTGAACAGAGACAATAGAAGTGTGTGGGCTCTTTTGAGGCCCTGGCTCAGAAATGGAATTTCAACACTTGTGCTTCATTCTGGTGGTCACAGTAAAATCTATCCTGAATTCTAAATGGGAGGCAATTAAAAGTTGCAGGGGAAATGTTGGATGCAGGGAGGCTATAAATTAGAACCATTAAGTAATCAATCTACCACAGTGGCCATGTAGGAAAGTACAAAAATTAACATAAGCCTCATAATACATAACCAGAGATCAGATCTATACATGATTATTTTCCTCCTTGAGAAGTCCTGCTGTATAACATTGTCTTAGTCTATTTGGTGTGCTATAACAAAAATTCCATAGACGGCTTATAAGCAACAGAAATTTACTTCTCATAGGTCTGGAGACTGGGAGCACCAAGATAATGGTGCCAGCAGATCCAGTGTTAGGCAAGGGCCCACTTCCTGATTGATAGATGCCAGCTTCTCACTTTGTCCTCACATGGTGGAAAGGACAAGGAAGTTCTGTAGTGCCCCTTTAATAAAGGCGCTACTCCCATTCATGAAGGCTCTGCCATCATAACTTAATCACCCACCAAAGGCCTCACCTCCTACTGCCTTCACATTGAGGGTTAGGATTTCAACATACAATTTTCGGAAGAGCCCACACATTCAGTCTACAGCAATCATATTCTGCTATAGCCAACATTTAAAATTTCTTTAAGGCAAAATTTCTAAGATTCTTGGCATGTTAGAGGTGTTGTTACCTAAATTCACTGCCGGTAGTAAATAGCAAGAGGAAACCACAACTCTTCATTTTGGAAATACACCAGGCAGCCCCGATAAGCAGCAGGGCAAGAACCGACTGAAACAGATGTTAATGGGAGAGAGATGCACATTTTGCAATGAATTGAAGCACAGATGATTCCTCCTACACCAGGTAAAAAAAGATAAGAGCTGCAGTTTAGAGGAGACAGTATCCTCCCAGCAGAGTCGTGTGCTTTTTGAACTAAAGCCAAAAAACATAAATTGAGTGGAATTTTGTATAAATGTCAGGTTGTTTTGATTTATTAACCACTCTTATTTATCCAAGTTAAAATTCTCGTGAAGGAGCTCATATTTCCTTTTTGTAGTTGATCTGAGAACACATTAAGATGTGGGAGAGGGGGAGAAATGAAAAGTATTTATCCAGTCTATCCCACAAAATCAATCCCTTTTTAAATCCATGTCAGTAAAACCATCTGGTAAAGCCATCACTTGACATGTTGTTTTTATTAACATTATCTCTGTAAATAAAGATAAACATATATAGAGCATAGAGAATAAACCCCGCCATAGAAAAAGCCCACACACTAGGTTTTAAAAATATGTATGATCAAAATAAATGGAAAATTTGATTCATTTAAAAAAATGTACCTTATTTTCTGTCAAAGTTCACATCTTATTAGAATATTAACTTCTTAAAAATGTAGCTATATTCAGAATAATTCTATTAAAATTTTAGCTTCATCTAGTGTGATGATATCTGTCATTTCCAACCCTCTGACTTTTCTCCTGCATTAAACTTTCTGTAGTATACTTCAGATTCTGGATTTCATCCTTCCGGTTTGAACCCATTTTTTTGTCCATGGTTAGCGGTAATGATTTTAGATACTCTCATCTCTGCACCTTATGCCTCCCAGTCAATCAAAGAATTTACAGTATTATATAAAATACCTCTTTAATATTTTTAGAGGATGGTAAGAATAGTAGTTATTTCAATGTTAGCAGGTTCTTGGAGACAAAACTTATATGAAAGCCCTGCACACTGCTATCACCAACTGCAACAGAAGGCTAAATTTATTTCCAAATTACCGAAAATCAATTGGTCTATTATCCTTGAATATATCATATTTGCCTATTCTTGAAAACCCAGGAATACTTTTATAAACTTATTATTAGTGTCCATTACATTCAAGAAATCACCAAAATTCTGTTGATTCAATTCTAAAATATGTCTTAAATCTATTAACTCTTTTTCATACTCAAGCCTACTGCCTCTGTTGAGGACTAGTTTTTTTTTTTTTCCCCCACAATGTTCACCAGTCTTTTGCCTTGACATCCAGCCTTTTGTCCTGCTCCCATCCCAATCTCCAGCTTAGTACTCATACTTCCATCTATGTTAACTCAACTTCGTTTAAAATTGCTTTAAGGGCCCCTTCAATTCCTCATAGCCCACTGGATAAAATGCAAACTCCTTGAATATGGGACCCTAACATGCCTTATTCAACTATGTGGTTTCATTTTCTACTTCAGTGCCTGGCACTGTGAAGATAGTCAAGGTGTGATTGAGAAATGAAACAAATGGTTTAAAATTGGAACAGATGGCTGTTTGTTGAGGAGGTTAAGAAGTATTCCACTGTTGTCATAGTAGCAGGGAGTCTTATTTGCAGAGTTAACTTGTATGTGAATTAGCAGACTCACAGGTCATGTGAGTAGTTGAAGGAAGCTCATTTTCATTTTGCCAATCATATGCGAAAAATCAGTACAGGTGACAAAAAGACAGGAAAAAATTTCCTACTGTTTTTTAAATGTGAAATTTAGGAGAATTTCAACAGTTGAATTCTCAAGAAAACAATGATGACAAATTACAAGGGAATTGACAATCGTTTTTATCTGCAGAATATAAATGTGACAGAAGAACACTTAGACACATACTATGAGACCACCTAATGATGTGAAAGAATGGCAGAAAATTGGCCCCCTTAACTAAATGTATTTCTGGAATCTCTTCATGTGGCACTACCCTACTTTTGCCTTCTCACTAACTTCTGAAGACATGGCTATCAGCAATAAAAAAGTCAATTCCTATGAAATAATTATCAGCAGATGATGTTTTTTCATTCCCAAGTGGATAAGACTGATAATATTTTATATATAATTATACACAAAATAGTTATTACCACCAATCTCAGAAATGAGTTCAATAAAATAAGACATTTTGTCTGATATTTTAGATCCTATGATACTTTTAAAGTAGGAGTGACTTACGTAATCCTCTCTCTGATTTAATTAGGTAGAATAATCAGAATACGGGGATATAGAGATGCATTATCTCTTGTTCTAGATCTTTTCATTAAATATGTCATGTACAAATGATTCACCTTCTCATTAAAAGAATCTCTTCTCTATGTGAGTGAGAAAAGTATCTTGTGCCAAATGTGCAGCTTACAGAATTTCTAAAAGTATTAAGGGACCATGGACTATGTACTAGAATATTTAATTCCTTGTTAGAGAATAACTGAGAAAACATATTAAGTGGTCTGGGCCAATTACCAACTTGCTTTTGTATTCATAAATGGAGCTATCAGGAAAAAAAATGCTTCAATATTCAGGGATTTGGACTTTTTTCTTTCTTTTTTTTTTTTTTTTTTGAGATGGAGTTTCACTCTTGTCCTCCAGGCTGGAGTACAATGGGGCAATCTCAGCTCACTGCAACCTCCACCTCCCAGGTTCAAGGGATTCTCCTGTCTCAGCCTCCTGAGTAGTTGGGATTACAGGCACCTGCCACCATGCCCAGCTAATTTTTTTTTTTAATTTTAGTAGAGATGGGGTTTCACCATGTTGGCCAGGCTGGTCTCGAACTCTTGACCTCAGGTGATCCACCAGCCTGGGCCTACGGAAGTGCTGAGATTACAAGTGTGAGCCACTGTGCCCAGCCTGAACTCTTTTTTTTAAAATACTTTAAGTTCTAGGGTACATGTGCACAACATTTGTTACATAGGTATACATGCACCATGTTGGTGTGCTGCACCTATCAACTCTTCATTTACATTAGGTATTTCTCCTAATGCTATCCCTCCCCCAGTCCGCACCCCCCGACAGGCCCCAGTGTGTGATGTTCCCCTTCCTATGTCCAAGTGTTCTCATTGTTCAATTCCCACCTATGAGTTAGAACATGTGGTGTTTGGTTTTCTGTCCTTGTGATAGTTAGCTCAGAATGATGGTTTCCAGCTTCATCCATGTCCCTGCAAAGGACATGAACTCATCATTTTTAATGGCTGCATAGTATTCCATGGTGTATATGTGCCACATTTTCTTTATCCAGTCTGTCACTGATAGACATTTGGGTTGGTGCCAAGTCTTTGCTTGCTATTGTGAATACTGCCACAATAAACATACGTGTGCATATGTCTTTAGAGTAGCATGATTTATAATCCTTTGCATATATACCCAGTAATGTGATGGCTGGGTCAAATGGTATTTCTAGTTCTAGATCCTTGAGGAATCGCCACACTGTCTTCCACAATGGTTGAACTAATTTACACTCCCATGAACAGTGTAAAAGCGTTCCTATATCTCCACATCCTCTCCAGCATCTCTTGTTTCCTGACTTTTTAATGATCACCATTCTAACTGGCATGAGATGGTATCTCATTTTGGTTTTGATTTGCATTTCTCTGATGGCCAGTGATGATGAGCATTTTTTCATATGTCTTTTGGCTGCATAAATGTCTTCTTTTGAGAAGCTTCTTTTCATATCCTTTGCCCACTTTTTGAAGGAGTTTTTTTTTTCTTGTAAATTTGTTTAGTTTCTTTGTAGATTCTGTATATTAGCTGTTTGTCAGATGGGTAGATTGCAAAGGTTTTCTCCCATTCTGTAGGTTGCCTGTTCACTCTGATGATAGTTTCTTTTTCTGTGCAGAAGCTCTTTAGTTTAATTAGATCTCATTTGTCTATTTTGGCTTTTGTTGCCATTGCTTTTGGTGTTTTAGTCATGAAGTCTTTGCCCATGCCTGTGTCCTGAATGGTATTGCCTAGGTTTTCTTCTAGGGTTTTTAGGGTGTTAGGTCTCACATTTAAGTCTTTAATCCATCTTGAGTTAATTTTTGTATACGGTGTAAGGAAGGGATCCAGTTTCAGCTTTCTATATAGGGCTAGCCAGTTTTCCCAGCACCATTTATTAAATAGGGAATCCTTTCCCCATTTCTTGTTTTTGTCAGGTTTGTCAAAGATCAGATAGTTGTAGATGTGTGATATTATTTCTGAGGGGTCTGTTCTGTTCCATTGGTCTACATCTCCGTTTTGGTACCAGAACCATGCTGTTTTGGTTACTGTAGCCTTGTAGGATAGTTTGAAGTCAGGTAGCATGATGCCTCCAGCTTTGTTCCTTTTGGCTTAGGATTGACTTGGCTATGTGGGCTCTTTTTTGATTCCATGTAAACTTTAAAGTAGCTTTTTCCAATTCTGTGAAGAAAGTCAGTGGTAGCTCAATAGGGATAGCACTGAATCTAAATTACCTTGGGCAGTATGGCCATTTTCACGATATTGATTCTTCCTATCCATGAGCATGGAATGTTCTTCCATTTGTTTGTGTCCTCTTTTGTTTCGCTGAGCAGTGGTTAGTAGTTCTCCTTTAAGAGGTCCTTCACATCCCTTGTAAGTTGGATTCCTAGGTATTTTATTTGCTTTGTAGTAATTGTGAATGGGAGTTCACTCATGATTTGGCTCTCTGTTTGTCTATTATTGGTGTATAGGAATGCTTGTGATTTTTGCACATTGATTTTGTATCCTGAGATTTTTTTGAAGTTAATTATCAGCTTAAGGAGATTTTGGGCTGAGACAGTGGGGTTTTCTAATTATACAATCATGTCATCTGCAAACAGAGACAATTTGACTACCTGTTTTCCTAATTGAATACCCTTTATTTCTTTCTCCTGCCTGATTGCCCTGGCCAGAACTTCCAACATGATGTTGAATAGGAGTGGTGAGAGAGGGCATCCTTGTTTTGCCCCGGTTTTCAAAGGGAATGCTTCCAGGTTTGCCCATTCAGTATGATATTGGCTGTGGGTTTGTCATAAATAGCTCTTACTATTTTGAGATACGTTCCATCAATACCTAGTTTATTGTTTATTGAGAGTTTTTAGCATGAAGGGCTGTTGAATTTTGTCGAAGGCCTTTTCTGCATCTATGAAGATAATCATGTGGTTTTTGTTGTTTGTTCTGTTTATGTGATGGATTACATTTATTGATTTGCAGAAGTTGAATCAGTCTTGTATCCCAGGGATGAAGCCAACTTGATCATGGTGGATAAGCTTTTTGATAGGATGCTGGATTCGGTTTGCCAGTATTTTATTGAGGATTTTCACATTGATGTTTATCAGGGATATTGGTCTAAAATTCTCTTTTTTTGTTGTATCTCTACCAGGCTTTGGTATCAGGATGATGCTAGCCTCATAAAATGAGTTAGGGAGGCTTCCCTCTTTTTCTATTGATTGAAATAGTTTTAGAAGGAATGGTTCCAGCTCCTCTTTGTACCTCTGGTAGAATTCGACTATGAATCCTTCTGGTCCTGGACTTTTTTGGTTGGTATGCTGTTAATTATTGCCTCAATTTCAGAACCTGTTATTGGTCTATTCAGATATTCAACGTCTTCCGGTTTAGTCTTGGGAGGGTGTAGGTGTCCAGGAATTTATCCATTTCTTCTAGATTTTCTAGTTTATTTGCATAGAGGTGTTTATAGTATTCTCTGATGGTAGTTTGTATTTCTGTGGGATCAGTGGTGATATCCCCTTTATCATTTTTTATTGTGTTTATTTGATTATTCTCTCTTCTCTTTATTAGTCCTGCTAGCTGTCTATCTATTTTGTTTATCTTTTCAAAAAACCAGTTCCTGGATTCATTAACTGTTTTGAAGGGTTTTTCATGTCTCTATCTCCTTCAGTTCTGCTCTGATCTTAGTTATTTCTTGCCTTCTGCTAGCTTTGAATTTGTTTGCTCTTGCTTCTCTAGTACTTTTAATTGTGATGTTAGGGTGTCGATTTTAGATCTTTACTGCTTTCCCTTGTTGGCATTTAGTGCTATCAATTTCCCTCCACACACTGCTTTAAATGTGTCCCAGAGATTCTGGTACGTTGTGTCTTTGTTCTCATTGGTTTCAAAGAACATCTTTATTTCTGCCTTCATTTTGTTATTTACCCAGTAGTCATTCAGGAGCAGGTTGTTCAGTTTCCATGCAGTTGTATGGTTTTGAGTGAGTTTATTAATCCTGAGTTCTAATTTGATTGCACTGTGGTCTGAGAGACAGTTTGTTATGTTGGCCTGAACTCTTAATAACACTTTAAGATACCAACTGTGTCATTAAGCTAAATTTTGTTGTTGTTGTTGTTGTTGTTGTTGTTTGATGGAGTCTCGCTCTGTCTCCCAGAGTGGAGTTCAGTGATGTGATCTCGGCTCACTGCAGCCTCTGCCTCCCAGGTTCCAGTAATTCTCCTGCCTCAGCCTCCTGAGTAGCTGGGATTACAGGCATGTGCCACCACCCCCAGATAATTTTTGTATTTTTAGTAGAGATGGGGTTTCACCATGTTGGCTAGGCTGGTCTCGAACTCCTGCCCTCAAGAGATCTGCCCGCCTTGGCCTCCCAAAGTGCTAAGATTACAGGCCTGAGCCACCGCATCTGGCCTAAGATAAAATTTAACACCAAAATGGCTCCAGTTGTTCCTAGCTCATGGTCAATGCCTTACAGAGGCATTGATATGGGTGAAAAGGTGTATTCCAAATTAAACAAGCAGCCAGGCTGAAGATGTGTTTCACGGATTCAGTCAAGGAATCATAAAATATTATAACTACAGTGGAACTAATTCATATTGGAAAACATTTCACCTTACAAATGATAAAATTAGGGCAGAAATGGAGGCCTTTCGATACCAGAGCAGCTTGATTTTTTAATATTGATAATATTTGAATGTTTGCATTCCTTCCAAAATTCATGTTGATATTTAATCTTCAATGTAGCAGTATTAAGAAGTGAACCTTTTGGAGGTAATTAAGCAGAGACCTAAATAGATGGGGTTAGCAACCTTATAAAAGGGCTGGTGGGAACTAGCTAGGCCTCTTTTGCCCTTTTTTCCTTCCACCCTTCTGCCATGTAATGATACAGTGGGTGTCCCCTCTGTAGATGCAGCAACAAGACACCAACTTGGAAGCAGAGACTAAGCCCTCACCATACACCAAATCTGCCAGTACCTTGATCTTGGGCTTCCCATCCTCCAGAAGTATGAGAAATACATTTCTATCATTATAAATTACCCAGTCTAACATATTTTGTTACAGCAGGATGAATGAACTAAGACAAGTATATAATGATGCCTTTCTTGATATTTAATCATACAGCTTCTAGAACCCTGAGAAATAATCATTTAGAGGTAGCAATTCCATTTTTGATCTTTTAGAATATAAGACAAATATAAACATTGTTTGTGGTTGAAGTGCTGAGGCAAGAAAGATTATGAAATTTCAACAGGTGTAGGTAAAGGAGTGCTGTTGCGGAGTGGTGGAGGCACTTATGCCATACTTACATTTCCAGTTTTAAAGTTTTGCAATGTAGATGTGTCTCAGAGGACACTTCTGGTGCTATCAGGAAGACAACTGAGCTAGGAATAGAAATTTAAGACAACAATTCTGGAGGAAGAGTTACCTTTAATTCACATGTTTGTTTATAGCCTTGCTAGTTATTACAACTTTAAACATATAAATTAATATCCACAAGCATTCTGGGCATGAGAGTTTGATTACTTCTGGGAACACATTTTATTGTTCTTACATGGGTAAGGATCTGTGCTAGGGAGTGGTTCCTGACTACAGAAAGAGTAACCCGCTAAATCTGCCTCCACAGAACCTATAATCTAGTAGATGACCAAAAGATGATTTCAAACGTCAGTGCGTTGACATGAATGCTGGTCTTTGGGGAAGCTGCCTTTTCATGTTTCCTATTAAGTTTATGCACAATTTTATATCTTCCCTGAAATGACAGTGTTAGGGGTAAGGGAAGGGAAATGACATTTACTATGCATTATCCTCAAGGATTTTGTTAGATGGCTTATGAATTGTTTTTTTTTAAATCTTTTCAATTGTAGTTCTGCAGGGTACCTATTATTATCTCCATGCTCCTGACAAGAATTGTTTAAGATTACCTAGTTAATAAATTGTACCCCACCGGTTGGAAAACCCAGAAATCTAAATTATTTCAATGAAAGGTATATAAAGATATTTAGGGAGAGAGGATGAGGCATATTATGTTTATTGGTTAGGAAGTAATATTTTCCAAAACAGTTTTTAAAAGAAGTATAAATCCTTTACAAGTTTTTACCTAAGATTTGGGAAAGTATCTACACTTCTCCCAGCAAAGAATGTTCATTTCCCAAATACTTACAGTGTAGTACCTATCACTCTACTATGCACATTGAACATTGTGGAAATTAACATTATTTCCATTTAAAGTACATAAGTTTAGTTAAAATAAATTTAAAAGCTAATGTCTGTAAATAGAGCCATGGTTTATTTTAAAAAGTGCTGGCTATATCAAATACTGACTATAAAAATTGTTGTAGAGATGCATTAAGAAACTTAACTATTGAAACAAAATTAGAAATAATATTAAGTCTAGCTTCAAGAGTCAACAAACTAAATTTAGGAGAAGTAGTCAAGAGTTGTCCTTTAATTGGAAATTCATTCAGGGAAATTCATTGCACTACACAGCTGTGGTCTCTTACATCTGTAGCAGCAGCAGGAACTAATACTGTTACCATAGAGAGAAGCCTAAATCTCTCTCACACCAGAAGTTAAAGGCTAGACACATGAGTTATCACTAACAAGCAAAAACAAATGTGGATGCATTTAACTACACACACACAAAAACAATCAGAATGAGAAAATATGAAGATCTGTTTTAAAAATTATTAAGATGTTTTATGTTTTAATTTTTGTTCAATTTATGTAGACTATATAATGTACATTTTGTTCATTTCAAATAGGGTTCTGACTCCATATAAAAATGAGTAGTGGGAAAGTATTTTATATTCTCTTTATTTTAGCTAACACTAATGAGCAGTCAAGATAACTGGATTATTAGGTCACATATAAAACATAAATTTACACTTTGAGACAGTCTATCTTAAGAGAATACGACACTGTATAGAGCATTAACATTTAAATTAATCTATATATAGATGGGGCTTACAGCAATAACTACTACATCTGGCACAGGATTTATGCAACGTCAACTACCAAATGCAAAGACTTGGTATTGAATTGATGTAGGGAGGCAAAGGAGGTTTGGGAGATCTGGATATATTCTCTTCAAAAAAAAAAAGCTGGAATCAAATAAAAATAACTAACATCAAAGGGGAGTTCAGCAGATGCAATGGAAGATGCCTATAGTCCCAGGAGTTCTGGGCTGTAGAGCACTATGCTGATCAGATGTCCACACTAAATTCAGCATTAACATGGTGACCCTGTGGGGAGCTGGAGGACCACCAGGTTGCCGCAGGAGGCATGAAGTGGTCCAGGTTGGAACTGGAGCAGAACAAAACTCTGATACTGATCAGTAGTGGGATCATGCTTGTGGGTAGCAACTGCACTCAAATCCGCGAAGCACAGCAAGATCTCATTCCTTAAAAATACAAATAAAATATTTTTTTAAAAAAAAAGAAAAATCCAATGCAAAAAAGAGATTTAAATGTGACAATTTGACAACCAAAAAAGAAAATATAAAGTAGAAATCATGGTGTATGTTTAACATTGATGGGCAGAGAAGAAAAAACAAAAACACCATTGAGAAAATATCCATTGCTTATCTTGACATCAGAAAAAAGAACTATTTTAATTTACATTACTTATAATTCTCAATTTTTGAACTTTCACTTAAAAATATTTTTGAATGCAAAGTTATTTCCTAATTAACACAACACACAAACACATACACCCTCACAAACAATTTGGGTCATATTTACATGCTTTAAAAAAGCAAAAGCTGTTATTAGATAAGTTATATTTTTTAATTTATTAGCAAAATATGAAAATTTTAGTCTTTGAATTAGATTAGTCCATCTACACTTGGTTTTTAACATGAGCCCAGTATAAAAAGTAGTTTCAGAATCTAAGAAGTAGCTCACTGAAAAATGAAAATCAACTTGGGTGCCTTATTGTACTCATTGTAATCTCTGAGACAATTTCTTAATTTATAGATTACCAAAATCTAGAGAAAATGTCTCAAATCTTTATTGACACTGAAAAAATATACTCAAAAAAAAGGACTATGAAAGCACAGGCAGGGCCTTCTTCTGTGTTAAAATATGTAATTTTATTTTCAATCAAGAGTTTCAAGTCCATTCTGAATTTTCTGAGTAATAGTACAAATTTAAACTTCTACAAAATAAGACCTCTAAAAATATCATTTAATTTGATTAGATCTTGCATCATCTTATGTCTATTTTAATTAGATTTAACTTGAAAAAGGTATTTTTTCTCCTTCTTCTTGACTCCTCTTTCTCTAACACCCTTTAAGCATAAGTGAGAGTAATAATTTATATATATACAGTTTACGTATATATAGCTTTTTAGCATTTTTACAAAGTACTTTTACTGATATATGAAATTCAAAAACATTTTTCATTGGCTCTCTTGTTTGAGAATACTTTCAGATTTTTTGTTTTTTAATGTTTCAAGTGCATCTCTGTCAATGATATGCTCTACTAAATCTCTTCTTTTGAACTCATCCTTAATTCTACAGTAGCGCTGGTTAATAGAACTTTCTATAATGTTAGAAATTGTTTCTATCCACACTGTTCAGAGTATCCACTAAGTATATGTGGCTTTTGAGCACGTACTATGTGGTTAGTGCAGCTAAGAAACCAAATTTTAAATTTAAATGGCCACACGTGGCTAGTGGGTACAGTATTAGACAATACAGTCATAAAGGTTTAATTCTGAAGTGACTGTTAAATTTCTTATGGCTACCACAGAAAACTCTCAATTTTAATATATCCGAATCTAAATATTCATCTCTGCCAATGCACCCACTCTTCTCTCACCATCAAAAACTATACACACATTTACTGCTTTCTCTCTGTCCCTCCCTGTCTCTTTCACTTTTACAGAAACATGCACAGGAATGACGACAAAACTGGTTTTTTTCTTTTCAGTATTACTCCTTAAATAGTTATTCCTCCATCCTTGTTATCATCCAGGTTTGATACCTCAGACAACTTCAATCATTCCCTGTTTCTCAACCAGCTTCATTAGTTTCTGTTTCTCAGACACTATATCAAATTATACACCATTCCCCAATTATGTTTTCCTCAACCATATACTTAGTGCAAACTTTTGATATTTGTCATATTTCAGTGATCAACTCTTTATTATTCAGAACATCATCACCTCTGCTTGGATTTCTGAAGTATTACATTTTCTTGGAAGTTTAAGAGTAGAAGCTCTGTCTGCCTAAATTATATACTTTAAGGTATATTAATTATCCTCTTGCCTAATATGAACTAAAAGGAGGTAAACAGGATTTTTCTTTCCCTTGTCATTGTTAAACTATGTTTATGATTACTTAAACCATGTTTAATAAGCAACATGAAGTTCCCTTTGTGTTTGTTTGTTTTGCTACTGTATTCCCCCTCTCTGGTCTCATGTAGTCTTGCTGGGAATATCAATTAAGACTTTATACTCCTCTGGCTTAAGGGTGACCATGTGACTCCTGGGATTTGGGTCAAAGGTGGAAAGATACAATGGCAAAAGTGTTGGACAGAATTACAGAATTAATTCCTCAGGACCATGAAAAGATAAATATTTAATTCTCACCCTTTTCTAACCTTCATCATCAGTTTTTCTTTTAATCCTGTGATTGCAACGCAATCTTTATAAGTTCTTATTAAACTTAGGCTCCCAGTATTCCTACTAATTAAAACACATACAGGCATACACACACACATACACACACACACACACAGAGAGAGAGAAAAAATGAGATCACAATTAAACATTAAAATCATATAAAGAACAAAAACACCATGAGGATTATTCCAACCCTAAAGCAAAAAAATAAATTGTATCCTAAATGGGAACATTTTAATAAAATGACATTGCATTGAATATAAAAATAATAAAGTAGAAAACAGATTCCCAAGAAATGTCAATTAGATAAGTAGCAGAATTCTGTAAATGTCAGAAAAAATAATATCATCATCTTTGTAGGGTAAAGAATTTTCAATCCATATTCTATTACCAGATAAGTTTTAGTAGGTAAATTCTATAAGCAGCTAAGAGTGAGAAAAAAATTAATGACTTTTTAATAAGAACAAACACAATTCAAAACTTACCTATAGATTTCTAGATTGTGTTTTTTTCTCCTCTAATTCATTACTTTAGAAAAGTATTGAACTCTCTGTCTCCCTGATTATTTTATGACCACAGGTGCTTAAAATGACTGAAACTATTGTATATCATTGTATTGTGCGGCTAGTGATTTTGAACAATGCTGCCTCTTCTTAATAGAATTCCTACCGTTTATCTGTGACTTATTTTTCTTCCCAACCTTCCCAACCCCTGTTTGATCATCCTGTAATTGTCCCCATCTCAGTGAAGGTAATTCAATTTTTTCATGCTCAAGCTGGTGTCATCCTTTTCTCCACACCTAATACCCTAATCTGTCAGCAAATCCTTCCTGCTCTGCTTTGAAATATATCCAGAATCTGCCTGCTTTTCACTACCTCCACACCATTACAACTGACCTAGTCACATAATTTTTTTACCTAGAACTTTGAGGTGGGCAATAACTGGTCTCCTTTCTGTCATATCGGTCCCACACATGACTGTGAGAGGGATCCTTTTAATCTGTGGCTTGATGGTTGAATCAGCTTGGAAAAAATTCTCCCAGAGCCCTTATCTTTCAAACACTGCTTCTACTCAATAATTTGTGACTCCAAAATATGCAAATGTTAGAAGTTTTCATCATGTCTGTAAGGTCTCTTATACTCGTTTCAGTATTTTCTATCTTCTTAATTCTTCAGACTTCCACCTGAACATTTCAACTTGTCTTACGATCATGTTGAGTAACCCTCTCTTCCTGTGCTTAATCTTCTGGTAAATCCTTTATCAGGATCTTAATTTTAATTTTAACTGTAACATTTTTTTCTGTTGTAAAAATTTAATTTTTAAAAAATAATAGTTTTTTTAAAATTGTGTAATTCTTCCACTTACAATCTATTTTTTTGAACATAAAATTTCACAATTATTTTTAAATTCGTACACTGTAAGTCTAACAACTGGGTCCTGTAGGAATCTGATTCTTTTGTCTGCTTTTTATTTCTTGGCTTCTATTTCTAGATACGCCTTACAATTGTTTGTTTGTTTACTTATTTATTTTTGAGATGGAGTCTCGCTCTGTTGCCCAGGCTGGAGTGCAGTGGCGCCATCTCGGCTCACTGCAACCTCAGCCTCCCGGGTTCAAGTGATTCTTCTGCCTCAGACTCCTGAGTAGCTGGGACTACATGCACGTACCACCACACCCGGCTAATTTTTGTATTATTTAGTAGAGACGGGGTTTCACCATGTTGGCGAGGCTGGTCTCGAACTCCTGACCTCAGTTGATCAGACTGCCTTGACCTCCCAAAGTGCTGGGATTACAGGTGTGAGCCACTGTGCCTCACCACAATTCTTGATTAAACACTGAGCATTGTTTATGAAAATTTTTGAGAATCTACATGATTTTATGTTATGGCAGGAATAGTTCACCTCGTCGTCTAGTAAGAACTTTGCAAAGTTTGTTTCCATCTGATTCACGGAACTCTAGAAATTCCAGCAGAGAGCTTGCAATGTTTAATAGTGCCCTTTTATGGGGGCGAGGTGCAGGACCTACTTCATTATCATAAGACAGTCATATATCTATTCTGCTTTTTAGTGGTGCCTTGCATTTTATCCTCATGCCCTGCAGCTGAAGAATCTGTCAAATATCTTCAGTGAAAATGGCAGAAGGTCATTTTCACTCTATGAAGTTTTTTTTCTCTCTGAGATCATAGTTTGTTGTTGTTGTTTGTAACTGATTTTTCTAGTTTTTCATGATATAAGTCTTGTCTCCTACAAGGATTTCTATCTTAAGAAGTGAAAGTCTTCTTCATGAAGCCTTTTAAAATGCATGTGATAAGGCCATTCTTTTGCTCAGCATCCTTGAGTGACTTTCAGTTTCACTCAGGGTAAAACCAAACTACCGAGCACATCCAAAAAGCAAATACATCAAATTTTCCCTGGCTACATTTTGACCTCATCTACTGCTCCTTGATCTACTCTGTGACAGCCACTTTAGCTTCCTCGCACTTCCAAAACACTAAGCACACATCTACATTAAATCCTTTGCATTCATTATGCATTTGTTTACTATACTCAGATTTCATGATAACAGCAAAGTGTTCCCTTGTCACCTCCAATAAGATAGCAATACATATCAGTCAGAGTTCATTTGGAAAAGCAGAGTCACCAGGGTACATGCACTGACTCAAATATATACACATCCCTACAATAAAATGGTTGTTACGGGGATTTGGGTTTGCAGGATTGTAGGATCTGGTTAACCAGTTTGTGTGAGGCTTTTGCTTCTGTACCTGGTGTTAGATTCTGAAGATAGCAAGGCAGTCAGTCAGAAAGGTAAGGTGGACGTGAAGTGAGGCAGACAAGAACCAGTTGCAACCTGTGAAAATGGGCAAGAAACCAAAAGATAGACTGGAATCTATGAAGACAAATTACAACGTGTTTTACCACCTCCTATCTTCCCACTTTGGAAATGTCAGTGTTTAACAGGAAATACTGGCACCCTTCCTCAAATAGCTGAACACAAACCTCAGCCAAAAATTGTAGAACTGAACGGGGAAAATCTGCTATGATCTGATGTTGCTGCTGGAGAAGCTGCTATCCCACATCAAAAGAAACAAGTTAATGACCATATTGCACAGGCTTCAACAACTACTTGTGTACATGTAACAAGATGGCTGCCGCCATTCCCCTACCTTCCTCATCTTGTGTGCCATGTCTCCTGTGGCCCATACCAACAGTGAGCAATGTGGAGAAGGGAATTCTAGGAAGCAGAGTGCCACCTTATCTAAGTTTACCCAATACAAACCTACCACAGCCCATCTTTTGTCAACTTGAATCCATATACATTTATTTTATCAATACTGAACATTCAAATAAAGACAATAGCCTCTGCTAGCCACATTTCTACACTCTGTTTCTACGAAATCAACTTTTTTTAGATCCCATGCAAAAGTGAGATCATATAGCATTTTTTTCTGTGCTTCCTTCCTGAAATGTATGGATCATCGTGGTACCTACCTGTATTTGGTAACTGTAGTTCTCCCTTTATTTTAATTATGCACATCAAAGTACTAAGAAACAGCCTAGGGGACCTTTTGCATTACAGTTATATTTCTTCTCATCATTAGTGTATAGAACCATCAAATTCTCACTGTGATAGTCAAGATCAGTCACCACCATCAGTACAGCAACCCCCTTTTCTGCTTCCTTATTTACTGGCCTAAAGAATCCAAAGTAGCCCAGCGGCAGTCTTAAACTTCAGTTTAGCGAATCCATTGATGTTTCTCCTGCTAAAAGCATTCATCCCTTAAAAATGCAGACCCTAAAGTTGCTCAACAAGGAAGTAAAAATTTTGCAAGTATATCAATAGGGATAAGAGTGAGAGGAATTATTCTTCTTTCAATCCCTTGATTCCCTGACCTGTGAATCCTACCTACAGGATTAAAGGGCCCCATATTTGCTGATATGTTGGAGGATGTTAATGGAGTTTTGCAAGGTGTTGCTACCAGTTGGTGGATAATCAATTCTTCATAAAGACAATGCCAAACTGCTTCAAAATTTAGATTAATTCATATGTAAATGGTGATCTATTAATAAGATCAATAACCTCAAGACAAATGAAAATGACACTTGCATTATCTACAGTAGTGAAGAATGCACCACTCTATCCCCTTCCTCAAGTCTATTGTGGTGTATGAGGAATTAATATTACCATTTATTTAGCTGGTAAGTATTTTTCGAATATTTTTCTTTGCAAAAATTGTGCTGAGAGTGATGCAAAAAGAGAAGTGAGCTTTATTTCCTAATGGAGTATACTCAAAGTAATCTTTATTCCTATAAAAGTTTCAAATACCACATCAGTCAGCTTCCCTGAAGAATGGTTCAAAACCACATTGTGAAACTACTGATTTGATTGTAGTACTGATTTGATTTGCAGTTCTCTGATGATAAATGATGTTTAGCACCTTTTCATATACCTGTTTGTTATTTGTATATTTCTTTTGAAAAATATCTATTCAGATCTTTTGCCCATACTTTAGTAGGATTATTAGATTTTTTTCCTATTGAGTTGTTTCACTGCCTTACATATTCTGGTTATTAATCCCTTGTCAGATGGATAGTTTGCAAATATTTTCTCCCATTCTGTGGGTTGTCTCTTCACTTTATTGATTGTTTCCTTTGCTAACAAAGTTAAAGAAATTTTTTAACTTGATGTGATCTCATTTATCCATTTTTGCTTTGGCTGCCTGTGCTTTTGATGTATTACTCAAGAAATGTTTGCCCAGACCAATGTCCTTGAGGGATTTCCCAATGTTTCCTTTCAGTAGGTTCACAGTTTATGGTCTTAGATTTAAATCTTTAATAGATTTTTATTTGATTTTTGTACATGGTGAGAGATAGGAAATGTCTTCCGCATATGGATATTCAGTAATCCCAGCACCATCTATTGAAGATACCTTCCCCCAATGTATATTACCAGCACCTTTGTTGAAATTAAGTTCACTGTACATGTATGGATTTACTTCTGGGTTCTCTATTCTGTTTCATTGGTCTATCTGTCTCTTTTTAAGTCAGCACCATGCTGTTTTGTGTACTATAGCTCTGCAGTATAATTTGAACTCAGATAATGTGATTCCTGCAGCTTTGATCTTTTGCTCAGGATGGCTTTGGCTACTCTGGGTCTTTTGTGGCTCTATATGAATGTTAGGATTATTTATGCTATTTATGTGAAGAATGTCATTGGTATTTTGATAGGGATTGCATTGAATCTGTAGATTGCAATCACTTGTTACTGATCTATTCAGGTTTTAGATTTTTTCATGGTTCAGTCTTGGTATGCTGTATGTATCTAGGAAATTATTCATTTCTTCTAGGTTTTCCAATTTATTGGCATATAGTTGCTCATAGTGGTCTCTGATAATCTTTTGAATTTCTGTAGTATCAGTTATAATGTCTCCTTTTTTAACTGTGAGTTGAAAGAAAAATTAATGAAGACTACACTAATGGAGAATGTAGTCTTCATTAATGCTCTGAATTAATAGTGAATTTATTTACTTGGGTCTTGTCTCTTTCTTAGTCTGAGTAAATGATTGTCTGTCATTTATCTCTTCAAAAAACAAATTTTTGTTTATTCCTGCTCTGATTATGTCATTACTTTTATTTCACAAATTTAGTGTTTTGTTTGCTTTTGCCATTCTATTTCTTTAAGATGCATTATTAGGTTGTTTATTTAAAGTTTTTCTGCATTTTTGATGTAGGTGCTTATTGATATAAATTTCCTTTCAGTGCTGCTTTTGCTTTATCCCATAGGTTTTGATATGTTGGTATTTTCATTTTCATTTTTTTCTAGACATTTTAAAATTTCTTTCTCAATTTTTTTTCATTGAAACCCTGAGTCATTCAGAAGCATATTGTTTAATTTCCATTTGCTTTTAGAGTTTCTAAAGTTCATCTTGTTATTGATATCTAGTTTCATTCCATTGTGGTGAAAGAAGATACTTAACATGAATTCATTTTTATGATTTTTTTAAGACTTGTTTTTGTCCTAACATATAGTCAATCTTTGAGAATGAGTCATGTGCTGAGGAGAAGAATTTATCATCTCTAGTCTTTGGATAAAATATTCTTTAAATATTTATTAGGTCCTTTTGCTCTATAGGGCAGATTAAATCCAATATTTCATTGTTTATTTTCTGTCTGAATGATCTGTCCACTGCTGAAAGTGGGGTGTTGGAGTCTTCAGCTATTACTGTAATGGAGTCCATCTCCCTGCCTATGTCTAATAATATTTGCTTTATATATTCAGGATCTCCAGTGTTGGGTGCATACATATTTAAAATTATTACAACCTTTTGCTGAACTGACCCCTTTATCATTACATAATGCCTTTCTTTGTCTCTATTTATAATAGGGTCTTGAAATCTATTTTGTCTCGTATAAGTAGATGTACTCTTGTTCTTTTTGGTTTCCATTTGCATGGAATATCTTTTTCCATCCCTTTATTTTCAGTCTATATATCACTTTATAAGTGAAGTGTGCTTCATGTAGGCAATACACTATTGGGTCTTGTATGTTTTATCCAGTAAGCCACTCTATGTCTTCTTATTGGAGATTTTAGTCCATTTACATGCAATGTAATTATTGAGAAGTAAGGACTTACTACTGTCATTTTATAATTTGTCTCCTGGTTATATTGTGATCTTCTTTTCCTTCCTTCCTTCCTTCCTTTTTGCCTTCCTTCCTTTCTTTCTACCTTCCTTCTTTCCTTAATTTAGTCCTTCTGTCTTTCTTTTTATGAGGTGATTTTCTCTGGTAGTATGTTCTAATTTCTTGCTTTTTATTTTCTGGGTATCTGTTTTAGGTATTTTTTTGTTGTTTTAGGTTATTGCGAGGCTTGCAAATAACATCCTTAACCCATCATTTTAAACTGATGACAACACAGATTGCAAAAGCAAATAACAAACAAAAAAGCAAAGAGAAAACTAAAAAAAAAAACTCAACATTTTAACTTCTTCCCTCTGTTTTTTAATGTTTCATTGTTTCTATTTACATTTTACTGTACTATGTCTTAAAAAGTTGTTGTAGCTACTGTTTTTGATCAGTTCCTCATTTAGTCTTTTTATTCAAAATATTAGTAGTTTTCACAACACAATTACAGTGTTGTAATAGTCTGTGTGCTTACTACTACAGTGAATTTTGTATATTCAGATGATTTCTTATTGCTCATTAACATTTTCTTTTAGAGCGAAGAACTCCCTATGGCATTTCTTGTAGGACAAGTCTTGTGTTGTGTTGATGAAATCCCTCAGCATTTTGTTTGTCTGGGAAAGGGCTAATTTCTCTTCTATGTTTGAAGGATATTTTCACTGGATATACAGTTCTAGAATGAAGGTTCTTTTGTTTATTCTCTTCAGCATCTTAAATATGTCATGCCACTCTTTTCTGGCCTAGGAGATTTGTTCTGAGAAGTCTGAGGCCAGACATATTGGACCTTCTTTGTATGTTACTTGTTTCTTTTTTCTGGATGCTTCTAGGATCTTTTCTTCATCCCTAACCATCGGGAATTTGATTATTAAATGCCTTGAAGTAGTCTTATTTGGGTTAAACCTGCTTGATGTTCAATAACCTTACTGTACTTGAATATTGATATCTTTCTCTAGGTTTGCAGAGTTCTCTGTTATTATCCCTTTGAATAAACCTTCTATCCCAATCTCTGTCTTTTTCTCTTTATAATTAGTACCTCTTAGAGTTGTCACATTGAGACGATTTTCTAGATGTTGTAAATGTGCTTTATTCTTTTTTATTTCCTCTATGTTTTTTCAAAGATCCTGTCTTTAAGCTCACTACTTTCTTCTGCTTGATCCATTCTGCTGCTGAGAGATTGATGCATTCTTCAGTATGTCAACTGAATGTTTCGGCTTCAGAATTTTTGCTTGATTCTTTTAAAATATTTCAATCTCTTTGTTAATTTTATCTCACAGGATTCTAAGTTTCCTTTCTGTGTTATCTTAAATTTTGTTGAGCTTCCTCAAAACAGCTAGTTTGAATTCTCTGTCTGAAAGGTCACATATCTCTGTCAATCCAGGATTGACCACTAGTGCCTGATTTAATTTGTTGAGTAAGGTCATGGTTTTCTGGATGATCTTGATGCTTGTGTATGTTGGTGAATGCATGGGCACTGGAGAGTAAGGTATTTATTGTAGCCTTCATCACCTTGGCTTGTTAGTACCTATCCTTCTTGGGAAGACTTTCCAAGTATTCAAAGGGAATTTAGTGTTGTGATCTAAGTCTTTGGCCACTGCAGCTTTACTTGCATCAGGGGATACCTCGAACCCAGTAATGCTGTGAGTCTTACAGACTCATAGAGGCACTGCCTTGGTGGTCTTAGGTAATATCCAGGAGAATACTGTGAATTAATAAGCATAGACTCTTGTTCTTTTCCCTTACTTTCCCTCAAAACAGTTGGAGCTTCCTTCTTTTTGCTGAGCTGCCTGGTACTAAGGTAGGGGTCACACAAGCACTCCTGTGGCCACCACCACTAGGACTGCACTGGGTCAGACCCAAATGTATCAAAAAGATTGTAATAACATTTAGATGTGTACTTATAAGCATGTTGTCTAAAAAGACTTCTGTTTTAAAAAATACAGAGCTTAATACATACACCACCAAGACTAATTAACATTCTTTGGCCCTCACTGAAATTATTTTTTTAGACATTAACTAAAGAAAGCTCATTTCTCTTCTAAAATAGCGATCAACAATATTTTTAACCAAATAATGGAAGAAAATTTGATCTCTTTTATAATTAAAAAATCATGACTAACTTTTCCCATGTATTAATTACTATTCATGAAATTCTTTCACTCATATGAAATAGCAGACAGCTAGTTAGAAACAGGGCTTTACTGAAGTGACACCTATTCACTCACAGTGAGATTCACTGAATACCAAAAGGAGAGAGGTATTTGTTAAGTAGACAGAGAGCACAGTTTCTCGCCTCTGTGGTTTTCTCTCCTAAATTATTCCCAATTCACCTGTTAAGCTTTTCTCTTTTACCCCCTTCAAAGCAAAATCTTTGAAACAGTATTCTAGTCCCTTAAACAAAGATTTACATGTATGATCCTCATGTGTATTTTTCAATCCTGACTAGAATGTTTTTTTCCCTACGGTAAACACCTGTCTAGTTCACAATATTCCTTTTCTAATAATTTTCCTCCCACACAGTCAGCTATTGTATTTTTTCAATGCAGTCAACAAAATAAGCCAATTTCTTGACAAGAGCACATAGAAATTCAGCAACTGAATATTAGCCACATACATCAGCAGAAGCAGAGAAAGTTGCTTTACAAAGGGAAAGGTGAGAATGAAGAAGATCCTGAAAGAAGCAGAGATAAGGAACATCCATTAACAGAAAGAAAGAGAGTAACCTTAGTTACCAATGCATTTCATTTCCTCAGTCTAGTGCTTAAGGAGGCCTTATTGTACTTTCTCCCTTTAAGTAATAATAATAAAAAATTGCATCTTACAGCTACATAACAGTAATTAATAGAAACTAGTGCTTACTGAGGGTTTACCAAGAAACAAGCAGTACTATAAGCACTTCATATACACTAACACATTTAATCTTAATATTAACTTAGTAAAGTAGCTACTCTTATCACCCTAATTTTATATATGAGTAAGTGAGTGATATGAATTCTTGAAAATTGTCTGCAGTTACATTGATGTAGCCAAGATTTAAACACAGCAAGTCCAGTTTCAAGGTTTGTGCTGAGTTTGTATATGCATTTAGTTTTTAGTAGGTTCATTCTATGCATTTCTATTATTTAGGACTGAAATAGACTTTTGCTTCTGGATTAAATGGAGTAACCTTACAAGAATTTTACCCCTTCACCTGAACCAATCAAATAATCAGACAAAATGTACTAAATAACTGTATTCAGGACACTGGGGATCAAGCGATAAGACATCTTTTCCTGATTAATAAGAAACGAATGAAAGAATCCCAGCAATTACCAAGTCATTCTGCCTTGAGAAAGTTCGCAGAGTGTACTGCAGGGAGGGGAAAACCAGGCAGAGACCAATGGGTGCTCTGAGTTGAGGAGACAACACTGTCAGTTCAAGGAGACAAAGAAAGCCATAGTTTCCAGGGAAGAGTACTCATGAATTTAAAGCTAAACAGAAAAAAACCTCAGGGGGTTTGCAGAGGATCCATTTTGAATATTAAGCATAGTACTTCTCAGTACACATGGGGCTACGAGAGGCCATAGGAAAAAGCCACCCAAATGAACTAGAAGGAATAATACCTAAAGGAATAACATGTAAAGCTCACAGAATGCAGGAATAGTGCCTGTAAACCAGTCATTGGAAAGCCTCATAATTTATGCAGAAATTGGTAGTATTCAGAAGAACTTTCATCAGTAAGAGGAAGAAATAAGCCCTAGGAAAATTGTTGCTCTTGTCACAAATAAAATAATATTAGAAGAAGGACAAAAAAGAATTCAACTATTACAAGTAGTTTGAACAAGTCCAGGAAAAAAAGCACAAGAACATTTATATATACACCACCCAGCAAGGCAAGACTAATGTTATCAATGTAAAAATAATTATCAGACATGAATAGAAGCAGGAAAATATGACCCATAAAGAGGAGAAACGTTGATCAATCGAAACCAACACAAAACTGAAACAAATGGAATACTTCTCAGATTAACATTATAAAAGTTATTGTAACTGCATTTTACAAATTCAAAAAGCTATAAGTCTGATTTAACATGTTAAAATAGAGATCTTCTGTGTACACAGAAAATCTTTTGGAAAAGAGCCAAATCTCATTGCTAGAGATGAAAACTAGAATGATTGAGATGAAAAATATAATGGTTGGGTTTGATGTAAGACTAGATATTATAAAAGTAAGTTTAGTTAACTTGACAACATAGCAACAGAAGTTATTAAAAATGAAATACAGGTAGAAAAGCACTTTTAAAAAATGCACAAAGCACCAATGATCAGTGGGACAACTTCAAGTAGTCTAATTTACATGCAGATGGAGTCTCCAAAGGAGGGGAGAGGGAATGGAAAAATTTTAGCTGAGATGTTTGCCACCACATTTTACAAATTTGATAAATGCTATAAATTGACAGATCCAATAAGGTCAATCAAAATCATAAAAAGAAAACAATATACACCAATGAACATTCTAATCACGTTGCTCAAAACCAACGGCAAAGAAAAAACGTCTTTAGAACAGCCAAATATATAAGAATAACTTACTTACTGAAAAACAAAGAAAAGGACAACACAAGATTGCTATGAAAAAAAAATGTAGACCAGAGGATAGATATATCTAAAGTCTTAAAATCAACAACAAATCAACACAACATCAAGCAATAATTCTATACCCAGAGAAAATACCCTATAAATATGAGGTTTCAATGAACACTTTTTTATGCACATAAGAGTTGAAAGAGCTCAACACCAACAGATGTGCACTGCAAAAAAAATTTAAGTAAGTATTTAAGATAGAAAAATATGATATCAGATGGAAATCTGAGTGACACAAAGCAATAAAGAGCTCTAGAAATGGTATGTTAGTAAACATATATACTTTTTTTCTTTGTTAAAGCTCCATTAAAAACAGATTACAATACAATCTGAGGCTTATAATATATGCAAAAGCAATATATTGTCACAACAGGAGAAATGAAAAGTTACAGTTAGAAATTCTTATATGCTAATTGAAATGATATGGTATACATACCAGATGTATAGTCCGAATTCTTAAGTAGCCACTAAAATAACAACAAAAGCAAGAGCAACAAAAGAGTTATAGCTCACAAAGGAAATAAAGTGGAATCAACAACAAAGGAAATCATTTTTTAAAAATCCAAAGCATGAATAGAAAAAACAAAGAAAAGGGAAGAATGAATACACGAGACAAATAGAAAACAAATATGACAGTGGTAGATTTAAATCTAAAAATATTCAAAATATTAATAATCACATTAAAAGTAAGTGAACTAAATATATCAAGTGAAAGTTAGAGATTTACTGAATTTAAAAAGTAAGGAAAAATTCTATGGTTTCTAGCAAAAATAAAGTTAAAATTGAGATACAAATAGGCTAAAATGAAAAAGATAGGAAAGATAAATCATGCTAGCACCAATAAAAAAAAAAAAAAACTGAACTTCTAGCAGACTAAGAAAAAGAGAGGAGAGAAAATTCCTAATACCAGAAATGAAAGAGATGACGTCACTACAGATACTATGGACACAAAAAGAATAATAAAAGGACACTGTAAACAACTCTATGCCCACAAATTTAATAACCTGGATGAATGTACCAGTTTGTAGAAAGATGAAATTTGCTAAAACTCATATAAGGAGAAATAGATAATCCAAATAAGTCTATTATCTATTAAAATTGAATCAATAATTAATTTCCCTTCAAACAGAAATTACCAGGTTCTGATGGTTTCACTGGTAAACAATCAATCAAACATTTAAGGAAGAAACTACCAATTCTATACAATCTTTTTCAGAAGATAGAAACAGGAGTTTTACTTCTGAACTCATTCTGTGAGGCAAGAATTAATCTAATACTGAAACCAGAGAAAGACATTATAAGAAATGACAACTAAAGACTAATATCTATCATGAAACAGACACAAAAATCCTCAACTAAAGAAAATTGCAGGCCGGGTGCCGTGGCTCCTGCCCGTAATCCCAGCACTTTGTAATGACAATGCAGGCGGATCACCTGAGGTAAGGAGCTTGAGACCACCTTGGCCAACCTGGCAAAACCCTGTCTCCACTGAAAATACAAAAATTAGCTGGGCATGGTGGTGGCGGCTGTAATCCCAGCTACTCAGGAGGCTGAGGCAGGAGAATCGCTTGAATCCAGGAGGCAGATGTTGCAGCTAGCTAAGATCATTCCACTGCACTGCAGCCTGGGCCACAGAGCGAAACTCCATCTCAAAAAAAAAAAGCAAATTGAATCCAAAAACATATAAAAAGAATTATGTACCACAAACAATATTATTTATCTCAGGTATGCCAGGATAGTTGAACATTCAAAATTAATATAATCCATCACCAAAAATCAAAAGAAGAAAAAGTATATGATCATATCAATAGATGCATAAAAAGCACTTGACAAAAATCTAACACTTTTTTATGATTAAAAATTCAGAACATACAAGTTCCTCAACTTGACAAGGAGTATCTACAGAAAACCTGTAGGTAACATCCCATTTAATGGTGAGAAACTAGAAGCTTTCCAATAAAATCAAGAACAAAGAAAGGGTGTTTCTTCTCACTACTGCTTTTTAATGTCATACTGGAAGTCCTAACTAGTGCAGTAAGACAAGAAAAGGAAATACAAGTTGTACAGGTTGGGAAGAAATACATATAACTGTTCACAGATGACATAATCAGTTATGTAGAAAGTCCAAAAGAATTGACAAAAATCTCCTAGAATTAATAAATGATTATAGCAGAATTGCAAAATATAATGTAAATGTATGAAAGTGTATCACTTTTCTATATACCAACAATAAGCAAGAACAATTTGAAATTAAAAATACAATATCATTTACATTAGCACTTCCCAAAAATGAAATATTTACATATAATTCCAACAAATTGTATACAAATCTGATTTGTAGAAAATACAAATCTCTGATAAAAGAAATCAAAGAAAATCTAAATAAATGGAGAGATATTTCATATTCATGGATAGAAAGGTTCAATATTGTCAAAATGTCAGTTATAACTACTTAATCATTAGATTCAATCAAATCCCAGTCAAAATTCCAGAAAGTTATTGTGTGGATATTCACCAACTGAGTTGAAAAATTTATATGGAGAGGGAAAAGACCCAGAATATTCAATGCAGTTCTGAAAGAGAAAAACAGCCTGGACATTTGGGTTGGTTCCAAGTCTATTGTGAATAGTGTCCAACAATGATAGACTGGATTAAGAAAATGTGGCACATATACACCATGGAATACTATGCAGCCATAAGAAATGATGAGTTCATGTCCTTTGTAGGGACATGGATGAAGCTGGAAACCATCATTCTCAGTAAACTATCGCAAGGACAAAAAAACCAAACACCGAATGTTCTCACTCATGGGTGGGAATTGAACAATGAGAACACATGGACACAGGAAGGGGAACATCACACTCTGGGAACTGTTGTGGGGTGGGGGGAGGGGGAGGGATAGCATTAGGAGATATACCTAATGCTAAATGACGAGTTAATGGGTGCAGCACACCAGCATGGCACATGTATACATATATAACTAACCTGCACATTGTGCACAGGTACCCTAAAACTTAAAGTGTAATAATAATAAAATTAAATTAAAAAAAGAAAAGAAAAACAGCCTGGAGACTAATACTACCTGACTTCAAGTCTTACTATAAAACTACAGTAATCAAGACAGTTTTGAATTAGCTAAAGAACACACAAATAGATCAGTGTAACAGAATAAAGAACACTGAAATGGGCCCACATATAGTCAACTGATCTTTGACAGAGGAGCAAAGGCAATCCAATGAAAGAAAAGACAATTTTTTCAACAAATAGTGCTAGAATGACTAGCATGTTTGCAACATCCACATGCAAACAAATGAATCAAGACAGATTGAGAGAGGGAGAGATAGAAGGAAACGAGGGAGGAGAGGAAAGAAGGAAGAAAAGAAGGAAGGAAGAAAGGAAAGAAGGGAGGAAGGAGGAAGGAAAGGAAAGGGAAGGAAAGGAAAGGAAAGGAAAGGAAAGGAAAGGAAAGGAAAGGAAAGGAAAGGAAAGGAAAGGAAAGGAAAGGAAAGGAGGCAGGCAGAAAGGGAAGAAGGGAAGAACATATTTTTCCTGCCCTCTTAAATTAGATTTTCACATTTGAAATATCTACTTGATATTTTCATTTAAGGTAAGTTTTTAATCTCTTCCTACACATAAAACACATATGCACACACCGTTCCCACTCCAACCTCTAAGCCTGACCTTCAATTTTCCTATTCTTGTGGATTCTAATTTTCCCAGTCATCCAGTCTCTAGTTTTTCCAGCCTAAAAATGAGTCAATTTATATTTTTCTGTTTTTAAATCTTATATTAATTTATTAAAATTCTGATAACTTATATTTTTCCTTGCTTTGAATTCTTCTCTTGCATGTCTTTATACTGATATAGTCAACTTAGATTCTTTGTCACTCCTAATTAATGCACAAGGAGGCAGTGATTTCTCCACTTCCAATTGTGTCCTCCCAATCTGCTTTGCACCAGGTTCTATCTACATTCTAATTCTCAGTCTCTCATTTGAAAACTTGTGCTAACTTCTCATTTTCATTAGACTCTTGGGGTGGATATAAGTCCTCCACAATTTATCTTAATTTATTTTTCCAAAACTGCCTCCCAATACTTACCATCATAATCCCTTTATTTCAGCAGGCTGCTTTTCTTATTATTCAATATGCTATCTTAAATCCTGCCTCTAAGCCTAAGTTCACACCATTTGCCCCACTTTATTCCACTTCAGTCATGCAATTTCATTCACTGCTCAGTTTCAATCACAGCAGGATAAGCAATTTAAGAAGTGGAATTAAAATGAAATTCAAGTCTCTGGCCAATTTCAAATTATGGTCAAATCGCCCTTCCTATGTGATGATTTAAACTGAAAAATGTTCTTTTAGTTTAGGATTTTTTTTTAGTCCCAAAAGGAAGATTTTATTAGAGCCAAAGGCAGTTTATGTGTTTTAATAGTAATAAAATCCACATAGCTGTTACCTGGTTAACAGCTTCATAGATAATAGAATTTTGTAGGAATATTCAGAATTAAAATGATATTAAATTAAAGCACTATAGTTATTTCCTATTATCTGAGTAAGATATGGAATGTTCTGATGGAATTAAGTATTAGAGCTTATAATTTTAATTGAAGTATTTTCATGGATAATATTCAATCTGCTATTTCAGTATGAAAAAAGTTTGCATATTTGAGAATGATTGACATGCAAGTTTCTTCTACTCATTCAGTTGGATAAAAAATCGCTGCTCATTCACAACTAAAAAATAATCTTTCACTTAGATCTCACTTTGTCAAGTGATGCACATTCGTAAAAATGCTTCAGTACATTGAAGAGGTTAGCCACATGAGGTGATCTGTTAGAAAACGCTGAGAAATAACTTTTAAAATGGAGCACCTCACCTGTAATCACAGTAAACTTTTTCCTGGTAATTTTATTAATTTCAACATCTACTCTTGTCCAGATAGCAATGAAATATGTAGGACTGCTAGGAAGATTCCCTAAAATTTGTATTCATTATACAAAGTTAGATTGAACATGAGAAGTAATTAGTTCAGCATGCATTGAATGAAAATATATTAAAAATGAAAAGCATTTAAAAATGAAGATCTTTTAGTAATAAAGTGTATGTGGAATTTCATATTATTCATCAGAATATTTCCTGCCCAGGAGAGATTTATAGTTCCCTTCGCCATTAAAAAGATTTTTCTATAGAAAAGATGTACCCCTTTTCTATAGAAAAATTGTCTTGTTAAATTTGGGAGTGGCCATGTGACTTGCATTGGCTGAAAAAATGTTGGTAAGTAATATGTTTCAGTTTTATAAAGCTTTAAGAGCTTATGATTCACAACCTCCTTCTTTTCCTTCTGCCATGAGACTCCCAGATGAGAGCAGTTTCATCAACATCGAGTTGGAATGCAGATAACATGGGAAAGAACTGAAGCAGATCCTTAAAGGACTTAAAACATGAGAAAGAAACTCACTTTGTAGGACATTGAGATTTTTCAAGTTGTTTGTTACTACAACATAACCTAGACCAGGATTCCCCAACCCCAAGGCCAGGACCAGTACCAGTCCATTCTGTGTGTGGCTTGTTAGGAACTTGGCTGCACAGCATGGGCATTAGATTCTTGTAAGAGGGCGACCCCTGTTGTGAACTGCACATGTGAGGGATCTAGGTTGAGCATTCTTTATGAGAATCTAATGCCTAATGATCTGAGGTGGTAGTTTTATCCTGAAATTATCCTCCCAACCCCCCCACCACCCCATGGAAAAAGTGTTTTCCACAAAACTCATCCCTGGTGCCAAAAAGTCTGGGGACCACTGTCTTGGCCCTAACAAATAAAATCTGTCTTAATCATTTAATTATTTTTTAAAAACTAAAATATATTAATTAGTGGGATTTGTATCTAATTTACATATTATGCAGATACAAGAGTTGAATGATTTCACATTTTCAATTTTATTCCAATAATATTTGATAAAACCTTTATTCATTTAATTTTCCCATGGATAATATATGTATAAATATAAGATGATACACAATGAAAAGTCTTCCTCCTTTCCTGCTGGTTCCTTTCTTCATTCCTTCCTTTTAACCATGAAAATTGTTGTCATTAGATGCTTACATATCTTTTCAGAGTTTCCAGGGTGAACTCCGAGTATCTGAGACAGGTCTTAGTTAATTCAGAAAGTTTATTTTGTCAAGGTTGAGAACGTGAACCTGTGACACAGCCTCAGGAGGTCCTGACCACGTGTGCCCAAGGTAGTAGAGGCACAGCTTGGTTTTATACATTTTAGGGAGGCATGAGGAATAAACTTGTTTTGTTAGACACAGATTTTGGAGTTGTTCGTTAAAATATGTATAAGATATAAATTCATTCACTCTGGAAACGTAGGACAACTCAAGCAGGGAGGGGTCTTCCAGGTCACAGGTAGGTGAGAGACAAACAGTTGCATTCTTTTGAATTTTTTATTAGCCTATCCAGTGAGAGATGCGTTTATCTCAGTGAGCAGAGGGATGACTTTGTTTGTTTTTTTGTTTGTTTGTTTGTTTTTTTTGAGACGGAGTCTCGCTCTTTCACCCAGGCCAGAGTGCAGTGGCACGATCTCGGCTCACTGCAAGCTCCGCCTCTGGGGTTCATGCCATTCTCCTGCCTCAGCCTCCCGAGTAGCTGGGACTACAGGCGCCTGCCACCGCGCCCTGCTAATTTTTTGTATTTTTAGTAGAGACGGGGTTTCACCATGTTAACCAGCATGGTCTCGATCTCCTGACCTCGTGATCCGCCCCCCTCGGCCTTCCAAAGTGCTGGGATTACAGGTGTGAGCCACCGCGCCTGGCCAGAGGGGTGACTTTGAATAGAATGGGAGGTAGGTTTGCCCCAAGCAGTTCCTGGCTTGACTTTTCCCTTTAGCTTAGTGATTTTGGGGCCCCAAGATTTATTTTCCCTTCACACAAGTAACCTTTTCAAGTAAACCCAGATATCAATACTTATTTTTTCTCTATTTTTACACAAAAGGCAACACATTATATGATTTGTCCTGAACATAATTTTGTATTTACAATATATCTTGGAGGACTTTCCATATGGCTACTCATGATTTCATTAATTCACATTTCATTCGTATATGGATATAATCATAATTTATCACAGGCTTCTCTTTTTGATGGGCATTCAGGTAATTTTAGTCTTTGGCCACTATAAATAATGCTGTAACAAATAAACTTATTTCATTTTTCATATGTACAACCACATGTGAAGATTAAATTCCCAGAAGCAGAATTGCTTGGTCAAAAGTATGTGTGTGTTTGAAATTTAGTAGATATTGCCAAATATCTAATCACAGGAATTGTAGCAATTTATACTCCCATCAACAATGCATTAAAGTATCTGACTCTCCAACTGCCTTGCCAATAGAGTATGTTACCAAATTTAGGGATTTTTACAAATTTCATAGGTAAATAATAGCACCTCAGTGTAGCTTCAATTTGCATCATTCTAACCAAAATTGCGTATAACTACCAATAATGTAATTAATCCTTTTTATTCATTGGTACCCTAGACACCTGCTTGAATCAGGTTTGGCTCCAATTAATTTCTCCTTCCTTTCATTAGTTGTTATTTGGAATACCTCTCTGTGATTCTAATTTCTAATTTCCATTTCTACAGTATTTTATTTTCTTTGGCGTAGTGCTTTGTTGACTAACTAGAATATAAATACTTTTATAGAGGAGTAATTTACAACAAATCCGTTTTCCATAAAATAAAGTTAATAAATCCATTGGTATATTTTCTAATAAGGTTTCTAAACATGAAAAGCCTGAGTGTCAGAATTATACCTGGAATGAAGATGGAGAAAGGAATATAGAAAACATGCTTGATAGTACCAAGAGAAACCTCTGCCCCAGGAAAACTGTTAGTAGAACTGGGTCTATTTAATATTCAACCAACCTCATACTTAGTTCTATCTTGAATTGAAATCTGTCTCTTCTCTCTTTCTCCCTCCCTCCTTCTAATTGACAAAACAATGTCACTCACACAAAATGAGGAAACACAGAGACAATTAATTGGGAGCTTAGTTGAATGTAGCCTTTCCTGGGGAAACATATCTAGTGTAAGAACGGGAGAAAATGAAATGGCATTTATAATCAGTAGGTGTGGAACTGACTTTCTCTTTGTAAGTTGTACCATGGTTTTATTATCATGTGCTCAAAGATCCTAGTTTCTTATTCATTTGTCAATAATTCCTGACTGACAGTGTTAGAACACATAACAAACCAGTCCATTCTATTCTGCAAGAATAATTATTCATCAAATTGAATTATGAACAGAATTTTTTCTAAAGAAGCAGTCCTACATTTTCTGCATAGCTGTTACACAGTAAATATTTAGAGAATTGAAATCTCCCATGAGCAATGTTCTGACTTTTCCAGACCTTTTCTGATCTATACAAATATTTTACAATTTGATTTCACTAATGGTTTTTACAAATCAATAGGAAATCAGAAGAATTTTATTCCTTTTTTCAATGTTGAATTTTATCTGGATAGCAAAGATATTCTGTCACAGTAGGATTATTTTCATAATTAAATGAAAGTGAAAATATAAATCACTAGGAAAACTAAGGTGTTTTTAAAATCATTGTACTTTTGTGCTTTCTCATAGTACTTGGAATTAACATAAAAATACTCAGGGATAAAAAGAAAGTATTGTGAACAAATCACACAAAACAAAAAATGTTTTGTAACAGTCTTTATCCAAGTTTTCTTTCAAAACATTTTTGAAAACCTCTCTCATCTTAAAAATCATTTTGAGAATAATTCTAATTTATATGAAATTTAAAAGATTATTCCATAATAAAAAGTTCTTCTTAGATTTTGTTTACACTTAATTAAAAATACAACATTGCTTTGAATATTATGCTAAGATAATAGCATGATATTGTTTGGCTGTTGCGGCTGCAGTTTATTTGCTAACTGAATTTGAGTGTGATAAATCATAGTCAAAGATGGCAAAATTTATACTTAGGTTGCTTAAGGCTCTAAGATTAGTGAATTGAAGCAATTATACATTAACATATCTATTTCATACAAGTTTTAGAGCATTTGATTTTTAATAGAGTTTAGTTTTAGCACAGCTCTAGATTCATAGCAAAACTGAATAGAAAATACAGAGTTCTCATATATCCCCAGTCTCCACACATGCGTAGCTTCTCCCACTATCAGCATACCATACCAGAATCACATATTTATTATAAAGGATGAACTCACATTGACACATCATTAGCATTGAAAGTCTGTAGTTTACACAGGGAGTCTCGTTTGAGTTTGTACATTCTATGGATTTTGACAAACATGTAATGGCATGTATCCACCATTATTGTGTCATACAGAAAGGTTTCATTGCCCTAAAAGTATTCTGTGCTCTGCCTATTCACACCTTCTTCCCTTCAACCCCCGGCAACCACTGATCTTTTTACTGTCTCCTTAGTTTTGTCTTTTTCAGAATATCATATAGCTGGAATCATACAGTTATAGCCTTTCCAGATTGTCCACTTTTACCTAGTAATATGCACTTAACTTTGTTCCCTGTCTATTTACACTTTGATAGCTCATTTCTTTTTAGCACTGAATAATATTCCATTCTGGATATACTACAGCTTATTTATCCATTCACCTCCTAGAGGACATCTTGGTTGCTTCTGAGTTTTGAAAACTATGAATAAGGTTGCTGTGAGCATTCCTAAGCCTGTATTTGTGTGGATATAAGTTTCTACTCCTTTGGACAAATACTAAGGAACACTCATACAGTATCATATGGTAAGATTACGTTTAGTTTTGCAAGAAACTGCCAAGCTGTCTTCCATAGTGGCTGGCTTATTTTCATTTCCATCAGCAATGAATGAGTATTTCTTGTTTCACATCTTCACCAGAACTTGGGGTTGTCAGTGTTCTGAATTTTGGCAATTGTAACAAATGTTTAGTGGTATCTCGTTGTGGTTTAATTTCCATTTCCTTGATGACATATGATGTGAAGGATCTTTTTATCACCTAATTGATACATGTACATTTTCTTTGATAAGGGGTTTAAGACCTTTGGCCCATTTTTTAGTCAGGTTGTTTTCTTATTGTTGAATTTTAAAAGACTTTTTGTTATTTTGGATAATAATCAATGTGCAATATGACTCTGACAAGTATTTTCTCCCAGTTAGTAGCTTGCCTTCTTATTCACTTGACAGTGTCTTTTGCAGAGTAAATGTTTATAATACTAGTAAAGTCTAGTTATCAATTTTTTTCTTTCATGGATGGTGACTTTTGTATTGTATCCAAAAAGTAATTGTGAAAACCTAGGTCATCCAGATTTTTCTCCCATGTTATGTTCTAGTTTTATAGTTTTACATTTTACATTAAGCTTATGATATATTTTGAATTAGTTTTTGTGAAAGTTGTAGATTTGTATTTAGATTCTTGTATCTGGATATCCAGCTGTTTCAGTAGTATTTGTTGAAAAGACCCTCTTTTCTCCAGTGTATTGTCTTTGCTCTTTGTCAAAGAACAGTATACTATATTTCTCTGGGCCTTTTAGATAATTTGATTTTTATTATAAAAAATCAGTTTCTTTAAAGGTGTTGGCCTGCTTTGTTTTTTTTTTTCTTTTTCTTTTTTTTTTCAGAGTCTTGCTCTGTTGCCCAGGCTGGAGTGCAGTGGTGTGATCTCGGCTCACTGCAACCTCCGCCTCCCAGGTTCAAGTGATTCTCCTGTATCAGCTTCCTGAGTAGCTGCAATTACAGGCGTGTGCCACCACACCCAGCTTATTTTTGAATTTTTAGTAAAGACGGGGTTTCACCATGTTGGTCAGGCTGGTCTCAAACTCCTGACCTCGTGATCCGCCTGCCTCGGCCTCCCAAAGTGCTGGGATGATAGGCGTGATCCACCGCGCCTGGCCAGGTGTTGGCTTTTTTTATCTGACTTTCTTAATTATAGAAGAGAATTGTTTGGCCTAGAGATTTTCTGTTATTATTCTCATTCATATTTTGGAAGTTAATTTATAATAAACGTTAACAATTTAATGTTACAATGCTTTGATTGGTGACCAATGATTTCAAGAGTATCAATCACACTTGCATTAAGGGCTTCAGTATTTCTAATATAACTGATTCCATAAAGTCTCTGATAAAGGAGAGGGAAGTGAGGGTCACAGATCTCAATAGAATATGCCTGGCTCCCTCCTTTCTAGTCACTGTCCTACCTCTGGATTCTGTTTTTTCTGATCACAGTATGTGAATTTCAACTCTTTATTAATCTTGCCTTTGAAAAATAGCAATTCTGTTTACTTCTCTTGCTTTATCTTTGAATTGCTAATTATCTCCAAGGCAACCAAGGCCTTTAGATTAAAACAAATTATGTAGAGAATGCATGAAAAAGAAAGTCGCGTGTATACAGGTATCCGTCTTACACAGCTCATATTCCATTTCAGTGACTTCTACTCTGGAACTTTGCTTTGTCTCAAACTTCTCCACTTGTGAAATCTAAATATCCCAATATCTGACAGCATCCTTGTACATAAAGTATGTCTTATATATACAACCTTTTGTTTGTCTTTATTCTGTCTGATGGTTTGTCTTTAAATTGGAAGGTTCAGTATATTTAGATCCAATGTAATTATTGATGTGGGTGGTCTACCATATTACTCTGTTTTATTTTTTGTACTATTGTTCCTTTGTTCATTGATTTCTCTTTCTTAATGAGAACAGTGCATGGTTCCTAGTTGGCATTCAACACTTCTTCATTCCCATTTTGAAATAATCACTAATTCTGTCCAATATAACTCTTTAATAGTTATACACTAGGTTACTTCTTTCCATTACTATTATCACATTTTTGTTCAATTTGTGGTTTATGCCTGGTTTACTAGAATAGACATCTCACTTCCTGCACCTATCACTGCCTGAATTCAATATATTATAAGTAGAATGATCTTTTTGAAATTTGAATTTGTCAGCATATGATGTAACTATTCAATGGCTTTGCCACTACAATTTTGGAAATACTTGAATTACTTAAGTATAGCTCAAAAGCTCATCTTCCTCCCATAATCTCTCTATACACTATGCAATAAATATACTGAACTATATGATATTCTCCAAATACCTCATATTATTTCAATTTTGAGCCTGTAGATACCTTAATTTTCCTTGTAAACAAAGAAAAAACAAAAACAAACACCAAAAAAGTTATTCTATGTAACATTCCCCAAATCCACTTCCAAAACATAGCTGATCATTTCTCTTTGTTCCAAACCCTTTATTTCCACAGATATCTATGTTAACATGCTTGGTTTAATCTCAATGGCTTGTCTGTTCTTTTTCTAAATAATGGAGTTCTTCAGGGCTTGGAAACAAATTTTATAAGTGAAACACTTGAAACATAATAGGTATTATGTAAATGTTGTTGTTATTTCATGTCTATAACAAAAGCACAGCACCTAACAGACAGGAGGGTCATATTTTCATGTTAAATAAATGTTCCTATGCATGCTTGAATTAGTAAAGGAAATAATGAGTGTATGAATGTATAAACTAAAATATGAAAATATGCTAGAAAAAAGAAGACTGAAGCAGATGGTAAATAATATTTTACTTCATCATTTGGAGTCTCAGAGGCTATATTAATGTCAGCGTGTTCTCATGGGAATCTTTTATACTTTTCATAGTTTATGTTGAGAATGTCTTCAACAGTCTAGAGTTAGAAAGCATCATAGAGCTCATGATTGATTTTGGAGAAACAATGGCAGTTATATGGAACTGAAGGATTATTAAGAACATATGCCAGTTAAATATAAAATGAAATACACTTGGCTGAATATATTAAAGTAATGTTTTTCTTAACAAAACAGATAACAAAAAAAAGGTGAACTACACATTCATTTAGTACCTACATACATACATACATACATAGTTTCCCTCATGATACAGTTATTAGACTTTTTTGTTGTTTTTGATGGGCTTATTTTTGATCTTTGCAAATCCATGAGCAGATGGGATTTTACTCATATTTTAGAACTTAATTGTTGAATGTGAGCACAATTTAGAATCTGTAAACATGATTTTTCAGTCTAGGCCCGTACATATCTAAAATCAAAATTATCTTCCTCATTTTTGTCATTAAAGACAAATTAAAATAAATTAAAAATTTAATTTATCTAACAGACTTGACAAGTAGTTTCTTATTTTCCAGATCAAAATATTTATGGAAATTCAAAGTTATAGACATATTTATCTCTCCTTAAATTTTGAAGGAATTATAGGTTTCTATTTTATGATCAAAAAAGAAGACATTATAAAGAAAAAAGTTTGTGCTGAAGTAGATGCCCCAAACTAATGGAAAATTGAAGGAGCTAGACTATGAAGTCCCCCAAATAGTTTAAATCCCACTTCTGATCTATGCCACTCAATAGCTATGTTACACAGAAACAAATGTGGCACTTCTCTGGGCTTTGGTTTCCTTACTTTGAAAGTCATCATAAAGCTATGAACTTGTTAAGATTATATATTTTATCACAGGATAACTGAGACTAGTAGTCTAGAAGCTTCATAAGAACAGAGATAATGCCTCTCACTTGCTGCTATAAGTCCAACACTCAGCACATAAACAGTGCTCAATAAATACTTAATAAACAATAAATCTGGAGTGTTTAGTGAAGACTGGTACGTAAAGTGATGAAAATATTTGTAGGTACTCGGTATTAGTACATATTGTCCTCTTAATCTGAACTGGCCCTGTAGGGGAGAAAAAAGCAGTATTTTTCTTTCTCCCTCATCATTAGGTTCATGGCTGAGATCCCTATAACAGAAGATAGATTAACAAGAAAAAGCATACCGTTTATTTGATAGAAGTCTTACATGTCGTGAGGGCCTTCAGAAATGAGGACGCAGTGTTAACTGTTTAACTGAACTGAACTATTTCTGGGACTGAGAAACTGGTTCTATGGCTTTTGGAACAATCTACAACCCAGTTTCTTCTTTGCAAAACTTCTTTGAGAAGTTCCAGACAGTGGAATGATGGGGCTCAGGACATGCCACCCCAAAATACGCCAGCTTGGCATCTGAGGTAACAGGAGAAGCAAAAAGTTCACACTCACCTTCCACTTGCCTTTCTACTCTGAAGCAGGCTAAAAGCAGGCCAACCTTTTGACCTTTCCCTAAAAGAGATCATAAGACCTTAATTCTAAAGGGGTTCTGTTTATACTTACAAGAAAAAAATGTCACACAGAGATGCCACGAAGAATTTAAACAAAAAGGCCTTTTAAAGTTGCCCTTGGCTCACTATGATTAGACCACGTATTTCTACCTCCAATTACACTTCTGCACAGCTGTCCATGAAGATAGTTTTCTCTGTTTCTTTGGGTCTTCATTTGTGAAGGCTCTCACATAAAACTTCTATTAAATAAATTTATATGTTTTTCCCTTGTTAATTTGTGTTTCTTTTATTATTATTATACTTTAAGTTCTAGGGTACACGGGCACAACGTGCAGGCCTGTTACGGATGTATACATGTGCCATGTTGGTGTGCTGCACCCATTAACTTGTCATTTACATTAGGTATATCTCCTAATGCTATCCCTCCCCCTGCCCCCCACCCCACAACAGGCCCCAGTGTGTGATGTTCCCCTTCCTGTGTCCAAGTGTTCTCATTGTTCAATTCCCACCTATGAGTGAAAACATGCGGTGTTTGGTTTTCTGTCCTTGCGACAGTTTACTCAGAATGATGGTTTCCAGCTTCATCCATGACCCTACGAAGGACATGAACTCACCCTTTTTTATGGCTGCATAGTATTCCATGGTGTATATATGCCACATTTTCTTAATCCAGGCTATCATTGATGGACATTTGGGTTGATTCCAAGTCTTTGCTACTGTGAATAGTGCTGCAATAAACATACATGTGCAAGTGTCTTTATAGCAGCATGATTTACAATCCTTTGGGATGGCTGGGTCAAATGGTATTTCTAGTTCCAGATCCCTGAGGAATCACCACACAGTCTTCCAAAATGGGTGAACTAGTTTACAGTCCCACCAACAGTGTAAAAGTGTTCCTATTTCTCCACATCCTCTCCAGCACCTGTTGTTTCCTGACTTTTTAATGATTGCCATTCTAACTGGTGTGAGATGGTATCTCATTGTGGTTTTGATTTGCATTTCTCTGATAGCCAGTAATGAGCATTTTTTCATGTGTCTGTTGGCTGCATAAATGCTTTCTTTTGAGAAGTGTCTGTTCATATGTTTTGCCCACTTTTTGATGGGGTTGATTTTTTCTTATAAATTTGTTTAGGTTCTTTGTAGATTGTGGATATTAGCTCTTTGTCAGATGGGTAGATTACAAAAATTTTCTCCCATTCTGTAGGATGGCTGTTCACTCTGATGGTAGTTTCTTTTGCTGTGCAGAAGCTCTTTAGTTTAATTAGATCCCATTTGTCAATTTTGGCTTATGTTGCCATTGCTTTTTGTGTTTTAGACATGAAGTCCTTACCCATGCCTATGTCCTGAATGGTATTGCCTAGGTTCTCTTCTAGGGTTTTTATGGTTTTAGGTCTAACATTTAAGTCTTTAATCCATCTTGAATTAATTTTTGTATAAGGTATAAGGAAGGGATCCAGTTTCAGCTTTCTACATATGGCTAGCCAGTTTTCCCAGCACCATTTATTAAGTAGGGAATCCTTTCCCCATTTCTTGTTTTTGTCAGGTTTGTCAAAGATCAGATGGTTGTAGATGTGTGGTATTATTTTTGAGGGCTCTGTTCTGTTCCATTGGTCTATATCTCTGTTTTGGTACTAGTACCATGCTGTTTTGGTTACTGTAGCCTTGTAGTATAGTTTGAAGTCAGGTAGCGTGATGCCTCCAGCTTTGTTATTTTGGCTTAGGATTGTTTTGGCAATGCAGGCTCTTTTTTGGTTCCATATGAACTTTAAAGTTGTTTTTTCCAATTCTGTGAAGAAAGTCATTGGTAGCCTGATGGGGTTGTCATTGAATCTATAAATTACCTTGGGCAGTATGGCCATTTTCACGATATTGATTCTTCCTATCCATGAGCATGGAATGTTCTTCCATTTGTTTGTGTGTTTTTATTTCGTTGAGCAGTGGTTTGTAGTTCTCCTTGAAGAGGTACTTCACATCCCTTGTAAGTTGGATCCCTAGGTATTTTATTCTCTTTGTAGTAATTGTGAATGGGAGTTCATTCATGATTTGGCTGTCTGTTTGTCTGTTGTTGGTGTATAAGAATGCTTGTGATTTTTGCCATTGATTTTGTATCCTGAGACTTTGCTGGAGGTGTTATCAGCTTAAGGAGATTTTGGGCTGAGATGATGGGGTTTTCTAAATATACAATCATGTCATCTGCAAACAGGGACAATTTGACTTCCTCTTTTCCTAATTGAATACCCTTTATTTCTTTCTCCTTCCTCATTGCCCCGGCCAGAACTTCCAACACTATTTTGAATAGGAGTGGTGAGAGAGGGCATCCTTGTCTTATGCTGGTTTTCAAAGGGAATGCTTCCAGTTTTTGCCCATTCAGTATGATATTGGCTGTGGGTTTGTCATAAATAGCTCTTATTATTTTGAGATACATCCCGTCAATACCTAATTTATTGAGAGTTTTTAGCATGAAGGGCTGTTACATTTTGTCAAAGGCCTTTTTCTGCATCTATTGAGATAATCATGTGGTTCTATTCTTTGGTTCTGTATATATGATGGATTACATTTATTGATTTGTTGAACCAGCCTTGCATCCCAGGGATGAAGCCCACTTGATCATGGTGGATAAGCTTTTTGATATGCTGCTGGATTCGGTTTGCCAGTATTTTATTGAGGATTTTTGCATTGATGTTCATCAGGGATATTGGTCTAAAATTCTCTTTTTTTGTTATGTCTCTGCCAGGCTTTGGTATCAGGATAATGTTGGCCTCATAAAATGAGTTAGGGAGGATTCCCTCTTTTTCTGTTGATTGGAATAGTTTCAGAAGGAATGGTACCAACTCCTATTTGTACCTCTTGTAGAATTTGGCTGTGAATCTGTCTGGTCCTGGACTTTTTTTGGTTGGTAGGCTATTAATTATTTCCTCAATTTCAGAGCCTGTTATTGTTCTATTCAGGGATTCAACTTCTTCCTGGTTTAGTCTTGGGAGGGTGTATATGTCCAGGAATTTATCCATTCCTTCTAGATTTTCTAGTTTATTTGTGTAGAGGTGTTTATAGTATTCTCTGATGGTAGTTTGTATTTCTGTGGGATCAGTGGTGATATCCCATTTATCATTTTTTATTGCATCTATTTGATTCTTCTCTCTTTTCTTCTTTATTACTCTTGCTAGCAGTCTATCAATTTTGTCTATCTTTTCAAAAAACCAGCTCCTGGATTCATGATTTTTGAAGGGTTTCTTCTGTCTCTATCTCCTTCAGTTCTGCTCTGATCTTAATTATTTCTTGCCTTCTGCTAGCTTTTGAATGTGTTTGCTCTTGCTTCTCTTGTTCTTTTAATTGTGATGTTAGGGTATCAATTTTAGATCTTTCCTGCTTTCTCTTGTGGGCATTTAGTGCCATAAATTTCCCTCTACACACTGCTTTAAATGTGTCTCAGAGATTCTGGTATGTTGTGTCTTTGTTCTCATTGGTTTCAAAGAACATCTTTATTTCTGCCTTCATTTCGTTATGTACCCAAGTCATTCAGGAGCAGGTTGTTCAGTTTCCATGTAGTTGAGTGGTTTTGAGTGAGTTACTTAATCCTGAGTTCTAGTTTAATTGCACTGTGGTCTGAGAGACAGTTTGTTATAATTTTTGTTCTTCTACATTTGCTGAGGAGTGCTTTTACTTCCAACTATGCGGTCAGTTTTGGAATAAGTGTGAAGTGGTGCTGAGAAGAATGTATATTCTGTCAATTTGGGGTGGAGAGTTCTGTAGATGTATATTAGGTCCACTAGGTGCAGAGCTGAGTTCAAGTCTTGGATATCCTTGTTAACTTTCTGTCTTGTTGATCTGTCCAATGTTGACAGTGGAATGTTAAAGTCTCCCATTATTATTGTGTGGGAGTTTAAGTCTCTTTGTAGGTCTCTAAGGAATTGCTTTATGAATCTGGGTGCTCCTATATTAGGTGCATATATATTTAGGATAGTTAGCTCTTCTTGGTGAATTGATCCTTTTACCATTATGTAATGGCCTTCTTTGTCTCTTTTGATCTTTGTTGGTTTAAAGTCTGTTTTATCAGAGACTAGGTTTGCAACCCCTGCTTTTTTGTGTTTTCCACTTGCTTGGTAGATTTTCCTCCATCCCTTTATTTTGAGCCTATGTGTGTCTCTGCATGTGAGATGTGTCTCCTGAACACAGCACACTGATGGGTCTTGACTCTTTATCCAATTTGCCAGTCTGTGTCTTTTAATTGGAGCATTTAGCACATTTACATTTAAGGTTAATATTTTTATGTGTGAATTTGATCCTGTCATTATGATGTTAGCTGGTTTTTTTGCTTATTAGTTGATGCAGTTTCTTCCTAGCATCGATGGTCTTTACAATTTGGCATGTTTTTGCAGTGGCTGGTACCAGTTGTTCCTTTCCATGTTTACTGCTTCCTTCAGGAGCTCTTGTAAGGCAGGCCTGGTGGTGACAAAATCTCTCAGCATTTGCTTGTCTGTAAAGTATTTTATTTCTCCTTCAGTTATGAAGCTTAGTTTGGCTGGATATGAAATTCTGGGTTGAAAATTCTTTTCTTTAAGAATGTTGAGTATTGGCCCCCACTGTCTTCTGGCTTGTAGAGTTTCTGCTGAGACATCCGCTGTTAGTGTGATGGGCTTCCCTTTGTGGGTAACCCGACCTTTCTCTCTGACTGCCCTTAACATTTTTTCCTTCATTTCAACTTTGGTGAATCTGACAATTATTTGTCTTGGAGTTGCTCTTCTCGAGGAGTATCTTTGTGGCGTTCTCTGCACTTCCTGAATTTGAATGTTGGCCTCCCTTGCTAGGTGGGGAAGTTCTCCTGGATAATATCCTGCAGAGTGTTTTCCAACTTGGTTCCATTCTCCCCGTCACTTTCAGGTACACCAATCAGACGTAGATTTGGTTTTTTCACATATTCCCATATTTCTTGGAGGCTTTGTTCATTTCTTTTTATTCTTTTTTCTCTAAACTTCTCTTCTCACTTTATTTCATTCATTTGATCTTCAATAACTGATACCCTTTCTTCCAGTTGATTGATTCAGCTACTGAAGCATGTGCATGTGTCACGTACTTCTCATGTCATGGTTTTCAGCTCCATCAGGTCATTTAAGGTCTTCTCTATGCTGCTTATTCTAGTTAGCCATTCGTCTAATCTTTTTTCAAGGTTTTTAGCTTCTTTGTGATGGGTTTGAACATCCTCCTTTAGCTCAGAGAAGTTTGTTATTACTGATCATCTGAAGCCTTTTTCTCTCAAATCGTCAAAGTCATTCTCTGTCCAGCTTTGTTCCATTGCTGGCAAGGAGCTGTGTTCCTTTGGAGGAGAAGAGGCGTTCTGATTTTTAGAATTTTCAGCTTTTCTGCTCTGGTTTCTCCCCATCTTTGTGGTTTTATCTACCTTGGTCTTTGATGATGGTGACGTACAGATGGGGTTTTGGTGTGGGTGTCCTTTCTGTTTGTTAGTTTTCCTTCTAACAGTCAGGACCCTCAGCTGCAGGTCTGTTGGAGTTTGCCGGAGGTCCACTCCAGACCCTGTTTGCCTGGGTATCAGCAGTGGTGGCTGCAGAACAGTGGATATTGGTGAACTGCAAATGCTGCTGCCTGATCATTCCTCTGGAAGTTTTGTCTCAGAGGAGTACCCAGTGGTGTGAGGTGTCAGTCTGCCCCTACTTGGGGTGCCTCCCAGTTAGGCTACTCGGGGGTCAAGGACCCACTTGAGGAAGCAGTCTGTCCATTCTCAGATCTCAAACTCCGAGCTGGGAGAACCACTACTCTCTTCACAGCTGTCGGACAGGGATATTTAAGTCTGCAGAAGTTTCTGCTGCCTTTTGTTCAGCTATGCCCTGCCCCCAGAGGTGGAGTCTACAGAGGCAGTCAGGCCTCCTTGAGCTGTGGTGGGCTCCACCCAGTTCAACTTCCTGGCTGCTTTGTTTACCTACTCAAGCGTCAGCAATGGTGGACGCCCCTCGTCCAGTCTTGCTGCCGCCTTGCAGTTCCATCTCAGACTGCTGTGCTAGCAATGAGGGAGGCTCCATGGGTGTGGGACCCTCCAAGCCACGCGTGGGATATAATCTCCTGATGAGCCATTCACTAAGACTGTTGGAAAAGCGCAGTATTAGGGTGGGAGTGACCTGATTTTCCAGGTGCCGTCTGTCACAGCTTCCCTTGGCTAGGAAAAGGAATTCCCTGACCCCTTGCACTTCCTGGGTGAGGTGATGCCTTACCCTGCTTCTGCTCATTCTCCATGGGCTGCACCCACTGTCCTGCACCCACTGTCCGACAAGCCCCAGTGAGATGAACCTGGTACCTCAGTTGGAAATGCAGAAATCACCCATCTTCTGCGTTACTTACACTGAGAGCTGTAGACTGGAGCTGTTCCTATTCAGCCATCTTGGAAACTCTCTAATTTGTCTTTTCTTAATAGAAGTCTGAGCTGTGAACCTAATGATGGGTGAGAAAATATGTTACTTTTTTTCCCCTACAGCCCTTCATGTTTTTCACTTTTTAATTTTCTTATAATTGTTTTTGGTTATTGTTGCTGAGGCTGATATCTTGCTAAAATTATTCATGTATTTGGATGTTACTAATCATTTTAATGGATAAGTATATTTTATTTATTTAATATTTCATATCTATTTGTAAATTATCTATTGTCACCAGATCTTCAACACAAAATTCGATAGGATAAGTAAAAGCAACAGAAAAGGAGGTTTTCATGATATTTCATTGAAATTACTGGTTAGTGGCTCAACATAAAGCTACTTTTATCATCTTTCTATTTCTGCAAGCCATGTGACGCGTACAAGTCTGCAGGCAGATTATGACTCTATGTAAACGAAGACAAGAAAATTAAAACTGTGGGAGCTTTTTCACCCCATAAGGAGCTTAGTTTAAAGAAAAAATAAAGGGCTTTTCTTACTTGCATGTCACAGAGAAACAGGTTTAAATCACTACAGCAGTGTAATGTGAGGCATGTTTAGGAATTCAGCAAAGCATAAGAAGGAAAAGTCTTCACTGGTAAGTAGCAGGATTTAACTGACACAGCTGTCTTTTTAAAATTTCTAAATGCTTCCTTTGCCTTACACTGGAGTTCAGATCACTCAAAAATAAAAAAAAAAAAAAGCAGAAGAGAGATTTCTGTGACATGAATCCATAAGGATTAGGTTTAGATTCAATTCCTTTAGCAAACATAGTTATTTGGCTTCATTTTGGTTTCTCTTGAAAAGGTATGACTTCTTTAAATTTGAAGGAAATGGACATGTATCATATTATTCTGGGATAGAAAAGATTAAAAACTGTATTGAACCTATTCGCCAACAGATTTTTGAATGGACTCTACAATAAAAGCTACAAAAAAGGTAGGACATATTTGCTTACCTTTAATGAGGGCAAGCTCGTGACCTGTTAAGGAGACCCATTCCAGCACTGGACACTAACTTCTTAAAGAAGATAAAACTTATATTGAATTGAATTTGGCTCCCTAGAATTGCCAATCACTACTGAATTCTTCAATTTGTAGACATCTATCACAAATCTAATATTTTTCTCTATTACAGAGACATATTCATTTCACAATACAGAGTAGTATCTTGATTGTTAGCCTAAATTAACTTAACAGTTATTTCTGCCTGATCTTAAATGTTATATAATAGAAATATTATATATTTCTAAGGGCCTCAGAATCGTGCAGGCGCAATTGTGCCCTGGGTCGCCAAGATGTTGTTCCCATAGTATAAGCCGTCGAGCCTGGCCACTGTGCCTGAGACCCTCGACCCAGCCGAATACAACATATCTCTGGAAACCCAGCGGGTGCAAGCCGAGCGGTTGGCCATAAGAGCCCGGCTGAAACGAGAGTACCTGCTTCAGTACAATGATCCCAACCGCCAAGGGCTCATCGAAAATCCTGCCTTGATTCGTTGGGCCTATGCAAGAACAACAAATGTCTATCCTAATTTCAGACCCACTCCTAAAAACTCACTCATGGGAGCTCTGTGTGGATTTGGGCCCCTCATCTTCATTTATTATATTATCAAAACTGAGAGGGATAGGAAAGAAAAACTTATGCAGGAAGGAAAATTGGATCGAACAGTTCACCTATCATATTAAGTCTGGCAATGATGACTATATGTATCCCTGCATAAATAAATTGACTATTAATAAAAAAAAAAGAAAAGAAATATTACTCTCCAGGGTTCTCTATAGTACACAGGTGAGTATAAGTGACAAAAATTGTATCTATAATGAATTCCCCTAATTAATTAGTATATTTTTAAAAGGCGGTGGTTTGATTTAACTTTCCAATTTATATTAACTTATGATGAATAGAAGCAAACACAGATTGATTATTTTCAAGCAATGCTGTAGTACCTATGTATGCCAGGCACTCTTCTAATAAGTTCGCAAAAATTTATTTATTTAATTCTTAAACCTACAAAGTAAATACTTTAATTATCCCTATTTTATGAAAGAAAAAACTGAGAATTTGAGAATAAGGCATTGAAGATCATATAACTAGTAGAGTTGATATTTGATTGCAGGTAGATGGCCTCCAGAGCACTTTCTCTTAACTAAGCAATCTTATAAAATAGCTATTACTAGAAATGTAGAAACTGAGGTAGAAAGAAAATAATTTTCTCATGATTATAGATAAGTAGAAATCTGAGATCCAAACTCCAAAAAAAAAGAAAACTTAAAACATAAATTAGTATGAATTAATATAAAATAAAGATAATTGAAAACTAAGGCTTTACTAAACTTCATCAAATTGAATTGATGAATTCAATCTGGTGATATTATAGATAGGCTATTTAGCAGTTTATGCTCAAATCCACTAACTCAACAGCTTTCACTTTCCAAACAACAAAAATTTAAGCTCATCTTTTTTTTTCTTTTTTTCTAATCTCCAAGAGTCAATGGGACCCACTAAAACACACAACTGACATTCATGGCATTGCCTCTACTTCACATCTGTTTCAACTGCTGCTTCAGATACCTGTCTTGACTGCTGGCAGACGTTGCTTTTCTTATTTCTTTAATGCACCACTCTGCTGGGCTCCCTGATGCTTTTGTGCAACCATGCACACAATGACAATGACTTCCTCTGATTTTGATTCACCTAGAAATGTCTTTTTATTTCTGTGCTTCACCAATTACAGCTATGTTCCTAGATGCTTCTGATTTAGAAGTTTGAAGTAAGAAAATGCTTATTCTATCTCTGATGGTATTTTATAACACAACAGCTTGTGTCCTATGTGGATAACAAATGTTGACTTTGCAGCAGCCACTCAGACCTCTTCTTACGACCAAACTTCAATTTCCCTCTGGTGAAACACCATTGCTCTCACTTTCAGGCCATTAAAGTTCAAGTCAAGCTGACACCATCTCTAATGCAAGGAATGAGAACATATCTTAAGCTAATATTACAAAAGTGTTTGGTAATTTGGTAGAAATATGACTCAATCAGGACAATTACATTAAAAATACATTGGCAGTATGTTATGTGAAAAGGTCACTTAATTTTGCTCTGAGACCTGGAATTCAAGAACTACATAAACACTATCATTTTGTTGTTAAACGAAGCTTCAGAATAAAGACAAGACATTGCAAAACAAGCAAGAATTGGATAGAAATCACATCCTGCTGATAATGTTTCTGCCCTGAATTGAGTCATTTCTAAAACTTGCATACCACCAGGCATTTCTGGTTTGAATGTTCTGCAACTTGCGACAGCAACAACAAAAGTTCGAACTGAGTATCTTACCTGTGATTCTTAGAAAGCCAACTCTCAGGCAAATATTTTATTTGCTACTACTTCATTAGGTGTTCAATCCAAGGAAGCAAACGTGAGGACAAAGAAAATCACAGGCAAAGACAGAGAGCCGATTTGAGGCCATTAGGGATGACTGATTCTTAGCCACTTTGGATCTTCTTCTGAGAAGTCAATATAGTACACAATCTATATATCAGAATAGTCCAGTGATGGAAGGTGTGGAGAAATGGAATGGTAAATATACCCATCAGCTCCTGTTTCTCATTGGTGAAATGCTAAGCCCACAGACAGACTGCTATGTCTCCCCATATTTCTGGGTTGAAAAACATGGGTGCTAAACAGGGTCCCAAGGTGTCCTGAAAATTTATATTGACAATGACTCTCTCCAAACTCTAGCCAGGCTTCTCTCATCCCTGCTTTGACTAGTCTCTGTCGTTGGGCCTTATACTCAAGAGGAAGAATTCTGCTAAGTCAGTTTAGTAAGAACCCCCGCACCATTAATATCTGATCACTCTCAGTATCTTACTGGGTTTCTCATCCTCCAGCATCCCCCAGGTGATACCTAATTACCCTCACTTGCCTTCAGCAAGCATTATGTTAGATCGGTTTAGCTAGAAATTTTCCTGATGTTTCCACTTAGTAACTTTCTATCCCCTGACCCCCAGTCTGCTTATTGGCTATAAATCCCCACTTGTCCATGCTGCATTCAGAATTGAGCCCAGTTTTATAATGAGGTCTCTTTTCCCCTGCTGCAATAGAAAAATATGTTTTCACCACTTTACTACTGTCAGGCTCTTGCTTTTCTTTTAAAAACATCAAAAGAAAGTCTGGAGTGGGAAGTAAAGGGCTGAGGTATTGTCAGATGCACCTTCTTGGTGCTGATCAGTGCCAAGAATAGGCTGATCATGGTGGTGGTGGTTAGAACAAAAGGAGGCTGCATGAGGATCTAAAGTGCTTCACAGCAGGCGCCTAACAAACTGATGCACCCTAGTGATTTAGTTCTTACCATTTTATTACATGGCACTAGGAGGGTCTCACCAAAGAATTTCAAGAACCTCTAAAATCTCCATTCTTTCCATTTTACTTCACACACATCTCTTTTGTAGGCCACATAGGAATGTTCTTTGACAGAAGCTTGAGTTGGAGTTGATTTAAGTAAATATCTACACTCTATTTAAATTCTCTGGTCTCTTACACCATAAATATACTAAAGATCAGGCACATCTTTCCTCACTTTTGGCACTTTTTGTGTTATGAACTTCATTGTTCAGTAGTTTCCTTTAGGATCTATCCCCTGGTCTTCAAATTCAGTACACATAGCTGTATATAACTGGAACCTGATTGTAGACACGGCATATTATTGTTTTACCCATGGACTCTGGCTCCATATGAAAATCAGATGGGGTTAGCTGTCAGTGGAGTTTCTTCCTATGAAGACTAGACAAAGAGACCAGACATTGCATAAAATATTCTAAATAGATACAAATTTAAATATAAAAATATTTATAACAATGAGAGAAAATCACAACAATAAAATAACAAATACATTAAATGATTAAAGTAATTGATAGTAGACAAGACATAAGAACTAATTACTTAAAAAGAATTAGAAAGTCAAGTAAATAGAAGTATCATATATAGATAGTTATATATAAAATAATATACAGTTGATTCTTGTTATTCTTGGTAGTTATATTTTATAAAGTCATCATAAATGCTAAATTAGCATGTACTGAATTATTTCTCCTAGGGAAAATATAGGGTTAGCTTCCTGTGAGCCTCTGTTCACAACAGTTTTGTTAACTGATCAATACATAGCTTGGTTTTATGTGTGTCTCTGTTTAGACATCTTATTTAATATATATTTTGATTAATTAAAATTGAACTCACAACCAGCAGCAATATAACTCATATATCTAACACACTTATTTTCTCAAGAAGTCCTAGTGATATGGAAGAGGGGCAGGGAAGTGCTGGGAGGAGAAGGTGGGTCCATGGCGAGGGCTCCACCCCATCACAAATGTAGGTGAAGACAGGCACTCCTGCCTTCCCACTCAAATGTTACATTTCCCAAGAACACCCTGGTCCACTATGCCCCCATCCCGTTCCTATAAAAACTCGAGACCCTAGCATGCACACACTCAAGCGGCTGGACATTTAGAAGAGCGGATCGGTGGAGGAAGACACAAGTGGCTGGACATCAAGAGAGAACATCAAGGGGAGCATGCCGGAAGAAGAGCACACAACAGATGCTGGCACATTGGCAGGCCATTGACCAGTGGAAGGAGGCAGAGTTTGGCCAGGGCAGTCAGAGGAGAGTCCAGGCTGCCAAGCAACCTGACTCCAGGGGAATATCATCTCCCTTCTGGCTCCCCCATCTGCTGAGAGCTACTTCTACTCAATAAAACCTTGCACTCATTCTCCAAGCCCACATGTGATCTGATTCTTCCGGTACACCAAAGCAAGAACCCTGGGATACAGAAGGCCCTCTGTCCTTGTGATAAAAAAGGGCTCTAATTGAGCTGACTAACACAAGCCACCTATGGATGGCTAAACTAAATGAGCACCCTGTAACACACACCCATTGGGGCTTCAGCTCTAAACATTCACCCCTAGACACTGCTGTGGAGTCAGAGCCCCACAGCCTGCCCATCCGTATGCTCCCCTAGAGATTTGAGCAGAAGGGCACTGAAGAAGTGAGTCACACCACCATCGCATGCCCTGCAAGGGGGATAAGGGAAAAGAGAACTTCTGTTTCAACTGGAGGCTTGTTCGGGATCTCTGTAGATGAGTGTGAGCAATGCAAAACTGTTGGGTCTGCCTCTCTTCCCAAACCCTGCTGCCTCTCTCTCTTTTCTGCAGGTAAGAGGCTCTGTTTCCCTTCACGGAGTTTTAAACTGCCCTCACTGGGCCGGTCAAAACCCCCAATTTCGTCTCTTTTCTCTCGCAGTTTGGAATGGCTCTTATCTCTTTCTTTATAACATTAAGAGTTTGGCTACCAGCTGAGGCAACGTTACTAAGTAAAATGAGCAATTTGCTCAGCCACCAAAGGTGCAAATCAGATCAGCTGTTCCTAGAAGTGCCATGTATGTCTCTTTCTCGACTGACAGCTGCAGGCACATACAGCTCAGGGCACCTCTCCTTATCCTTCCCCCTCCCAGCTTGGGTGTCTGGGCGTGCCCAAGGCAGGCAAAGGTCCAGCCAAACAGCCGCAAGGGGGGAGGGAGAAAGCCAAGGCAGTAGCCAGGACCCTACAGGGTGCTTCTTGGCTGTGCCAATGGAACCTTTCCTTCCTTGGCCAAAGAATTCAACCTGGTCTGAACTAGGGGAAGGATGGGAAAGTTATAAGGATTAGAGGGGCTTACTTGCACTAAGCAAAAGATTCCCCCAGAATCCCCTGATTTTTGCCCCTTTAACTATTTTTCTTTCTCTCTCTCTCTTTTTTTTTTCCTTTTTTTAAGTGAGAAGGCTCTCCCTCCCAGCTCTGTTTCTGATAGGGCAGTTAATGGATGAACGACCCTTGCTGGCTGAGAACTGCAAACTCAGCAGGGCACATTTGAGACACTACACAGACACAAAGGGCCTCTGAAATACCTTTTCCTTCCCAAACTTGATTCCAAGCTTCAGGCAGAGGCCCTAGAAAGAAAAACCAGGTCTGAGGGATCCAAAGCCAGACAACAGGCACAATGTAAATGAGCAGGACAAATTCCTGCCAACTGAACCCCACCACATGGAAGGAGGCCATGCTTCATGGCATAAACAGGCTCAGGGAACTCAAGATTTGCTTAGCAGGGAGAAAGGGAAGCATGGGTGAGGGTGGTTGATTCCTATTCTCCAGATTTTCCCTGCTTCATGGGTACATACTGCATTGGTACCTATGGCTGGCACCTGCCAAGGTCACCGGGGCTCACGGACAAGAGGTAGAAGGTGAAGGGAGGATGCTCGCTTTCTCTCTCCATCACATCCTGAGTTTTTCACTGAAAGAAGGAAGGGAGTGAGGGACACGTCTATTCCCTGTCTTTCAGAATGGGCCACCAGTTCTCTTCACCACCCTCAGCTTACACTCCTCTGGAGTGTATCCTGAACTATTAGGACTGCTTTGACCCTCCGAATCTGAAGGAAAAGCACCTCATAGCCCTCTGCACAAAGATTTGGCCAAATTATGATTTACTGGAAGAACTGGCTTGCCCTCAGGAAAGAACCATCCATTTTGATATCATCCAGCAATTGGAACTTTTCTGTAGACATGAAGACAGATGGTCTGAGGCCCATATGTGCAGGCTTTCTATACCTTGCAAGGCAATTCAGCCCTTTGCCGACAATGTAGGGTTGATCCAGCCCTCCTGTTTGTTGTCTCAGGGAAGGCTGCAAGGGGCAAGCCCAGTGAATTAAAGATACAAATCCCAGAGGCATTCTCAGCAGAGGAGCCATCTCCCTCCAGTCCTGCTCCTCCATGTCCACCCCGACCTCCCTATCCAGCTTCAGCCTCTCACTTGCTCCCTTCTAGAAAACCTCACCCCAAACAAGCCCCAATCTCACTCTTGCCCCTCCAACAGATGCCCAGTGAATCTGGGCCCAGTAAAGTCCAGGTCCCCTCCTCCCTACAGGACTTAAAGCAAATTAAGGGGGATCTTGGAAAGTTTTCAGATGACCCTGATATATAGAGGTTTTCCAGAATTTTACCCAAATATTTGAACTATCCTGGAGAGAGGTTACGTTACTTTTGAATCAGACCCTGACAGACAGAGAGAAACCGGCTGCTCTGCAAGCAGGAGACAGATTTGGGGATGAGCTTTGTATCACATGGAGCATCAGGAAGGGGGGCAATTAGTATCCAACTAGAAGAGAAACAATACCAATGAATGACCCTAAATGGGATCCAAATGACGAGATGGAAGACTGGAAAAGGAGACGCTTTCAGGTGTACATTATGGAGGGCTTACCTAGGGCTAAGACCAAGCCTCTCAGTTATACTAAGTTGTCCATTATCAACCAGGGATTTGATGAAAATCCCACTGCCTTCCTAGAAAGGCAAAGACAGGTGTTAGTAAAGCATACCTCTCTATCTCCTGATTCAGCTGAGGGATAGCTAATCCTAAAGGATAAATTTATTACTCAGGCAACTCCTGACATCAGGAGGAAGTTGCAGAAGTGGGCCCTGGGACCAGATAGTACATTAGAGGACCTCCTGAAAGTGGCCACCTCGGCTTTCTACAATAGGGACAAGGAGACACAAGAAAAAGACAGGAGCTTTAATGGCCACTGTGCAAGCCCACAAACCCCCAAATTCCCAGGGTACTCCTATTAACTGCTAAAGATATGGCAAGAATAGTTATCTCTCTTCTAAAGTTTAACTGCTCCCATACAAGGTTTAATTTATTTCACTAGGGTGAGACAGCTCAGGGTACAATGTTGTTAGTATATTTTACTTCTTATCTCTGTAATCTTTGGTACTAAATTCTTTCCTCATATAATACACATGCAACTTAACCTTATGACGCAAACTTAACCTTATGAAACTTTTTTTCTCTCATGCCTAAGAAGCATCAAACTCCGAAAAGGCAACCCAAGCCTCGGACGATGGCCCCCCTTTGCTAGGAACCCTTAGATAGACCTCTGGGAGGAGTCTGACTGCTGTTTTCCCCAAAATAATGCCCCCTGTCAATAGCAAGCAGCTAAGACCAGTCATTGTCCATAGTCTAACAGCAATTAGATATACTTTATCAGAGGGAAGAAATGATAAGCAAGAGGGGCAGAGAAGGGTGGGGAGGAGAAAGGGAGGCCCCTGGTGAGGGCTCCACCCTAGGCCTGTGCCCATGGACCTAGGTGAGGATAGGCACTCCTGCCTTCATGCCCAAATGTTGCATTTCCCAAGACCACTCTGGCCCACCATGCCCCCATCCTTTTCCTATAAAAACCTGAGACCCTAGGGGGCACACACACAAACGGCTGGATGTTGAGAGAAGCAGATCAGTGGAAGAAGACACAAGCAGCTGTACATCAAGGGTAGCATGCCAGCAGAAGAACACACAACAGATGCCATTATGCCTGCAGGCCATCGACCTGTGGAATAAGGCAGAGTTTGGCCAGAGCAGCCGGAGGAGAGCCCAGGCCACTGAGTGGCCCAACTCCAGAGGAAAATCATCTCCCTTCTGGCTCCCCCATCTGCTGAGAGCTACTTCTACTCAATAAAACCTTGCACTCATTCTCTAAGCCCACGTGTGATCCAATTATTTAAGTACACCAAGGCAAGAGCACTGGGATACAGAAAGGACTCTGTCTTTGCTATAAGGCAGGGGTCTAATTGGGTTGTGTAACACAAGCTGCCTATGGACAGCTAAACTAAAAGAGCACCCTGTAACACACACCCACTGAGGCTTCAGCTTTAAATATTCACCCCTAGCCACGGCCGTTGGGTCGGAGCCCCACAGCCTGCCTGTCTGTATGCTTCCTTAGAGATTCGAGCAACGGAGCACTGAAGAAGCGAGCCACACCCCCATTGCATGCCCTGCGAGGGTACAAGGGAAATTTTCCACTTTCACTAGCCTCACCTTCTTGGATTTCTAGACTTCTAGGCAACACTTCAGCACTGTGCTTGGGGCGAAATCAACAACACAAAGCACAAAATTGTGGAAAAAAACATGGCACTATATATAACACAAAAAGGAATTTTTTCTACAGTGTGAGAACTGAAACAGGAAGACAGCATGGCCTTGTTCAACCTCAGCTGGAAACATGAGCATTGACAACTCAACTGTTTCACTGCAACTCAACTGGCATGTTTGTAATGTCCACAAGAGCACTAGGAGGATGGATTTGGCGGTTACAATTACATTTTAGTGAGTTGGTAAATTTGAAAATATGCAATCCATTAATAATAAGCATGTACTATACATAAAATATAATGTTAAAAATTAGGGAGTTTCAAAATCAAAAATCCAGTGAATTCAAAAAATCAAGAAAAGAGGCATTAGCAAATGTTTTGTTGAAGCAGCTCTTCTTGATTTTGGATGAAAAAAAATCGGAGGTAAAATCTTTGCTTCATTCATTCATCTTCTGCTTCAGGAGATGAAATAGTTGACAGTAGAGATAGGGATGGGGTTCAGAGAAAGGCAGGGGCTTAATCGATACACTATACAGCCCTTGTAGGCCCATGTAAAGACACATGAGATTGTCCCAGAAAAAAATCAATGCCTTATCAACCCTTGTATTTATGTGTATACTTCTTATGTGTTTTTGATTTGAAATTTTATGCTACTTGACTTAAGATTTCCATGAGCATTATATTCATTCTCAATTTATCCATTTCAGGGAATTAAGACTTAACCACTTGGGTGGTATTAATGTCTCTTTTTGAGATGTATACTTTCTAAATTTGGTGAAAGTTAAATATTTGATTAGACTCTAATATGTATTGGAATACATCTGAAGTAAAAATTATCAAGAGAACAATGCCAAAGTTAACAAGGAAGTATGTGGCATGTAATATATTCACCACTTTTATTATTTCTTTTTTTAGTTACTTACATATTCAGTAGTCACTCTACACTGTTACTGAGGCATTCTTATTAATTGAATTAATAACTAACTGTTATTTTTTAGGACACAATAATATTCTAATTTGTCTAGTTTATACTGTTTGCTTTAATGAAAATAAATTACTTTCAAATATTTTAAAAGATACTCATGACATTTTCTCTCTGATATACAACATATCTATTAATATATGTTGTCAATGGGAAACTGCAAAATTTATATTGGTTTAGAATAACCACAAAGAACACATTTACAAATATGTAATGTGTTTGATATACAGCTTGACACATTGCAGTGTTCAATATGTGAGTGTGATTTAAAAGGTAGGTTTAAAAATAAAGTAAATTAATTTTTACTTTCAATGGAAAATTCAATTAATTTTAGAAAGCTCTTATTTTATGCATATCAAACAGATCAGTTAAAAAATATAACAGTGAACTTAACTCTTCAGGGAAAAGATTTCATAGGTTTATTCTGTTCAACTTCATATTATGAGAAGAAAAATCAATCAACATGAAGTTTTTTACAAACCAAAATTTTGAACATTTTCCAATGAAAAGGTAAGTTACTAAGAAATGCAGTTACCGCCAGGTGCGGTGGCTCATGCCTGTAATCGGAGCACTTTGGGAGGCCGAGTTGGGCGGATCATGAGGTCAGGAGATGGAGACCATCCTGACTAACACGTGAAACCCTGTCTCTACTAAAAACACAAAAAATGTTCCTGTAGTCCCAGTTACTAAGGAGGGTGAGGCAGGAGAATTGCTTGAACTGGGGAGGCAGAGGTTGCAGTGAGCCGAGGTTGTGCCACTGCACTCCAGACTGGACAACAGAGCAAGATTTCATAAAAAAAGAAAAAAGAAAAGAAGAAAGAAAGAAAGAAAGGAAGGAAGAGAGACAGAAAGAAAGAAAGAAGGAAGGAAGGAAGGAAGGAAGGAAGGAAGGAAGGAAGGAAAGAAAGAAAAAGTTACAATATAAGGTGCTACTATGGTGTCAATTCAGTGAGATGTTTAAATATAGAGAAACTCAAGAAATGAAAGTGTATGAAAATTGAACATATTGGAAACACGTTATATATATACACACATATATGTATATATACATATTTTAATCTAATGGTCGAAGCAGCCAAACTGAGTACAGTTTCTACATTTTAAGGGAAAATGTTTGCCAACCTGTCATGTATTTTTCTGTTTTCTTCTGCCTTATTTAGATAAATGTTCCTTATGCCCATAACAATGGCAACACAGTAGTACTACTAGCGTCCTTCAGAATTAAAACTAAAGTTATTTTGCTAGTATATCAAAATAAAATATTGGATTACTTTATTTGCTTAGAAACAAAACGTAATATTACAGTTAAAATAACTTTTCATCATTATTTGCTGTGACAGGTATATTTTAATAGAAGGCACTCAAAATTTAGGTAGTTTACACACGTTTTTAAAAAGACTTCTCTTTTTAAAGCTTCTGTTTTTAAAGACAATGTATTTAAAAGATTCACAGGGTGCTCAATAATGTAGGGTTTTGTGTAAGGTCACCCAAATGATAAGAACAAGTTATTCTGGGCTTTTAAAATCAATAAAGGCATATATTTTGAGGAAAACAATTCTGAAGTTATATTGATTCAGATTTATTATGACACACATCCATATTAATAAAGTTATGTTCTGAATCATGATAGCCGGCACTGCAACATCCTTAACTATTAAAAATATACTTTAATGTTTCATGATCTCTACCAAGACAGAGAGGTACATTTTGTTAGGGTCAATCCAACTAGACTGTTCGCCTCCTTTCCCATAAGTCTTCCAATACAAACCTTTGTGACACCCCACACAGCTCTCCCGAGGCTAGAAGTAGACCCCCTACACACTGACCTTTCCAGTAACTGTTTGTTCAAAATACTTCAGCTGAAGTGGCAGATGGTCCCAGGATGCGGTCAGAACACCTGCCTACCTTGCATAACAAAGCTGGCAAAAAAACATCTCCAGGATGCAGTTAGGACATCTGTATCCCCAACTCAGTCCCCACACCCCGACCCAGTTCCTCACCCTATAAAGCCCTGCTGTAGTCTGTAAGCAAGGCTACCTCCTCTGCCTATCAAGGAGCAGCCCAGCAGGACAATAAAACTTGCTTGCCTGACTTTGGTTCTACTCGTCCTTTCTCTCCGCTAACCTTACACATTTATATAGTTAAGATACCTTTTTAATGAGAGTTGAAATCAGAGTAATGCCTGTGTAATAATCACTTAACAACAACAAAAAAAAAACAAGACAGTAGTATCTGAATTATGAGCCGTACCAGTGTTTACATACTTTCAGGTTAAAAAACAGTTAACTGCTAACTTTTATTTATCTTAAATTCTATGTGTTTTGGTAAATTGTAAAATCAGATTGCAAGTAGTTACAGACATGGGTGTTAGCATTCATCTCTTTTAGAAAGTCTGAGATCCACATTTATCAGGTTGAGGAAGAAATTCAGCAGAGGCTTCCCCAATCCCAACCTAAGTAAGCCACTTCTTTTCCTGAGTGCAGGCATCTCCTGCCTTCCCATTTCCTCTCCATCTTTCACTAAGGACCCCCACACCTAGATCACTGGCCTTCAACTCGCTTAGTACTCAGATTAACTTCTGTATGGTGATTTAAACATCAAGGTCCATCAATGATCCATTAAACATAACTCAGTTTGTTGATCTCTTCACTGAACCATCTAACTACCTCTACTGTTATCCCCCGTAAATGTATCTAAGTCTCATTTTGAAACATGACATTTTATAGTCATTATCTCCATCCTTCGTATCACTGCCCTAGTATTTTACTCTGATGATTAGAGACACAATGACATTTACAGTAGACATTACCTTCTTATGTCAATTTCTTTCAAACCCAGCCCAATTCCGATGGTCCTGTTTTATAGTCATTCCTTTGCAAACACCTATAACTATTTCTTTATCCCTCGTTTCTTTCTCACCTGACAAAATTCCAACCCTGGTTAAATCTAGGAATCTCACTGCTGTCAAGCCAAAGTTGCTGTAGAAAAATATAAAGAAGTTTTGACTGAAATCTCTTCTAATTATGTCCAGAAATACTAAATTTTCTACACTACCAGAAGATACCACTGCACTTTCCTTAAATATGTATTTTCCTATAATCTATGACTATTATTTATACAATGTCTTATTCTGTCTTGCTCTTCTAAATCTCAGTTAATGCTCTTTTCTATATTTCCTAGAAAAGAAATAGGCATCAAGTGAGATGACTTCTTCTCACCGTTAATTTAAACAAGCCATTGACATCTGTACCATACACTGTCTTCCTTCTTACTATAATGTGAGAGGCAATTCCATGTTTCCTTTTTTTTTTTGTACTATATCTCATACATTTTTGCAAAAGCCAAAAGCCAATTTTCTGGCTCATTTTACTCCAAACCGTCTTCAACATTTGTTATAGATGACAATTTCCTCACCTAAATACTTTCTTCTCTTGAGTTTTAGAATATCACTTTTTCACGGATTGCCTACTCATGCTTGACTTTTCACTGTCAGCTTTTTGTCCTTAATAGGCCTCTAAATATTATAGTAAGTAGGGGATTATATTGGTTGTTCTTCCTTTATTTACAATTTATATGTTAATTACTTTACCTGATGCAACAGCTTCAAATATGATCCTTAAATGATATTGCCAACCCGACCCTCCCCCAAAAAACATACATGTGAATAATCATAGCTTTCCTGGCTAAAGATATGTTGTAGGAAATATGTAGGAATCAAACATATATAAATAATATATAAGTGTTATATACATATTTGTGTGTGTACATATATGTGTATAAATCTGTATATGTATTATATATAAAATTGCTATTGCCTACCTGGATACTCCATTTTAATGCTCAATAATCATCTCTAATTAAATAATGAAAATAAAGGTCTTAATCTATTCTCATTGAAATTATTTCCCACCTAAGCCTTCCATGTTTCAGTAAATGACACCAACGTTTATCCAGCTGACTTATATTTGATTTTTTAAATTCTTCTCGTAATGGTGCTCAGTAAAGCACTTTTGCTCAATTTATACCTCTAAAAAACATTAATTATTCAAAATCTCACCCATTAAATTCATAGTTCAAGTCACATCTTTTCTTATATATAACATAAAAATATTCTATCTGTTGGCCTCCCTGCTACCATTATTGTCTCCTCAAATGTGAACCAACATGATAGTTCAGAACTATAAATTAGAGTTTAATACAGCTCCACTGGACACCCTCAGAAGTCTTATTTGTCTTAGTCAGTTCAGACTGCTATAACAAAGTATCATAGACCTAGTGTCTGTTTCTCAAGCTGTTTCTACAATGCTGCCTCTTTCCTACTCCAAGGGTCAGTTCAAATGATATCTCCTTATAGAACCTTTTCCTGGCCACCAACTCATAGTCACTGTGAACAACATTTTATTTCATCCTCTCCACAGGAGTCATCAGTAATTGTCATTATCTCATACAAGTATTTTTTTGTGTATCCATTAGAAATCTCTTACTCTATATTGTAAATTCTTTGCAGTAAAATTCTTACTTCTTACTGTATTTTATCAACTAGAAGTGACTAAAACAGTTTGACAAATAGACTCTAAATTAAGCTTTAATCAGTTTCTGGTTAAGGAAGATAGAGAATCATTATCAGTTTGTTTGCCAGAGAAGAAGAGTAGACTATATTATTAATATTAAAGATCAGGTGAAATGCTTTACTTCCAGTCCTTTTCTCTCCCAAAGCAAGAGGCGTTAAGTAGATAAAATCTATGTCTTCATCAAGAAAATCTCACATCCAATAATGTTTCCATGGTCATTCTAAAATCTAGCTCATTGTTAAGTGATTATTCAGGAGACCCCTCTAAAAATTTCTAAAAAATGTTTATGTACAAAGGGGTATATCTTCAGCTTTAGAATTAAAAATATATTTATAGAGTGCTCTCCATGCACTAGGAGCTGTGTGAAGTGTAAGGAATACTATAAAGTTTAAGAAATATGAGTTTTCTCTCTTCACAGTGCTTGATGGTACTGAGATTAGGTTATAATTGAGATTAGGTTACAATTTTATAACTCTGGAGCAGTGGAATCAATAAAAATAAAACATTTGAAGAATGAGAAAAATGGGAAAATATTTATTTAGTATAGGTTAAGTAAGGTAAGGACCGAAAAGTGCCTATTGAATTTAATGGCCAGGGAATTTAGTCACTTTCATAGAGACAGATTTGGAACAGATAGATTTTGTACAGAGAGATAGATAGAGGTGTGTAATACTACACCCTCAGGAAGTAGAATGAATAACGCTTTGAAAAAAGAGGGAGAATACAAGAGTACATGTGAGATCAAAAACAAATTTGTCTTATTTCTATAAAAAAAGGAGAAACTTAAAAAATGTAATTATTACTTAAATGAGTCAATACAAAGAGAAGTATTTGAGGTAAAGAAGAGAAATGGAAAATGTTTATAGTGTCAGTTCCCTACTAAGAAAGGAAAATATGGAAATTAAAAATAGCAGCACTGAAAGGAACTTGAGATGAAAGGAGTTGCTAGCTTTGCATGCACTTAAGTTTGTAGGTTTGAGACAGGAAGAGAAGGAATTTTACTCAGGATACTCTCCTCTATTTTTCTAGAAAGGATAAAAAAGATTTTCCTCAGAGTGTGGCAGCAGAGATTACATTGACTGTTAGGAAATAATGGAGAATATTTATAATAAACACGGAAGACAGAATGAGAAAGCATGACACATAGAAAAAAATGCTGAATGGGACACAGTAGTGTTTTCAAAATGAACTTTCCATAGTGATGGAAAAATTTTATATCAGTGCTGCCCAAACAATTGTGTACCACTGAGCCCCCACATAAATATAACCATCAGAGAATATTATAAACACTTATATGCACATAAACTAGAAAATCTAGAATAAATGGATAAATTCTGGACACATACACCCTCTTAAGACCGAACCAGGAAGAAATTGAACCCCTGAACAGACCAATAATGATTTCTGAAATTGAGGCAGTAATGAATAGCCTACCAATCAAACCATTGTGTAAACCAGGACCAGATGAATTCACAGCTGAATTCTACCAGATGTACAAAGAGCTGGTACCATTCTTAATGAAACTATTCCAAAAAATTAAAAAGGAGGGACTGCTCTCTAACTCATTCTATGGGGCTAGCATCATCTTGAAACCAAAACCTGGCAAACTTAAAACAATAACAACAAAATCTTCAGGCCAATATCCTTGATGAACATTGATGCAAAAATCCTCAACAAATTACTGGCAAATGAATCCAGCAGCACATCACAAAGCTAATCCACCATGATCAAGTAGGCTTCCTCCCTGGGATACAAGTTTGGTTTAACATAGACAAATCAATAAATATGATTCATCACATAAACAGAGCTGAAGACAAAAACTACATGATTATCTCAAAAGATGCAGAAAAGGCTTTCAATAAAATTCAACAACGTTTCATGTTAAAACTCTCAATAAACCAGGTATTAAAGGAACATACCTCAAAATAATAAAAGTCATATATGACAAACCCACAGCCAATATCATACTGAAAGGGCAAAAGTTGGAAGCATTCCCCTTGAAAAAAACAGCACAAAACAAGGATGTCTTCTCTCACCACTCCTATTCAACATAGTATTAGAAGTTCTGGCCAGGGCAATCAGGCATGATAAAGAAATAAAGCATATTCAAATAGGAAGAGAGGGAGCCAAACTATTTTTGCTTGCAGATGACATGATCCTGTATCTAGAAAATTCCACCATCTCAGCCCCAAAGCTTATTAAGCTGACAAGCAACTTCAGCAAAGTCTCGGGATACAAAATCAATGTGCAAAAATTGCTAGCATTCCTATACACCAACAATAAGCAAGCCGAGAACTCCCATTCACAATTGCCACAAAAGGAATAAAATACCTAGGAATATAGCTAACAAGGGAAGTGAAGGATCTCTACAAGAAGAATTATAAACCACGGCTCAAAGAAATCAGAGATAGCAGAAACAAATGGAAAAACATCCTATGCTCATGGATACATATAATCAATATTGTAAAAATGTCTATAATGCCTAAAGCAATTTATAGATTCAATGCTATTCCCTTTACACTACCATTGACATTCTTCACAGAACTACAAAAAAAAAAAACCATTGTGAAATTCATATGGAATCAAAAAAGAGCCCAAATAGCCAAGGCAATGCTACCTGACTTCAAACTATACTACAGGGCTACAGTATCCAGAACAGCATGGTACTGGTACAAGAAAAGAAACATAGACCAGTGGAACAGAGTAGAGAACACAGAAATAAAACCACACACTTACAACTATCCCATCTTTGACAAACCTAACAAAAACAAGCAGTGAGGAAAGGATTCCCTATTTAGTAAATGGTGCTGATAATATAGGCTAGCCATATGCCGAAAAGTGAAACTGGACCCCTTCCTTACACCATAAGCAAAAATCAACTCAAGATGAATTAAAGACAAATATAAAACCCAAAATTATAAAAACCCTAGAAGAAAACTTAGGCAACACCATTCAGGACATAGGCACAAAGATTTCTTGACAAAGATGCCAAAAGCAATTGCAACAAAAGCAAAAACTGGCAAATGGATCTAATTAAACTTGAGAACTTCTGCACAGCAAAAGAAGCTATCAACAGAGTAAACAGACAACCTAAAGAATGGGAGAAAATTTTTGCAGACTATGCATCTGACAAAAGTATAGTATCCAGCATCTATAAACATTGCATTTTGAATTCTGTCCTGAACAGATATTTCCAAGCAGTGATGTCTCATATTAAACTAAAATTTGTATTTTCCTCATATTTTCCATTACGAATTCTCCTGGTAACACATTTTAACACCTTAAATTGTCCTAAGTGAAGATTATTATTATTATACAATGCAATAAATATTTTCTGCTTCAGAAAAAAAATGGGCAAGGGACAAGAAGAAGACATACATGTCAAAAGAAGACATACATATGGCCAACAAACATGAGAAAAAGTTCCACCTCACTGATCATTAGATAAATACGAATCAGAACCACAGTAAGATACTATCTCACACCAGTCAGAATGGCTATTATTAAAAAGTCAAAAAATAACACATGCTTGTGAGGTTGTGGAGAAAAAGGAATGCTTTTACACTGTTAGTGGTAGTGTAAACTAGGTAAACCATTGTGTAAAACAGTGTGGTGATTCCTCAAAGGCCTAGAGACAGAAATGCCATTTGACCCAGTGAGCCTATTACTGGGTATATACCCAAAGGAATATAAAGTGTTCTACTATAAAGACACATGCATGTATATGTTCACTGCAGCACTATTCACAATAACAGAGACATGGAATCAACCTAAATGCCCAATAATAGACTGGATAAAGAAAATGTGGTACATGCACACCATGGAATACTATACAGTCATAAAAAGGAATGAGATCATGTCCTTTTCAGGGACATGGATGGAGCTAGAGGCTATTATCTTTAGCAAAGTAATGCAGGAACAAACAACAAAATACCACAGGTTCTTACTTATAAGTGGGAGTTAAATGATGAGAACACAAGGACACATAGAGGGGAAACACACACTGGGGCCTACTAGAGGGTGGAGGATGGGATTAGGGAAAGGATCAGGAAAAATAATTGGAGGATACTGGGTTTAATATCTGGGTGATGGGCTGGGTGTTGTGGCTCACGCCTGTAATCCCAACTCTTTGGAAGACCAAGGCGGGTGGATGACCTCAGGTCAGGAGTTCAAGACCAGCCTGGCCAACATGGTGAAACCTCGTCTCTACTAAAAGTACAAAAATTAGCCGAGTGTGGCAGGTGCCTGTAATCCCAGCTACTCAGGTGGCTGAGGCAGGAGAATCGTTTGAACCTGGGAGGCAGAGGTTGCAGTGAGCTGAGATCATGCCACTGCACTCCAGCCTGGGAGACACACACACACACACACACACACACACACACACACACACACCACACACACACAAAATCTGGGTGATGAAATATTAATAATCTGTGCAACAAACACCCATGACACAATTTATCTAAACAACAAATCTGCTCATCCTGCACATGTACTTCTATGTACTTCTGAACTTAAAATCAAAGTTAAAAAAACAAACAAATGTGTCTATGGAGCATTTTAGATGTCGTCAGCACAACTGAACAACTTTTTAAATTTCATTTAAATTTAATTAGCTTACATTTAAATAACCACATGTGAACAGTTGCTATCATACTGGATAGGCAGATATGTGGGGCTCTAGTTGGAAACTATAACCATGCATTTATATAAGTGGAAGAGTTTTCTCTGACAACTTTAATCTGTGATAAAACAGGAAAGGGTACCTGGATTCAATCACATTAGGTTGTACCAGGGACAGGGGCCTAGAGCAAGGAGGTTGGAATCAAGGACAGTAAAAGAATATAGGATATGCATGAGAGAATAATGGATATGGAAAAGTCATAGGATCTATCATAAATAATAAGGAAATGAATAAATAGAAATAAAGGAAAGGGTGAGAGATAAGAATTTTGGTGATAGTGACATAGTGAGAAATCTAGAAGAAAAAAAGTTGGGGATTAAAAGTGCAATAAGATTGACGCTTTCAAATTAAAAATGTCTCTGCGCTGGCATGACATGAATAATTGCTTTCAGTTGCTTTTCATTTATTCATAAGTGTATTCATCAATCAAACATTAATTGAACATGTTCAATGTGTCCAGTGTTTTAGATACAAAGATAAATTGGCTTCCATTGCTCTTGTCATCGAGAAGCTTACATTCTATTGTGAGATACAAAGAAATAGCATTATGGTGATAAATGTGTTCATTGCTTTCAGCCTTCCTTTATAAACTTTAAATATATTCTGTCTAATCATTATACAAAATCTAAATCAATATCATATAACCATGATGATCCTTATTCAACCTTTAATTGATCACACATCTCTTAATCAAAAGCCACACTAAAATTAATTCACTATGTCAGCAATAAAACTTTTCGTTAATGGAGCATTTTTAGTTATGAAAACCTACAAGTGTTTTGGCTTCCAACTACTTTATTCCCACTCCTACACGAGAGTAGTTTTCAAATCCCTAAGGAAATTTTATGTATATACATTAACTCCTTATCAGACACACATGCACGCACACATTAAAAACCAATAATTCCCAGCCTTTGGTCTTACTAAGGTTTTCATTGAATTTTATAGGATTTTACTTCCTTTCCCTATATTCATGGTACCATAGGGAAGCCCACTTTTTAGTTTTTGTGGGAATTATAGTCTAAAAATTTGGAGGCTAAGAGCAGACCCTAAATCTTCCAAATCTGGAGCAGATAGAGGCAATATTTCCTGGTTAGTTCAGACTGGTAGGCATCAAATAAGAAAATGTATTTAAGCTTGATCCATCTGTCTTCTAGTGAAGCTTTTCAGTCAATGAAACGTCTTCACAGACTCGAACAATTGGACCACACATTTTAATTTTTGGTCCTGTCATGTGTTTCTATCTTTTAAAATGTTTTCATTTTTCTCTTCTTTTTCTATTTTGCCAGAACTTCAGAGGCTGCTAGCCAGACACTATTTTATTCTGGAAGATATACATGTTTTGTTTAGAATTATATGACTACTTTCAGCTGCCATCATCTGGTATTAAAGCTTGTCCTAACATATTGCTACAGGTATGGAATATTTTTTTAAGGACTGGATAAGGATATGGGAAGAAATGGCTGTTTTTCCCCCCATTATCAATTTGCCCCTATTATTGTCAGTCTTGGAAACTGGCTGCCTGGCAACAAACCTACATTTCCCAGCTCCCTTTCTTAGTATGGCCAGGTGATTAAGACAGGTCAGTGAAAAGCAGATGGAAACTACCAATTGGTAGATTTGAGAACCTTTTTTAAAAAATTTTTAAAATTTTACTTCAAGTTCTGCTATACATGTGCAGAACGTGCAGGTTTGTTATAGGTATGTGCCATGGTGGTTTGCTATACCTACCAGCCTGTTATCTAGGTTTTTAAGCCCCGCATGCATTAGGTATTTGTCCTGATGCTCTCCCTCCTCTTGCCCCCCACTCCCTGACAGGCCCCAGTGTGTTATGTTCCCTTCCCTGTGTCCATGTGTTCTCATTGTTCAACTCCCACTTACGAGTGAGACCATGCAGTGTTTGGTTTTCTGTTTTTGTGTTACTTTGCTGAGACTGATGGCTTCTAGCTTCATCCATGTCCCTGCAAAGGACGTGAACTCATTCTTTTTTATGGCTGCATAGTATTCCATGGTGTATATGTGCCACATTTTCTTTATCCAGTCTATCATTAATGGGCATTTGGGTTGGTTCCAAGTCTGTTCTATTGTAAATAGGGCTGCAATAAATATACCTGTGCTTGTATCTTTATAGTAGAATGATTTACAATCCTTTGGGTATTTACCCAGTAATGGGATTGCTGGGTCAAATGGTAATTCTTGTTCAAGATCCTTGAGGAATCACCACACTGTCTTCCACAACGGTTGAACTAATCTACACTCCCAGCAACAGTGTAAAAGTGTTCCTATTTCTCCACAGCCTCACCAGCATCTGTTTCCTATTTAATAATTGCCATTCTAACTGGCATGAGATGGCATCTCATTGTGGTTTTGATTTGCATTTCTCTAATGACTAGTGATGATGAGCTTTTTTCCATATGTTTTAGGCCACATAAATGTCTTCTTTTGAGAAGTGTCTGTTCATATCCTTTGCCAAGGCTGGAGACATCATGCTACCTAACTTCAAACTATACTACAAAGCTACAGTAACCAAAACAGCGTGGTACTAGTACCAAAACAGATATATAGGCCAAAGGAACATAACAGAGACCTCATAAATAACACCACACATCTACAACCATCTGATCTTCGACAAACCTGCCAAAAACAAACAATAGGGAAAGGATTCTCTATTTAATAAATGGTGTTGGGAAAACTGGCTAGCCATATGCAGAAAACTGAAACCAGACCCCTTCCTTACACCTTATACAAAAATTAACTCAAGATGGATTAAAGACTGAAATGTAAAACTGAAAACCATAAAAACCCTGGAAGAAAACCTAGGGAATACCATTCAGGACATAGGCATGGGCAAAGACTTCATGACTAAAACACCAAAAGCAATTGCAACAAAAGCCAAAGTTGACAAATGGGATCTAATTAAACTAAGAGCTTCTGCACAGCAAAAGAAACTGTCACCAGAGTGAACAAGCAACCTACAGAATGGGAGAAAATGTTTGCAATCTACCCAACAGACAAAGTCTAATATCCAGAATCTGCAAGGAACTTAAATTTAGAAGAGAACCTTTTTTAAGAGACAACTGGCATCAAGTTTTGTTCTGTTCTTCTTCAGTTCTTCCTCTATCCTCCTTCCTAGAACATGGATACCTGAATGTAAATGTCACTGTCCTGAACTAAGTGCCTGAAGAATCATAAAGCAGTCAGATGGAAAATGCCTAGGTTTTGAGGCCTTGAAGTATAAGCAGAACTAACACTTGTTTTCTGGAGTATTTGGATTCTGAAATTATTCTAATATTTTATGAATTATATTGTTTCATTTATAAACATATCAACTGTAATTTTTGTATTCTTTGAATATTATATATTGTTTTTAGAAGACTATAGGAAATAAATTAAATAAAATACGTATCCATTTTTAGCTTAAAAAAATCTCCATTACAAGGCCAGGCGCGGTGGCTCACGCCTGTAATCCCAGCACTTTGGGAGGTCGAGGCGGGCGGATCACGAGGTCAGGAGATCAATCGAGACCATCCTGGCTAACATGGTGAAACCCCGTCTCTACTAAAAATACAAAAAATTAGCCGGGCGTGGTGGCGGGTGCCTGTATTCCCAGCTACTCCGGAGGCTGAGGCAGGGGAATGGCATGAACCCAGGAGGCAGAGCTTGCGCCACTGCAGTCCAGCCTGGGTGACAGAGCGAGACTTTGTCTCAAAAAAAAAAAAAAAAAAATCTCCATTACAAATAACAATAAATGCTCTTTTGGAATCTTATATAATAGAATCTATAAGTCGAGGATGTCCTTCAGCTGTCACTGTGGAAATAGTGTGGGTGGTATTTTATGATTTGACTTCTCCTTGAAGAGAGGTTATTAATTTAAACCCCATTTGGTCGGAATTTGTGATAATTTGGAAGGAATCCAGCATTACCTAGGGAAAAATAACTTTGTCTTAAAATTAAAAAGATAAACATCATTAACAGATTTTGATGCATCATTTTACATGTAAACAAAGATATTCTAATTTTTAATTTTCTTCATCTGCTAAAAGCAGGTCCCCAAACACCAAATTTAGACAGTGTTTATTTATGCACCAGTTCCTGTGTGGCCTGGGTAGGAAGAATATTCTATTTCTTTACAGACTATTCCCTGAGGAAAATATTTTAGTAGCTTAGAGAAGTTTCATTTTACATCAGACACGTAGGTAGAAAAAAAATTATCAGAAGTTTTGGCTACTTCTGAACTATGGCACGTACAATATATTGGGCCAAGTGAAGCACAAACTATAAAACTTCCAGCTCCATCCAGAAGATACTTACATAATAGTTATGAAAGTTCTGGCCAAAGGGATGCCCCTAAGGCTGTGCTGCAGCTTCATTTTTTAACTCTTTTGTTAGTAATCAATAAAGAAACCTAGAATAATCTTACCTGTTTCTATAAAAATTACAAATACATTTACTCATTGACCAATAACTTTACCTTTAAGAATACATACTGTAGCTATTAATGCATATGATCAATGCCTTTGGGAGTTTATTAATTAATCCTTTTTATAATTACAAAGGATTGGTAACAACCCACGGGTCATGCATATGGGACAGATTGAATCAACTCTGAAATATCTACATAATGGAATGCTCTGTAACTGTTGAAAACAAAAAGGAAAGAAAACTAAGAAAATTCTCAACATATTAGTATAAACAGATCTCCAAGATACTGGGTTGAACAATGTGAAATCGGTGAGCCAAATAGATAGTACTCGGGAAATTTTGTGTGGTTCATATTGTTGAATCTAAAACAAACAAACAGAAAAAAGACGCAGATAAATGCATATTTTATGCTAACTTATGTGGGAAAAAAATAAAATTATAATTACATATGGATGGTCATGTTTCCTTGGAAACAATAGGTGTTAACACAATTAGTTACTTATAGGTGATAGACCTTATAGAATAGAATGTTCTCTATAGGTGATTGAGTAGGAGGGGAAAGGGGAGAGAATGAGAATTTTCCTGTAAACCTTTGTATGGTTTTTTATTTTTGTATAGTTTTGTATAGTTTTTTATTTTTAACCAAGTAAATGTATTACTTTACTTTTTAAAAGCACTATTTTGTCCTGTACTATGCTGGATGAATTTTAATTGAGCCACCTACATTCCTTTTAGTTGGGATTTCTGATGTGAATCATAAATTAACAAGGTAAAAAAAATAACCAAGATATTACTTTATTCCAAGATGCCCTTTTTCTAATAAATATTTATTAACATAGTTTTAAAAATTATAGAATGCTGGACCTTTTCGATACCTTATCTAAAAATGGCATTCTCTTAAAATCATTTTGTGACTCAAAACTATGCATACATAAAACTTAGCTTCCTGTATTCATTCCTGAGAAATGAAAACATTTTATTACAGCATTTATATTATTTTTTTACAGCCTCGTGAATTTCTCCAGCAAAATGCATTATGTTATTTTTTTCTTTACTACATATGTAGACATCACAAGGGGGTAAATGGTTATTAAGAGCAAAATTTACCACATGTAATGAGCACCTGCTAGGACTGTGGGTCAGTGTTTCTGATGAGACATTGAGCAGCTACTTATTATAATTAGCGTCATTAGGCCTTTTAACTGCTGCTCCCATAAGAAGAAAGACATTTTCTTAACCTACTTTGTAAGTATTTATAATGCCTGCTGATTTTCAGCTGTGAAGGCATCATTCATTATATTCACAGGTTTTTATGGACAAAGAGGCTGAATGAGGTTTTCTACTAACATCATTTTCCATTTGATTATATCATTCTACACCTAGTGCATACAGAGAATTTGAATTCATTCAGTTGAAAATGCCTCCCTGAAGGTCCTATGCAAGTTTTGTGAGCCATCTAGGTGCCTACATTTTTATATCCAGATAGGAAATAAATGGAAGCAATGAGAAATAGTGTGAAAGCCGTGAAAGGCAATGGCTGCTCCTAAGTGTTAAATAAATAGCCAGCAGTATTTTATATGTACGTAGTACTTGGCTCTCTAGTTGCTTAACTTTTATTAAATCCATTTGTTTAATTCCCTGAGGCATTACTGTTCCTAATATTTGCCTCATTATAAATTTTAGAAGCCTAGAGGTTAAACAGTATGTTCAAGATCACACAGTATACTAGTGGTAAAACCAGGAGTAAACCCAGGTAGTTTGGGTCCAGAATCTATAATCATTATTCTATAGAATTATTAAGTAATTAATGGAATATGTACTACACTGATTGAATATATGAATAAATGAATGAAGGTATGATGAAATCAATATGCCAATAACAGTTTAAGTCAGTGGAATGAATAATACTACAAAACGAAATCTATTCCAAATCAACTTCAATATAATTTTGGAGATTATGTGTTCTTACCTTCATAATTAGACCATTGGCTCCTTTCTATTTATAACTATAATGATTCTATATTCTGTAGATGAATATAAAATGCATTTTGTCTCAAATTCAGATTTGTTCCCAATCTTTTTAGGGAGATCATAAAATGAATAAATAGAATCCGTTTATTCAAATCATTTTAATAGAATACGCACTGTGGTTCAGAGCTGTGCAGTGCAGAAGGAACAATTAAGAAGGCTTAGTCTCTGCATTCTAGGAAATTTTTGTAATCAGTTATTTATTACTCACCAGGACATGGCTTCTCTATTTTTGGGATATTCTGAGAACACACAGGAAGGGTAGATAAATAGCCTCAGGAATGGATAGAAGCATAGGAATTTTCCTAACCAAGAGTTTTTGGCTGAGTCCTGAAACCTGAGGAAGCCATTAAAGAAGAGAGGAAGCACAGTGCAGATAGTTACAGTCCCCAAGTACAGGATCAAGAAACAAATGAAAGTGGGTGCATTCAGAGAACTACATTAAGTTCAAAAATTGTATTAGGCTTTAGGCAGGGTTGATGTGGGATATTAGGATGGAAAGAACTACTGGGCTATGCTTAGCAATTTGAGTTTTATACTGCATGCAATGCTAAGCTACTAAAGAATTATAATCTGGAAAATGACACTAATCCATTCTTTCATGAAATAAATAATTATTGAGTGCCCCACATAATAAGCACTGTCTTTGACTTTGGGGACAATTACATTTGCCCTATAGAAAAGACTACTGTGGTTTCAGGGCACAAAATTGATTGAAGAGAGTAAAAAAGAGGAGACAGGTATATCAGTTTGGAAGCTGGAATTATAAGGGAGGTTTACTGAACTCTAGGAGAAGAAAATGGCATAGTTTACAAATTTGAAGAACATTGCAGAGTAGAATAAACAGAAATTAGTAATTGATTCAATGTGGGGTGAGACAAAATAAAAAAATCCCAAAATAACTTAAGAACTCTCCTCTCCATGCCTCCTGTGATGGTTAACATTCAGAGTCAACTCGTTTGGGTTCAAGGATGCAAAGTATTGTTTCTGGGTGTATTCATGAGGGTGCTGCCAAAGGAGATTAACATTTTAATCAGTGGGCTGAGAGAGGCAAACCCACCCTCAAACTGGGTGGGCATCATCTAATCAGCTGCTAGCACAGCTAGAATACAGCAGGCAGCAGATGGAAGAGCAGACTTGCTGAGTCTGCCAGCCTCCATCTTTCTCCCATGCTGGTTGCTTCCTGCCCTCAAACATGAGATTCCAAGTCCTTCAGCCTTTGGACTCTTAGACTTACACCAGTCATTTGCCAGGGGCTCTCAGGCCTTCAGCCACAGACTGAAGGCTTCACCATTGACTTCCCTGCTTTTGAGGTTTTGGGACTTTGACTGGCTTCCTTGCTCCTCAGCTTGCAGACGGCCTATTGTGGGACTTCACCTTATGATCGTGTGAGTCAATTCTCCTATAATAAACTTCCCATCATATATACGTGTACCCTATTAGCTCTATCTCTTTAGAGAACCCTCTTCAAGTAACGTTTACTGCCTGTCCTACCTGTATTACAGCAACCTGAAGATGTAAGAAATTGGAAGGATAGACTTAACTTCAATTGAGATAGTATAGAGAAACCGAAGTGTATCCTGGGAAAGATGCCAAGTTCAGATTTGAACACAAGTTATACATGCATTTGTTACATCAAAATGGACTTATCTAGTACATAATGGATGTGTGAGTCTGAGGCTCAGGAGGCCAAACTGGAGTCTGGAGACATCAGGTCAGATTCACGCTTTGTGTTTCATCAGAATGATTACTCCCTCACAGAAATACCTTCATTGACCAAGTTTGCTCTAATCCCTCCAATGTATTATTCTGTATTAAATCATCTAATGACCAAGGTATTTTTATAACAACACTGTGCATATTTAATGTTTATAATTTGATGTTTGACATATAAGAAACCATATATGTATACATCTAGCCTGAAACTAGATAGCCAAATGATAGATAGATAGATAGATAGATAGATAATAGATAGATAGATAGATAGATAGATATAGATATAGATAGAGATGGATAGTCTGTGACCTTGATTGTGGTGATGGTGAACATATCTACCTCACCAAGAAATTTTTTCCAGCTATTTCATTCCCCTCTCACCTATAGGAGACAATTTTACTGCTTCCTGTTACTGTAGATTCATTATACATTCATAAAATCATAGGAGGTGCACTGTCTTTTGTGTGAGGCTTCTCTTCTTTTTGGGATTTATCCATTTTCTTTTGTGTATCCATAGTTTATTACTTTTTTCTGAGCAATATTCCTTAGTATTGGTATATCTTAGTCTGTTTGTTCTATAACTTGTTGATGAACATTTAATTGTTTCTAGTTTTGGACTATTACAAATAAAACTGCTCTAAACATTTATGAAAAAGTGTTTGTATGACCTATCTTTCTATTTTGTTGGTAAATACCTACAAGCAGTATGTCTGAATCATACAATAGGTGAATTTTAACTTTAATTAAAAGACTAAATTTTCCAAAGTGGTTGTTACTGCTTTGTATTCCCAGCAGTGGTTTATCCAACTTACAGTGCCTTTACATTCTTGCCAGCACTGAGTAAACTCAGTTGTTTCAAATTTAGTCATGCTAGTAGGTGTGTAGCGAAAGTTCATTGTTATTTATTTGCATTTCCCTATTGACCAGTAATATTAGGCATCTTCTCATATACTTCTTTATCATTTACACATCAACTTTTGTAAAATGTTTAAATCTTTTGTCCTTTTTTATCTCATTATTTGTTTTTTTATTAATGAGTTTTAAGAAAATGTGTTATAAACATTATACTGAAGATTCTCAGGCAAAAACGAAGGAAGTAAAAGGAATCCAGATTGAAAAGAGAGAGGTAAAACTTATTTTATTTGTAGTGGCAATGATCATCCATGTAGAAAAGCTGATACAACTACAAAAAAAGCTAATATAATTAATAAGTTGAGTTTAGAGACATTGCAGGATAGGAGAGCAATATAAAAAATGACACTTAACAGCAACAAATGATCAAAAATTGAGAGTAAAAACATAATGGGCCGGGCGCCGTGGCTCACGCCTGTAATCCCAGCACTTTGGGAGGCCGAGGCAGGCAGATCACGAGGTCAGGAGATCGAGACCATCCTGGCTAACACAGTGAAACCCCATCTCTACTAAAAATACAAAAATATTAGCCAGGTGTGGTGGCCGGTGCCTGTAGTCCCAGCTACTCGGGAGGCTGAGGCAGGAGAATGGCATGAACCCAGGAGGCGGAGCTTGCAGTGAACCGAGATCACGCCACTGCACTCCAGCCTGGGGGACGGAGCGAGACTCCGTCTCAGAAAAATAAAATAAAATAAAGTAAAAACATAATGTCATTTACAGTGTCATCAAACATATAAAATATTTATGTATAAATCTGACAAAAGATGTGCAAAATATATACAGTGAAAACTGCAAATTATGGCTTGGAGAAATTAAAGAAGTCTTAAATAAATGGATAAATGTACCTTGTTCATGAGTTAGGAGACTCAATGTTGTAAGATATAAATCTCCCAAATTGATCTCTAGGTTCAACACAATAACAATCAAAATTCTTACAGGCTTTTATTTTTGTAGAAATCAGCAACCATATCCTAACATTGTTATGTAAATATGCAGGGCCTGGAATAGCCAAAACAATGTGGAAAAAAGAATAATAATGTTGGAGGGCAAACACTATTACCTTTGAAGCGTGATTTCAAGGCTGCAGTGATCCGAGGAATCCCATATTGGGGAATTGGGGTAAAAGTGGTCAAATAGACTGAAGAAACAGAATAGAGAGTCCAAAAATAGACAAACATTTATGGACAACTAATACCTGACAAATGTGTAAAGGCAACTCGGTGTAAAAAGAATAGTCTCTTCAACAAATGGCATTTAGTTAATTGGATATGGCTTCACAAGAAAATAATCTTTCATTCATCCTTTATATCATAAACCAAAATAACTCAAAATTGATCATAGACTTAACTATAAAACCTAAAACCTACAATTTATAAAGAAATAAAATCTTGTTACCCTGGATTAGGCAAAACATTTCTTAGATGTAGCACAATACCTCAAGCCATAAAACAAGAACTTGGTAAACTGGGCTTCATCAAAATTTTAATTTTTAAAATTGCTGCTTTTCAAAAAGTAGTAAAATAATACAAAGACAAGCCATAGAGTGTATAATGAATATTTGTACAGCATGCATCTGAAATCATTTCTTTTGCTTGTTTATCTGTTCATTGCTAATATAAGCTTCTTGACGGTCAGAGTCTTGCTCATATTTTTAAGTGCCTTGTGCCTAACGTCTAGAATAGTGCTCTGCACATAATAAGTCCTCAATAAACATTTCTCTAATGAAAAAATAGCTGAATGATCTAACAGGCAAACAAATCAGCAAATCAGCATAGAGGCAGAAATTGAGGGTTTGGAGACTTGAAAGCATCTATAAATAGACACAGAATATTACTTCTCAAGCTTCGTTGTGGCATGAAATCACTTTGGAATCTTGTAAAATGAAGATTATGATTTTGTAAGTCTCAGATGGGAGTTGAAGTTCTGCATTTCTAAAAACTACAGCCTATTCCAGTGCTGCTGGTCCTGCTGCCACTCACTGAGTGGCAATGGCATCAAGTATGATTTAACTCGACAAACATAAATACAAATGAAGGTTAAACTGACATTGTTTCTTCATGAAAGAGTTGACAGTTTATCATGAAATTACAAGTGAGGTCACTGCTGAGAAATAGTATGGAAAGCTAGAAGAGTATTCAGAGGAGAGAAAGACTAAAGAGAATGAGACTTGTTTTCAAAAAAGAAAATGAGTAAAATAGTTTTAATGAAACTTTGCAAACATCTGCTATTACGGAAAGTATGAAGACATTGAGTCCATACAATGGAAAGTCGATATTCAAATAAATTAACACTTTCAAAATATCATCTACAAACTTTTAGTGTTTTTGTTTTTTATTTCCTGTTGCTTATTACCCCACCTCTCACTTCCCCATTGTTGCACAAAACAGATAATTGAAGAAGCTGTGAAATGCAAATAAATTTAGTAGGCCTGCTTGTTAATAACTTAAGGAAGATTTTGATATAAAAAGAAGTTGGAAATTTAATTGTTCAAATGAGATTTTGGGATTTGCTTTAGATTTTATTCATGTGCTACTTTCTATTTCTACAGAGAACTGAGAATTGAGAGTAATGAGCACCTATTTGATGTTTGTGACCAAAAAAATAAATATTGTCATCAAGGCATATAATTTACACACTATTAAGTTTTTCTTTTTTTGTTTTTGTTTTTTGAGACAGAGTCTTGCTCTGTTGCCCAGGCTGGAGTGCAGTGGCGTGATCTCGGCTCACTGCAAGCTCCCCCTCCCGGGTTCACACCATTCTCCTGCCTCAGCCTCCCGAGTAGCTGGGACTACAGGCACCCGCCACCACGCCTGGCTAATTTTTTGTATTTTTTAGTAGACACAGGGTTTCACCGTGTTAGCCAGGATGGTCTCGATCTCCTGACCTCGTGATCTGCCCTCCCTGGCCTCCCAAAGTGCTGGGATTACAGGCCTGAGCCACCGCGCCCGGCCCCACTATTAAGTTTTATATAACCTACAACACATTTTTTTCGGAAAAGACAAAACATTTCAGGATGTGATTCCCCAGTCATATAAGCAAATTGTTACATTGATGGATAGCTCCACTAGACAGCGCCTTCTTATATTGAAATGAAAGTTCACCTTTCATTCGATAGTTTGAGACCATTTCTGTAGTTCTGTGGAACATAATTCTAATTCCTCCTCCAGGTTCCACATTTTCAAAAAGAGAAATCATGTTTCCAATTTCTCTAGAGCTGAATTCTTCAGCACTTGCAAATATTCCTCAATGACAAGAGTTACAAACACTGTTTACACTGCTATTAATTTGTCTTCATTCTCTGTGTCCTATACAGAATTGTACCAACGGCAGTAAATATCACCCTCAGTACACTGAAAAAAAGGATCTTTCTTGATTCAAACACTATTATATATTAGTACAACCCAAGTTTATAATTAGTTTTTAAACCAAGAGTAGGCACCACGTAAGAATCTGTTTAGTTCAATAATACACTACTTCTCATTTGTTTAAATGAAAACTAGGTTCATGTCTCCTCATACATTCTGTCCCTCATTTAGGCAACATATATTGGAAGAATGTGAAAAACTATCTACCAGTTACTATACAAACTTGGCAAGATATGTAATCTAATTTAACTAGTTTCCCTATTATGCACATGAAATAGACATAATTCTATTTGTCCACAAAACTCGTATACATAAAAACAGTACGTGAAAAAAGATTATTCATAACAATTAAATCTGCAAGTTTTCAAATTAGACAATTTTAGATTAAAAATATAGCTCTGTTATTACTCTCTCTGACCATGAGTAAGTTTCTTAACCTCCATAACCTTCAGTTACATTGCTTATAAATATTTTATCGGTACCTAACTTGAATGTTTTTGAGGAAGATGAAATGAGATAATCTACATGGTATTTAGCATAGGTCCTGGCATATAGTAAGCAGCTACTAAGATATATCTGTAATATTTACCCCTCATAAAGGGCCTAATTAAGAACAAATTTTAATTATTATATATTCTAATTGACTTAGGCGAAGCAAAACATGGTACATTTTAGAAAAATTTCAATTTAAAACAAATTTTTTAAGATTGACTGAAAGAATAAGGTTTGATTACTTTAAAAAAATTAAGTAGCTCATTTTCTTAGAGTACCAGATATTGCCATACACTTTGCCTAAAGATATAAATCTCAAATAATTCTCCAATACCTGATATTAAAAATAATAACTAATATGGTTTGGCTCTGTGTCAAAACCCAAATCTTACTTCGAATTGTAATCCCCATAAGCCCCATGTGTCAAAGGTGGGACCAGGTGGAAGTAATTGGATCATGGGGGTGGTTTCCCCATGCTGCTCTTGTGATAGTGAGTGAGTTCTAATGAGATCTGATGGTTTTATAAAGGGCTCTTTGCTCATTTGCCCTCTCTTGCCTGCCACAATGTAAGATGTGTCTGCTTTTCTCTCGCCTTCCACCATGATTGTTAAGTTTCTTGAGTCCTCCCCAGCTATGCAGAACTGTGAGTCAATTAAACCTCTTTTCCTTTTAAATTACCCAGTCTCGGGTATATCGGTATGGTAGTGTGAAATAGACTAATACAATAGCACATTATTTGTATATAATACTTAACTTTGTGCTTGGCATTGTGCTAGGTCACTTGTGTACCTTCATGTGAACCTTAGATCAATCATCTGATGCAGTTACTACGTTTATTTTACAGAGGAAAGAACTGGAATATAGAGAGGCTATAGCCAGACTGTTTGAAAAAGATAGAAGAAAAATAAAACTTTATAAAATGAGGCCATTAAAACACACCTTGTTTGAAGAAAAATGATGAGTATATATTCTTTTCAGTGTCTAAAGTTTACCCAGGGGTTGAATCAGGACTTTGAGAAGCAAAGGGCAATAATAATTCACTCTACTGAACACACTGATTTAATACACTTGGTAGTGAGAGAATAAAATTCTTGGTACTCAGGGACAAAAAAAAATTTAAACTCAGTAAGTAAGAGCTAGAGGTTATATTAAATTCTAATATAGGCATAGGTGTCCAAAAGAATCAAGTTTAACGCCAGTGACATCTTACTAAACACAAACCTAACAACATTTTTGAATGTTTCATAGTCTTTTTGCTAAATTCAATATAATAGCATAATATTATGCCATGAAAGCAGTCTGTTTTTCCAGATAGGTCATTTCTAATAAGGTACTTAGCCAAGCTTAAGGCTGGTTGACTTTCAAAAACACCGTGTATGTAAAGTTGTATTTATTACTTTTGTTTTGGTTTTAGCATTTTGCTAAGTAAAGTGAATGCTTTCACTATTTCTTTAGGAATTAAGTAAACATAAAGAAAACAAGAAAGAAAGTAAGAAATCTGGCTTAAGTACATCTTGGGTATTCACAAAAGAGGTCAGCATTGCTTAGCAACTAAAATTTACATATCTGGACAAAATAAATTCAAATTAAAATAGTAGCTCTCTTTCAGTGAAGAATTTTAAGCAAGGCTTTCCCTTTCACCTTATGCAAAATTCTTATAAAAGATTAAATCTTTGTTACTGATACATTTTTGTGTCAGCATTCCACAAAGTTTAATTTAAAATATGTAGAAACTTGAGTGCCTTGATGGTATCCTTCCAAGGCTGGAAATGTTATTCTCTGCTTTCTTTCATTTATAAAAATTAATAAGTTCAGGACCATTACAATGTTTTTTGGCAAGAAGCCAGATTCTATTCCAAGCTCCTAGTTTGCGACAATACTAAAGAGAGTTGCTTTAGTGTCTGTGCTTTCCAAAAGCATTTTCTGATTGTGTTGAAGTGTTTCTGAATTTTCTGTTCTTGTTGAGCCTCATCTTGTGCCTCTGAAGTTTTCAGCTCTGTTATTTACTTAGATCTTTAATCATGCATTTTCTTACGAGAACTTTGTAATATCAATAGCTCATTCAACTCTCCTCTACTGAAACACTGTGGCACAGGTAGAATTTTAGGGAAACAAAGAGTTTTGATCAAAGAATTTTCCTGAAAGCCACAGCACATTTTCTCTTCCCAGTTAATCAGCTTGAAGCTTTGCAATAACTTATATAATAATTTGAACTCTTCAAATCAGAAATGACACAATTTTTTTGAGGAAACCTGTCCAAGTTGTAAGAAAGATTTTCTATGAGAGGCCGGTGCCTTGTGTAAACTACATAGAAGAAATAACAAAGTAAGGTTGTCCTTAACTGGAGCAAAAATATGATAATCATAAGTAGCACAACTCCCTCTTGAAAAACATCAGATCATATTAGAGGTAATTGATACTAAGTCTCATTAATATTCTTCTGTATTGCTGGTGAGTCTTAATTCAAGTTAAATACATTTATGAAGACAAAACTTTTGGGTGCCATTGATTCAGTAAATAATACATTCTTAATTTGACAGCTGAGAAAATTTTTAAATGATGTAATTTGATAAAATGCATATTTTATGCTACTTCTTTTAAAAGTCTCTCTCTATATATATATATGAAAAATTACACATGCATATATCTGTATATTAAAAGAAAATTTTAACTCTATCAATTACAAACTAAACATAAGAGCTTACTTTCTTATTACATACCTTCCAAAATATCTTTCTATCGGTTCTATAGATCCTTTGAAATAAATATTTAATCTGCAAAAACTCAAAGGGAATGGTATGCATTGATTGAAAAGTATACTTTAGCAAAATCACAGCTTACTCTTTAAATAGATCACAATATTAACCAGCAACAGCAATACTTAATAACCCTGATTGGAGAAACTTTCAGTTCAATTTAAGACTCTTTTTTTTTTTTTTAACTAACCCAGTGCCTAATTTTCTAAAAGTTAGTAGTAAAAACTGGAGATGGAACTTCTGGAAGTAATGGTGGCTTTGGCTCAATAATTCCTATTTTTGGCCCCTTAGCACTGAAGTCATATCCATCAAATGCATCTGCTCTTGGAACCAAGCTGGCTGTCAATGACTTCTACAGTAAATCCTTCTTCATTCTTGTCTAAAAGAAGGAACATGTTTTATCACCATTTTCAGACTGAAACCCTGGGCTCTAGGCTAATTAGACTAATAAGAGAGAGATTACTCCATTAGTTGAGGCCAGAGTGCAATGCTCATCATGAGGGGGAGGTCTGCTTCCAATGAAGCACCAGGACAGTTTGGGAAGGAATTGTTCCTAGGCAACCAAAGCAAAAGTTCACACCCCAAAGGAATTATAAAACATTCTCTTTCTTCAGAAAACTCTTTTAAATTTTGAATGGCATTAAATAATGCAAATTAAAACATGAAAATGCCAATACAGATAAGAATATAATTAATACTTAAATGTCAATATCAATAATAATGTTAAGAAGTCTATGAATTCATACCAATTCATCTAGTATAGACATAGTCTTTAATCAATATATGTTGAATAGATTAATTTTACTGAATTAAATTAGAAAGCCTAGTTATCACTGTGTTCTCATTACAAAGCTGTTGCAGGCCAGGTGCTGTGGTTCATGCCTATGGTCTCAGCTACTTAGGAGGCTGAAGTGGGAGAATCCTTTGAGTCCAGGAGTTCCAGGCTGTAGTGAGCTATGATCATGCCACTGCACTTTGGCTTGGAAGACAGAGAAAGACCTTGTCTCTTAAAAATATATATAGATATAGATATAGATATAGATATAGATATAGATATTAACTGGTTCTTATAAGATGTTTAAATTGGTGAATAGAAAAGGGAGAAAAATACAAGTAAAAATTTAGCAAGAATAAAGATCATATTAGAAGAGAAAATGCTAACTAATCCAACTTTAGTAGTGGATTCATAATATCAGAAGAATTACAGTTGAGAAAAAAATTAGGTTGAGACACATATTAAAGTCATTCTATTCTAAAGCATCTTTATTTCTGCTGGGAGATAGAACAACAGAAAGCTGAGAAATTAGATAATTATGACTTATGATCTACAGTAGGGATTGTTTTGCCTCTTACTCTGAGAAGTGGGTCAAAGCTGATAGGATCATTTGAGTACTGAGAATTTACATATTTGAACATATTGTAGCCTAAGAAGAAAATTTCAAGATACCCAAAATTCTTCTTTGGAGAAACAAATCAACTGTTTCTCCTTGACGATAATAAATTTTGGCTGTTGACCCCAAAATTTAATTTTAAAATTATTGATATCTGTTTTTTCAAAATAATATAAGATAAATGATTTAAAAGTAAGTTGCATAAGAAAGCTGGGGTGAGAAGAAGACTTTCTAATTATTACTCAAATATTAAATGAAATTTTTAAAACTAATACATTTTACTTAAAATATTATTTCACAATAAAAAATATATAAAAAAGTAAAAAGAAAATGACACAACTGTGAGAAAATATTAACAACATAAATCACAAAGGGTTAATATTTCTAATTTACAGAGAACTTTTAAAATTAATAAGATAATGTTCAAAACTTCTATAGCAGTGAATAATATACATAGAAAATTTACAAAAGAGACATAAAAATAGCCATTAAGCATAAGATATAATGTTTGATCTCACTCATAAAGAGAAATGAAAATCAAACTATAGGGAACTATCCCTTCTTATCCATTAGATTGTCAAAAATTAAAGGAAACCTCAATGCACAATGTTGGTACAAAAACAAGCTGTCTCATACATTGCTGGTAGAGACACAAAATAGTCCAACCTCTATGGAGGCAAATTTGACAATATTTAACAAACTTTGTGTTCATTTACCTTTTAACTTAGCAATTTCACTTCTAGGACTTTGCCTTGCAATATACCTCACTAATGCAAAATCCTCCAAGTTCATCATGGAAGCATTATTTGTAGCTGAAAAATACTGGTACTTACCTATATGCTGAAGTATGACAAATCATTGAATAAACTATGATGCATACACACAATAGAGTATAATGCAGCTATAAATAAAAGCTAACCAAGACAGCATTGTAATGATATAAAAATAGACACATAGATTAATAGAACAGAAAAAGCAACCAGCAATAACGCCACATACCTACAACCTACTTATCTTTGACAATGACACCAAAAATTTACACTGGGGAAAGAACACTCTATTTAATAAATAGTGCTAGGAAAATTGGATAACCATATGCAGAATAATGAAACTGAAACATACCTCTCATTCTGTACAAAAATTAAGGTGAATTGATAACTTAAATGTAAGACCCAAAATTATAAAAATCTTAGAAGGTAAAACTCTTCTGGACTTTGGTCTAGGCAAAGAATTTATGACCAAGTCCTCAGAAGCAAATGCAACAGAAATGACAAACAGACAAATTGGACTTAATTAAACTCAAAATCTTCTGCACAGCAAAAGAAACAATCAGCAGAGTAAACACACAACCTACAGAATGGGAAAAAATATTTGCAAACTCTGCATTTGGAAAAAGGGTAACAGCTAGACTCTACAAGCAACTCAACAAGAAAAATAATAACTCCATTAAAAAGTAGGCAAAGACATGAAGAAGGCATACACATGACCAAAAATCATAAGAAAAAATATTCAATATCACTAATCATCAGAGAAATGCAAATTAACACTACAGTGAAATACACTGTGAGATCACCATTTTACGCCAGTCATGGCCGGGCATGGTGGCTCACACCTGTAATCTCAGCACTTTGGGAGGCCAAGACAGGTGCATCACCTGAGGCCAGGAGTTTGAGACCAGCCTGGCCAATTTAATGAAACCCTGTCTGTACTAAAAATACAAAAATTAGCCGGGCATGGTGGCAGGTGCTTGTGTTCACAGCTACTCGGGAAGCTGAGGCGGGAGAATCTCTTGAGTCCTGGAGGCAGAGGTTGCAGTGAGCAGAGATCATGCCATTGCACTCTAGCCTGGGCAACAAGAGTCAAACTCCATCTCAAAAAAAAAAAAAAAAATACACCAGTCAGAATAGCTACTACTACAAAGTGGAAAACCAACAGATGTTGATGGGGATATGGAGAAAAGGCAGTGCTTATACATTGTTGGTAGGAATGTAAATTAGCACCTTTATAAAAAATAGTATGAAGGCTTTTCAAAGAACTAAAAATAGAACTATCATTTGAGCAATCCTACCACTGAGTACATACCCAAAGGGAAATAAATTATAATAGGAAAAAGACACCTGCACTTGTATGTTTATCACAACACTATATACAGTAGAAAATACATGCAATCAACCTAAATGTCCATCAATGGATGACTGAATAAAGAAAATGTGGGATACATATGCATCATGGAATACTATTTGGCCATAAAAAAAAAGATAGAAAGCACGTCTTTTGCAGCAACACAGATGGAACTGGAGGCCGTTATCCCAAGTGAAATAACTCAGAAACAAAGTTAAATACTGCATACTATCACTTATAAGTGGGAGCTAAACAATGGGTACACATAAACATACAGAGTGGAATAATAGACATTGGGGACTTCAAAACGTGGGAAGGGAGTGAAGATTGAAAAATTACCTACTAGTTACAATGTTCACTATTTGGGTAGTGGGTACACTAAAAGCCCACACTTCCCCACTGTGTGATATATACATGTAAGAAATCTGTACTGTACCCACTAAATGTATAAAAATAAAATAAAACAAATTAAAAAAAGAATAAGGAACATATCTAGGAAATCATGTAAAATGACTTACAGGAGATATTATTAAATTTTTAAAAAGCAAAGTCCAAAAGAGCATATTTAATATGCTACCATTTGCATAACAAAGAAAGGGATATAAGAAGACATCAATATATCTGTTAATATTTGCAAAAAGAAGTACAGGAATAATAAGCTAAATGACAATGAAATTGGATGCACACAAGTGATGAGGGAAGTAGGTATGAGAGAGGTGGGAACATCACTGTTCTGAGTATCTTTCTATTTAGATTTTATTTTGGAATCCTAATAAGGTTCTACATGTCCAAACAATAAAATAAGATTAATAAAGATAAGAAAGGGAAAAATAAAACTAAAATAAAGGAAGGCAATTATGTTTCCTAAGGAAAAATAAAGAAAATAAATTTATGAACATAATTCTTAACTGTATACTATATACTGTCTTGGATGATGTGGGGGTATGAGGAACAGACCAGCAAATCTGTTTTTCAGAGGTTTGTTTGCTGGGAATGTAAGTATTTGGAGATAATGTAATCTAAGGAGAATTTCAGGGTCCCCTAAATTATGTCATAAGATTAAACAAACAAACCGTGTGCATGTGTATCTGTGTGTATGTGCACATTCACACAGGCGTGGCATGTATACACATCACAAAAGACTTTGAAATGAGCAAAAATATGTTCTTGGGTGTCTTGTCTAATTCACTCATCAAGGTTATCTCCATATTTATCTTGATCTATTTCACATATCTGTAAGTTGTAGAAAACTGAATGTAATGTGAATAATTCTTGCCCATGGAAATGCAAATTCATGCATTTGTAATATAATTTTGAAAGTCTTTATTACTTGTATATGTCTCTGCTTTTTGAATTCTCTTTTGAACCAACTACAAAGTGTTCTTTGTATTAGTCAGGGTTCTCCAGAGGGACAGAACTAATAGGATTTATGTATATATGAAAGGGAGTTTATTAGGGAGAATTGGCTCACATGATCACAAGGCCAAGTTCCACGATAAGCCATCTGCAAGCTGAGGAAGAAACCAGTAGAGGCTCAGTCGAGTTCAAAAGCCACAGAACCAGGGAAGCCTACAGTGCAGACTTCAGTCTACGCCCGAAGGCCCAAGAGCCCCTGGCAAACCACTGTTGTAAGTCTAAGAGTCCAAAGGCCGAAAAACCTGAAGTTTGATGTCCAAGGGCAGGAGGAGGGGAAGGAAGCATCCAGCACGGGAGAAAGAAGAAAACCAGAAGACTCAGCAATCAAGGTTATCCCTCTTTCTTCTGCCTACTTTAAAATTTATATTTTAACATGCTTTTTTAAAGCTTTTTATTGTGAAATAATTTCAAATTCAAGGGTTGGATCAGGTGCTGTGGTTCACGCCTGTAATCCTAGCATTTTGGGAGGCCAAGGTGGGAGGATCGCTTGAGCCCCAGAGTTCAAGATCAGCCTGGACAACATGGTGAAACCCTGTCTCTACAGAAGGTACAAAAAATCAGCCAGGCATGGTAGAGAATCCCCGTAATCCCAGATACCTGTGTGGTTGAGGTGGGAGGATCACCTGAGCCTGGGGGATCAAGGCTGCAGTGAGCCAAGATTCTGCCTCTATGCTCCAGCTTAGGTGAGAGAATGAGACCCTGTCTCAGAAAAAAAAGGTGGGAGGAGGGGCGTTGGAGGAATAAGAAATATTGATACACTATTTATGTTGATTCATTAATTAATATTGTATGCTATTTGCCTTATTAATTGTTCTCTCTTTATATATAAGATTTTTCCCCAAATCATTTGAGAATATATTCTATTCAATGTGGTCCCCTATCCGTAAATATTTCATTGTATATTTCCTAAGAACAAGGACACTTTGATGACTACAATATAGTTATCCATGTCAATAAATTTAAAATTGCTGCACTACTTTATATCACTCATATAATAATTTTTCAATTGATTTAGTAATGTCTTTTGTATAATCCATGACAGGATCAAATATACTCCATATGATTGTCACAGCTATTTTTTCTCTTTTATTTATAAAATGTTTCCACAGCCTTTCTTTGCCATTAATGACATTGACATTTTTGAATACTTTATATCCTTTAATTAGTTCACTTTTAATTGTGCCTCTTCTCTCATTTTTAGTTGTCCTGTGTTTTGTCATGATTAAATTCAGTGTATGTGTTCCTGGCCAGAATATTACAAAACAAAACTGTGTCTTTCATAGGAGACAAACAGTGTCCATCTAGCCCTTATCTGTGATGTTAATTGTCAAGGTGTTGTCTGATTTTCTCCACGACATAGGTACTGATTTTTCCCTTGACACCACTAAGCAATCTATCTGGAGACAAATACTCTTCTTCTCATCAAAATTTCTCCCTTGGTTTATTATTCATCAATCACTCTTTTTTGAACGAATCTTTAAAGTGAAGGTTATAAAATGATATTTTGCCAATCTTATTTCTCCCTTATTAATGAATTAACACTTGGCATTCTATAATAAAAATGTCTCCCTTATAATCCATTACCTATCTATTTATTCATTTATTATCTATCTATCTACCTAACATCTAATTTATCTGTCATCTGTACTATCTGTTATTAGTATCATAAAATCAAATTTGTCCAATTGTTTATAACTAATTTCTCTACTGAATAACTTTGGTGTTGCATGTGATGCCTTAGATTTGGTGACAGGAGCTTCTGTGTACATGAGATACGTGCCTACCATTTTTTGAGCACTTATATTATTTTTGGTATAACAAAATATCTCAGGCTCATTTTATACTTACCCTGCCGAAGATCTGAAAACGCAATTTCTTCAAAAACCCTGGTTCTTTTTATTCGGGAAGAAGTATTAGAAAACTAGATCTGAGTGCTAGGTTTGCTCATTACTACTGGAAGAATTTGCCTATATGGTAAAAGATACAAGGGAATAAATGTATGTATTATAGATTACTATAGTTTGTGTTTTCCTTCCCATTGTTGATAGCTCATTTTCTGGGCCGTTTTGCTATAGATAAGTATTGTGTTGGCAGCTATATCTAGCTAAGACACTGCCCATATGTTGCTGTTATATTCACAATTCCCTATCTGTATTATTGTTTTAAGACTTTTGGATTTTGGGTATAAGCACATTCCTGATTAAGAAAGAAAATCTTCAAGTTTAAAGTCCCATCATTCATTATACTTTTGCTTTGTTTTATAAAGAAATTTTATATTTTTTCTTCTTAACATTAAATGATAAGAGAGATACTTAAATTGAAGGTTGTATTCCTGTTTGTCTGTAAAGAAAACACAAATACATTATATATACATATATATATATATAAACATATATATGTGTTGTTAATGTCATGCATTAGTGTTATATTTCATTTCAGGCCTACTATTTGTCTCCCAGCATAAATATTGACATCTAGTATCTATTTTTAGGTAACACAAATATTATTTTTTGACTTAATCCATTTGTTACCTCGATATATTGTGTGCTACTGAGGTTTGGGTTATGAATGATTCCGTCATCCAGGTAGCGAGCATAGTACGCAATAGTTAAGTTACAGATTAAGTCCAAAAATAAATATTTGAGTATTAATTTTGGAGTTTTGAAGGTCATACTTCAGTTTCTTCCTTCATTCTTATCTCAAACTCTCTTAAAGTTTTGTACTTTATGAGTCTCAATTTATATTTTATTTCTATTCTTTAAATTCTCATTTTTAGAGTCACCGTCATTACACCAATACTTGATGTATGCAGTTACATCTCAGGTATTTCAGTATAAAATCATTCTTTTATCAGTTGTCTATGGCCATGATAATGCCATATAGCAAACAACCGTAACACCTCAGTGGCATATAAAAATAAATATTTATATTTGCTCCCAAGACTATGGGTTCTCTGGTCAGTTGTTTTTATCTGAGCTGGGTTTAATTTGGCTCATGGATGCAATTGCTGTCAGCTGTGGTTTGACAGATCTTGTTTGGGCTCAGTCCCATGTTCGGGGGCTTTCCTAGGGCTTTTTATTTTTTCAACTTTTATTTCAGATTCAGGAGGTACATGTGCAGATTTGTTGCCTGGGTATATTGTGTCATGCTTAGGTTTGGGTTAGGAAAGATCCCATCACCCAGGTACTGAGTATAGTACCCAATAGTTAGTTTTTCAACCTTTGCCTTCCTGCCTCTCTGCAGACTGTAGTAGTCCCCAGTTTCTATTGTTGCCATCTTTATGTCCATGAGTACCCAACGTTTAGCTTCCACTTATAAGTAAGAACATGTGGCATTTGGTTTTTTGTTCCTGTGTAAATTTGTTTAGGATGATGGCCTCCGGCTGCATCCATGTGACTGCCAAAAACATGATTTCATTCTTTTTTATGGCTGTGTAGTATTTCATGGTGTATATGTACTACATTTTCTTTATCCAGTTTACTATGAATGGGCACCTAGGTTGAATCCATGCCTTCCTATTGTGAATAGTGCCACAATGAACATGTGAGTTCATGTGTCTTTTTGGTAGAATGATTTGTTTTCTTTTGGATATATGCCAGTAATGAGATTCCTGGGTCAAATGGTAGTTCTGTTTTAACTTCTTTGAGAAATCCCCTAACTGCTTTTCACAGTGGCTGAACTAATTTACATTCCTACCAACAGTGTATAGGTATTGCCCTTTCTCTGCAACCCCACCAGCATCTATTCTTTTGTCTTTTTAATAATAACCATTCTGACTGACATGAGAAGGTGTCTCATTGTGGTTTTGATTTGCATTTCTCAAATTATAAGAATCTTAGAAGAAAAGGCAGGAAAAAATATTCTAGACATCAGCCTTGGGAAACTATTTATGACTAAGTCCTCCAAAGCGATTGCAACAAAAACAAAAATTGACAAGTGGGACCTAATTATACATAAAAGCTTCTGCACAGGAAAAGAAAGTATCAACAGAGTAAACAGACAACCTACAGTAAAGGAGAAAATATTCACAAACTATGCAGCTGACGAGGTCTAATATCTAGAATCTATAAAGAACTTAAACAACTGAACAAGCAAAAACCAAATAACCCCATTAAAAATGGGCTCAAGACATGAACAGACACTTCTCAAAAGAAGACATACAAATGGCCAACAAACATGAAAATGCTGGGGATTTTGAGTTGAATTGGTTCTGCTCTCTATGTCTCATCCTGAAGCAGGCTAGCCTAAGGATATTCTAACAGAGAAGGCAGTGGAGAAAGAGAGGATGACAGCATGCCAGCCCTCCTTCTAGTATTATCTAGTACCTACTTGTATCAAGTGGGCTACCATTCCATCAGTCATAGCTATTCACGTGGCTGAGCACAGAGTCAATTTGAGATGGCAACCTCTAAAGGGAGAGGACATAGGAAAGCATGAGAAATCAGTACTATTCGTGAAAATAATTTTTCACAGTCCTAATCATATTTTCCTACAGGATTTTTATTTCTTCTGTTTTACTCAATAGTACCTTTCATATATTAATATTTTGGATATTTGCCGCCTATAAACGTCATGTTGAAATGTAATCTCCAGTGTTGGAGGTGGGGCCTAGGTGGAGGTATTTGGACCATGGGGGCTGATCCCTCATGTATGGCTTAGTGCACTCCTCATGGTAATGAGTTACAAGATCTGATTGTTCAAAAAAGCCTAGCATCTCCTCCTCTCTTTCTTGCTCCTTCTCTCATCATATGACATGCCTGCTCTCCCTTTGCCTTCCACCATGAGTAAAGCCTTCTTGAGGCCTCACCAAAAGTAGATGCTGGTACCATGCTTCTTGTATAGTCTGCAGAATTACCAGCCAAAAAAATCTCTTTTCTTTGTAAATTCCCCAGCCTCAGGCATGTCTTTATAGCAATGCAAAATGGACTAATACAAGCTATTTGCAGGGAAAAAAATAAAATTATTGAAATTGATTCAGTCAATTAACGTATATTCATCAAGCACCTAATAATATGTGCCAGTGTAGAGTGTACATTCTAATGGTGGAACAGGCAAAAAAAAAAAAAAAAAAGGCGTAAATGAGTGAAATATATAGTCAGATACTGTCAGATATTGATAAGTGCTAAAAACATAATTTAAAATGTGATGGGCTTGTTTTCAACATGTGCTCAGGGAAATCCTTATACATAAGAATAAAGAGAGAAACAAGTCATTAATAATATTTGTGTAAATTTCCTTATTTCCTCCTAGGAAGACAGAATAGCACTTTCAAAAACAGAAGCATATTGGTGTCTTACAAATACAGCAAGGATGCCATTGTGGCTATTGTGAATACTCAAATTGGCTAGCGGGAGGGGACATGAAATCACACCAGGTACTATATTTGTAAGACAGAATTTTGACTTTAATTCAGAATGAAATGGTAAAGAATGGGGGAACTTAAGCAAAGGAGTGAAGTGATCAGACTTACCTTTGGAAAGGGTTTTTTTCTAACTGCTGTGCTAAGAACAGACTGTAAAGTAAAATAAAAACTGAGGTTTTACTCACTGTAGACTTTGAAAACAGTAATTTCTTGGACAAGTGAGAGAAAAGCTCTGGTTAAATAGGATTTCAACAGAAGAGGAAAATAAAAATTGGAGAAAATAGTATTGACAACTCTTTTGAGGAATTCTGTGTAAAGAGAACAGTAGGTGAACAGAATGTGGTATCAAGACAGAGCTTTTACTTGTTTGATTTTTAAGACTGGGAAAATTCTAGCATATTTGCATGCCTATGGAAATGATTCACAAAAAATCAAATAAAACATAATGGAATACTGATGCATATTTGAACATGGATTAACCTCAAAAACAGCATGCTGTGAAAGAAGCCAAATGCAAACAGTCCAATTTATGAGAAATATCCAGAAAATACGACTTGTTGGAGACAAAAATAAGATCAGCAATTGACAGGTAATTGGGTTGGGAATAGGGATTAACTGTAAAAGAGCTCATAGAAATTTTTCAAGGGTGATAGAAATGTTCTAAAATTGATTTGCAGTGATGGTAACATAACTATAAATTTACTAAAAACAGTCAACTATACACTTATCATAAATAAATTTTATTTCAATAAATCATTAAAAAACAAACAAACAAACAACAGCCAGGATTTCTTTGTGTCATACGCTACCAAAAGAACCCTAATAAAGACACCTCTTTTCTGTTGATCCTGTATAACTTAGTCTGCAGATGGGAGATGAGAGTTTCAAATTTGGGATCAGAGTTGTTTTTCTATTTGCCAAGCTCAGTGTGCTGTTCTTATATTTTAACCTTAACTTTTTAAAAAAAAATCCTGATTCAACAGGAATAAAAGAAAATGCCACGTTCTAACAACTAAATATTGGAAGAGTTGCTTAAAAACTGTTTCTTGTGTTCAAAAACTACCCTTCAATTACTCCTCATAAGATTGCAACATTAAGAAAAGCAAGATAATAAACTAGAAGCTGGTGGTGGGTATGTATGTACTGTGAGCAGGAGTCTTCCTCTTCCTACTGCCTCAAGGAAAACTTGTTCACCCACTGCCACAGTTACCTTTCCTGTGCATTGAACACAGGTAATACTAAAACCAGCAAGGAGATAACAGAAGAATATGTGGGAGTACCTGCAACACAGCAAAACCTTTGTTATGTTCTGCTCAAATTAAATAGCATCACACTTTATTATGACTCTAGCCAAATTAACCAAAAACCTGGTTTCTACAATCTTGAGTCCTGTTTTTCTGACATCATTGAAACTTTTCTAACATTTGCTTAAAAATTTAGGATATCAAATTATAAAGTTTAATAGTTATAAAAACAAATATAAATACTTTTAGAAACGATTTTAGAGAAATGCAGTACAAAATCCTACAGATCTGTAATACATGAATCCTGTAGTTTGCTGATCATAGAATGAGAACATGGACTTTGTTGTACGTATTTACTCTACATTTATTCAAAGGTTGAAAGGAACATTCAGTGTATATTCATGGAAACAGAATGCTTTCACTAGTCCGAAATTCTCCCTTGACTTCACAGATGATAGTTTTTCAACCCTGTATTATTTTGCATATTTTCATATTTATTGGCACTGTGCTAGAGGGCTGAGTAGGACTGGAATATTGGACCAGTGAAGGGACATTGGAAGAGATGCATCTGCTCAGAGTTCTCTAATTAATTTCATTCACCTGCCAAGAATTCTCATGAATAATAGCAGTAGTAGTGGCACCAATAATGATAATAAATCCCTGAAGATGGATTCACACATGTGAATTGCTTGAAGCTGCTGTTTGCTTTGTATGTTCTATGGATTCAAGAGTATTCAGAGCTCTGGAGGCTTCTTAGAGTTATACATCAGAGTTTGATATGAGTTAGGACATTCAGACTCCAGAAGACTGGAAGGCACATGGTGAATATGGGTCTTATAAGAAGATATTCTTACAAGAAAGGGGTCCTGAACCAGACCCCAAGAGAGTCTGGATCTCACACAAGAAAGAATTCAGGGCGAGTCCTTAGAATAAAGTGAAAGCAAGTTTATTAAGAAAGCAAAGGTATACAAGCATGGCTACTCCATAGACAGAGCAGCCCTGAGGGCTGCTGGTTGCCATTTTTATGTTTTTTTCTTGATTATGTGCTAAGCAAGGGGTGGATTATTCATGCCTCCCCTTTTTAGACCTGAATGTTGCTATGGCACTTATAAACTGTCATGCTGCTGGTGAGGGTGTAGTAGTGAGGATAACCAGAAGTCACTCTCTTTGCCATCTTGGTTTTGATGGGTTTTGGCCCACTTTTTTATTGCAAACAGTTTTATCAGCAAGGTCTTTATGACCTGTATCTTGCACTGCCAACCTCCTATCTCATCCTGTGTCTTAGAATGCCTTAAACAACTGGGAATGCAGCCCAGTAGGTCTTAGCCTCATTTTACCCAGCTCCTATTCAAGATGGAGTTGCTTTGTTTCAAATGCCTCTGACAATGTGAGTGGAAAATTAGAATGAAATAAAAACATTTCTTGGGAATTTGCAACAGGATTTAAATTGGTTTTGTTATTGACTCCATTGTCACTTTCTGGTGTCTCCTTACTACCATTGGTGAGTATTCCAATTATTAAAATGTTTAAAGGGAGGAATTATCCCTGTAAAGAAGGTTCAAAAGGCAAATAAACAAAAAAATTTAGGAAACAGATACCAAGGGCCTTCATAAAATCACAAAATCAACCCAGCAAATATCTCACTATTTTGGTGAGTTTTTTACCTGTTTTAGGAAAGGAAGTTCTTTGCTAGATAATGAGGGGTTTGTGCCCTGCATTTTCTATTTTCTGGAATTCTCTAATATGCTAGATTTCAAGAAAATGACTCACCAATTCAGCCACCTTTACAGTTGTTGATGTTCATAACAATGTAAAATATGAGATCTTAACTTAGTCAAAAATTGAATCAAATATTATTCATTCTGGAATTAGGATGTTCGTGAATCACGCATCTATAGTGCAAATGTTGAGGCTATCAGATTATATATTCAGCTTTAATGCTCTTCTGTAGTTATATTGACCTAAAATAAAAGTTAAGACATGTTATTTTACAAGGAAAATCTGTGCAAATATCAGACAATAGTGAATTGTTCTGAATATTCTTTATTTGTTCCTATAGCTCCACTCTCTACCCTTCATGCTCTGCGAAGATGACCCTGTGGACTGCATCAATTGGGCCCCATTGACTTCTGACTTCCAATGAGAGGCACCAGTAGAAAATAGCCCCATTCATTTTCCTGCTTTCTTTACTGCTTGGATGTAAGTGGCAAGTTTCTGTTTTTCTATCAAAGGCCACAGTTTAGTCAGGCTCCTTTTTCATATATGTTTTGCTCTTTCTGGCTAACCACTCTTTGTTTCATTGTTTCTTCAAGCCAAGAATTGGTAATGGTGCCCTGATGTGGCTAATAATGGAATTTTTCAACATTCTTCATTGGTTTCCTCTAACCTAGACCATACTTTTGACACTAGCTCATTCATTTATTCTCTCCTTAATTACCTCATTGAAAATTTACCTGTTTTCTGCCAGGAAGCTAAAACAGTAATTAGTACCAGGAGTACCAGTTACTCCTGCTAACATCCTGTGTGATGGTTAATACTGAGTGTCAACTTGATTGGATTGAAGGATGCAAAGTATTCATCCTGGTGTTGCCAAAGCAGATTAACATTTGAGTTAGTTGGCTGGGAAAGGCAGACCCACCCTTAATCTGGGTGGGCACAATCTAATCAGCTGCCAGAGCAACTAGAATATAAGGCAGGCAGAAAAACAAAAAAAGACTAGACTGGCCTAGTCTCCCAATCTACCTTCTTTCTCCTGTGCTGGATGCTTCCTGCCCTCACTCATCAGACTCCAAGTTCTTAAGTTTTGGGACTCAGACTGGCTCACCTTGCTCTTCAGCTTGCAGACGGCGTATTGTGGGACCTTGTGATTGTGTGAGTTTAATACTCCTCAATAAACTCCCCTTCATATATATATATATGAAAGATATGTGTTTATAGATAGATAGAGAGATAGATATAGATATCTCCTATTAGTTCTGTCTCTGTAGAGAACCCTGACTAATACGTTGGGCAAACTCAAATATTTCAGGTTTGCACATAACTTGCTTACTAGGGGAAATGATCCACTAGTAATTCTTGAATGTGAGGAAAGAATAATAAAAATTATTACTAAGATGACATTGGGAGTTGGTAACACATTAGGAGATACACTGTGCTGATCAAGATATTTAGTTACTCTGGTGACAGCAGTATTACAAAGCTTGTAGAGTTCAGTAGGCTGTCATTTCAACCATATCCCAGGCAATTTACATCACTAATATTATGGATTTTGATGCATAGTACACGAAGAATTTCCATGGTTAAATAAGTTCAGAAGGGCTGCACCAAATTTAAACAGATTAAATTACTAGGCTATGGTTGAAAAACATCAAATTATAATTTTCAAAATATTTTTCAAACAAGTCTTACACGATTATAGTACAACCTGAAGAATGTCTATTAATTTTAGTCAACTATACTGAACTTATTTTATAAACTTCTCAAAAATTTATTTAACTTTTGCATGAAGAAACCAGTGAAATGGTAAAGCTGATTGAACTAGCATTTGTGTAACTCAGTAATTTATAACCACTAGAAATTAACATGGGAATGAAATTGTTAAATTACATATAAAACTAGTTAATACTCTATAAGTAATGAAACTGTAACCATAATCTTTGAGGTTATTTCTATCAGGAAAAATCATTTGCATAACTGTCACACAAAAATCTAGAAGTTGACCTATAATTACATAGAGTATGAACTCTAATTAAGAGTAAATGGCTGAGACAAGCACAAATGCATCTTCCTGAAAAGATGACTACGGTTTAGGTAGGCTTGTTAAACAATGCCCAAGGATGATATGAAAAGAACATACTCCCAGCTGGGCATAGTGGCTCACACCTGTAATCCCAACATTTTGGGAGGCCGAAGAAGAGCAGATCACCTGAGGTCAGGAGTTCGAGACCAGCCTGGCCAACATGATGAAACCCCATCTCTACTAAAAATACAAAAAAATTAGCTGGGTGTGGTGGCATGTGCCTGTACTCCCAGCCACTAAGGAAGCTGAGGCAGAAGAATCGCTTGAACCCAGGAGGCGGATGTTGCAATGAGCCTATCACACCACTGTACTCCAGTCTGGGAAACAAGAGTGAAAACACCATAAGAAGAAAGAAAGAAAAAGGAAGGAAGGAAGGAAGGAAGGGAGAAAGAAAGAAAGAAAGAAAAAGAAAGAAAGAAAGAAAAAGAAAGAAAGAAAGAAAGAAAGAAAGAAAGAAAGAAAGAAAGAAAGAAGAAAGAGAAAGGAAGGAAGGAAGGAAGGAAGGAAGGAAGGAAGGAAGGATAATGCCCTCACTTTGCCTACTTTCCAAGGTGTAAGGTTTTTTCCCCGTAACTATACTAAATGGCAACCATCATTTTTATTTTGATATTTAATCCAGTGTGATTTGCCTTATATTTTATATTCTCTGTAACCAGTGGCATATGGAAAGGGTTACTGGCATAAATGCATTATTGTTCACTATAAAGTAATAAACATGATTTAGGGGAAGAGTAATGGCTTCCAACAATTTATATCAGCTTACATGCTTATTTAGGAATACTTTCTAATTCTCATAGTGAAAATTCACATACACACACCTACAGCAGATTTGTTTTAATTATTAAAGCCTCAGAGTAGTATGGTAAAGAATAAAAGATACAAATTTTTATAAAATCTTCAATTCAGAGCCTCATACCTGAGATTCTGCATTCAAATGAGCCATTGAAAAATAAATTGGCTCTTAGGTGTCAAGAAGAACATTAGAAATTACCTTTATGTGCCATTTTAGAGTTCCACCTGCTCACTAGGAAACAAAATGTCAGGAAATAATGAATCAACATTATACATATTGAAGTTGAAAGATAGGAAATAGGATTCAGATCAAAGGTCTCTGAGGGACAAAACTTACAAATAAATGAATTTTTGACAGGACTCTTCCCTGTGGCATGTCAAACAACGGTCCGCTAAAGACGGTTGTGTTCTAATCTCTGGGACATATGAATCTGTTAAATTACATGGATAAAAGGAATTTAGGCTGCAGATGGAGTTAAGGTTGCTAGTCAGCTGACATTAAAGACATTATTCTGGATTATATGTTTAGTCCTAATTTAATCTCAAGGATTCCTATAACTGGAAGAGGGTGGTGAAAAGAGTCAGACTGATACCATATGAAAAGAGCTTGACCCGCTGTTGCTGATTTTCAAGATGGAAGAAAGAGGTCATGAGTCAAGAAAGGTGGGAGCCCTCTACAAACTAGAAAGACAAAGAAGTGGCTCATATTCAGAGCCCATAGAAAGGAATACAGCCCTGCTAACACCTTCACTTTAGACCAGTGAGACCTATGTTGGATTTCTAACCCATATAACTGTAAGCTAAATTTGTAGGTTTTATGCCATTCAATATAGGGTAATTTATTACAGCAACAATAGAAAATTAACACACTCCTCCAAACAGTAACCAACTAAATACAAATAAAATGAGATAGCATTTTTATCAAGTTTGTAAAAACTTGAAAGACTAACAATACTCATTGTTGAAAGAAATGTGGGGAAGGACAACTTTATGTTCCCATGTTATAATATTTTCTTGTGAGTGTAATTTGATATACCATTTGGGAATATGTGTATTTCAGTGAGAAGCTAAGCACCACACATATAGTAGCTCCTGTTCCATCACAGTGTCTACAGGACAATATACAAAAATGGCTGGTCTCACTACCTTTCCTCTTGTTTTCAAAATGGGAAAAAAGTCCTTGTAACACCAATAGAACTTTCCACTTGCATTTAAATTCCATTTACCTCACTCTCAGGAGGGCTTTGTCCCTTCAGTTCTTTGCTGTGCTTCCTGTGCTATCATTCTCTCCCTCTCTACTGATATCATCCTCATCCATGTCAAAATCTTTTACAGTTTTGCCTGCCTGTCTTAAAAAATTCTTTTTTTACACTACTGTTGCTCTTTTCCTAGCTCAAATTTGCTTCTCCTCAACAAAACCCTTCACAAAATAATTTTCTAGCCTGATATTTCAGCTTCTTTACCTCTCATTCACCATTTTTTAAAATTTATTTAATTTTGAAGTTTTAAAATATAATAATTTAAAAATTATTTAATATATACATGTAATTTTATGTAACTGCATAAATATAATCATATACTTGGTTTATTTCCCCCATAAGTGTTCTTTTCCTGGATTCTTTCCCCTTGTCTCCTTCATCCACATTAGCTCATTAAAAAAGAAAGCACAGCTGTGCCTGTGGGTCTATGTGTGTATATATACGTATATATACACACACATATACTTTATATATAAATATATATTTGCTGTATTTGCTGTAGACTAAATTTCCAGGAATAGGATTGTGATGGAAGGTATTGAAGATATATGCATTTTTTCTTTTTTTTTTTAATTATACTTTAAGTTCTAGGGTACATGTGCACAAACCTCTGCAGACTTAAATGTCCCTGTCTGACAGCTTTGAAGAGAGTAGTGGTTCTCCCAGCACGTAGTTTGAGATCTGAGAACGGACAGACTGCCTCCTCAAGTGGGTCCCTGACCCCCAGTAGCCTAACTGGGAGGCACCCCCCAGTAGGGGCAGACTGACACCTCACATGGCCGGGTGTCCCTCAGAGAAAAAGCTTCCAGAGGAATGATCAGGCAGCAACATTTGCTCTTCAGCAATATTTGCTGTTCTGCAGCCTCTGCTGCTGATACCCAGGCAAACAGGGTCTGGAGTGGACCTCCAGCAAACTCCAACAGACCTGCAGCTGAGGGTCTTGACTGGTAGAAGGAAAACTAACAGAAAGGAGATCCACACCAAAACCCCATCTGTACGTCACCATCATCAAAGACCAAAGGTACATAAAAACCACAAAGATGTGGATAAAACAGAGCAGAAAAGCTGAAAATTCTAAAAATCAGAGCACTTCTCCCTTTCCAAAGGAATGCAGCTCCTCGCCAGCAATGGAACAAAGCTGGACAGAGAATGACTTTGACAAGTTGAGAGAAGATATACGCATTTTTTTGTAGACATTTCTAGATTACTTCCTGAAGAGTCTATGATACTGTATTTCCACTAGCAACATATGAGCCCTTTCCCACACATCACTTTCAAGAAAAGGTGACATAGCACTTGTCGATTTTTACTAGTCTGATGGATACAAAGATTTATACAACTATTTTTCCTTTCACATTTTCTTGAGTAGGGTGAACATTTTTTCTCATACATTTATTTTTCAAATATTTATTGTTCTAAAGAGTTATTTAGTTTTATGTTTTGCCCACTTTTATTTATCAACTTGGTGCTTTGTCAATTATAGATATTAATACATTATCTTCTGTATTACATTTTTCTAGCTTTATTGGTAGTCTAATGGTTTTGTAATTGACTCTTGTACACATTAACAATTTTTATTATAGTTGAATATATCTAACTTTACCTTTGTAGGATTAAGAGTAAACTTGTAACCTTAAAATTTAGAGATTTCAAATTTAGCTAAGGTTTCCCCTTCCCACAGCCATTGGTACCATAAAATTTTATGAAATGTCCTATTTATTTTCTTCCTGAATTGACCTATCAAGAATACCATATATTGTGTTCTCATAAATTCAAGAATTTATTTATAGATTCTTCATTCTATTCCTCTGGACTACTTATTTATTTTGAGACACAGAGTAAATGATTTGATTGCATAGATTCATGATAATAGTATGATGTGATATTTAGTTAGATTAGTTCCCTTCTCACTACTCTTTTTTATTTATTTCTTGGTTAGTCTCTGGTGTTCTTCCATAGAAATGTAAACATAATTTTTTCCATTCAGATTCCATTAATATGCCTTTTAGGATTGTAATTGGAATGGCAACACATTTCTTGTTACTTTAGAAAGAATTGATATTTTTGCTAGCTAAAGTCTTCTCATTCAGAATTTGTTATTTCTTCCTATTGTCCATATTATCTATACATTTACATATGTATGTATTATCTGAATAGAATGATAATATTGAAAGATATATATGAAAGAATAGTCTCTTTCATAGAGTTCCTGGGCCATTTAATATTATCCAAAAGTGTTAATATTTCTCAAGAATGCTATAGTTTTGTTGCTATTCAAATGGAATATTATTTCACATTTCCATTTTAGATACTTTTTCACTGAATAGAGAGAGAGATACTATTGGCTTATGAATATTTATATTGAATCTAGCCACTAACCAAGGTCTCATTAATTTTTACTGTTTCTTGTTTCTATCACTCAAGTTTTTTATGCATATTATTAGCAAAAAAAAAAGAAAAAATGTTGCTATTGCAATTTTTCTGGTGATTACAACAGGAATTTACTATTTTAAGTAATAAAATGCCTTACTGCATTTTGTAAAATATCTTGGTAAGCAGTAACAATGAGAGATCTCTGCCAAGTTTCTGGCTTTATTTTGCACAGCTTTTGAATTTCAATAGGTAGCACAGTATTTGCTATTGCTTTGGGATAAAAATCAATTATCATGTTTATTTAAGAAATGTTTATTATGATTAAATTTTTATAGGAATGACTACATTTTGTGTTACCTTTTCAACAGTATCTGATATCATTTTCTTTAATTTGTTTATATTAATTTTTTATTATATGCTACTTCCTGACACTAAACTGTCCTTGTTTCCTGGTTTAAAGCTTTATTTTCTCATAGCATTATTCTTCTAACATCATGCTGAATTCCTTTTAGTAAGATTGAAATTATGGTTTTTGCATTCCTATTTTTAAAGGGTTTCTTAACTATCCTTCAGTGAGTTTTATTGTTTAAAATTGTTTCAAATTATTTATCCATCACCACAATCCTATAAATTAGTATATAGATTTTATTTTTTGAGCTACTTCTAATCAAGTTTTGTTAATACTGTCTGGCAGTTTTATCTCTTATGGCCAAGAGTTATTTAAGTAATATTAGAATTAGTGGATCTTTGGTCTTGATGTTATTTTTACTGATAGGACTTCAACAGATTGTTTTTAAAGATAAATAGTCAATTAGACATTTGATTTATTTAAGGTTAATTTGGTTAATTTTATTCTTTCAGAAAATTATCCATTTCCTCTGGCAAGCATTCATTCATTTTTCTCTCACCAAAAAATTGCATGTAGAATTATCTTATAATTATTTAATCACACCAATATCTCTTGCTTTTTGTTTTCTAAGCGTGTTTATTTTTGCCTTAATCTTTTATATTTTAATCAGGCTTATGCTTTTTAAAAGTGTATTTATCAATTTAAACTCCTGGTGTTTAGATTTCTTTATCCTTCCCATTATTTCTGCTTGCCCTCCAATTCATTATTATCAATTTATGTAATTGGTTGACAGCTGAACAATAATTAATCAATTCCTTCATCAAGATGATGAGAATTTTAACATAACAAAGCACTCACATACTTTAAAATAGTAGGGAGAATGATGAATGTGAGAAAGCAAGCTGTGATGAGTGGTGTAGATAGTGCACTGGGTGGTGGAATGAGTTGAAGGCAGGTGAGATGTAGAGAAGCCAGACTATGCAAATACATATAAATTATCAAGGATATTTACTTCATGCTAATAGCAAGGGGAAACCTATTAACGATTTCAAGCAGAAAATGGCATGATCCTATTTGTATTTCAAAAATATTTTTATTGATATGTGGGATATAGTTTTAACCTGTTGCAGGACTTCATGAAAATATAAGACTTCCTGGAAACCAGCCAAAATGTGATGATTTAACTAGTATGAAAGCTATGAAGATAGAAATGAGGTAATAGTTTTGAAAGTTATATAAAAAGTAAAACAAATACCACATATTTTGTGTACATATGTAGTTTAACAGAGAGAGAGATTCCAATAACAACTTTGAAATCTCTGGTTTCTGTGAAAGGATAGTGGTGGCTTCATTCTTGGAGAGGAAAGAGCTGGAAGACAAGGACAGAGAAGGAGTAGCACTCACTGTTTATGATCATGTTGAGTTTCCAATCCCCTTATTATAACCAACTAGAAAAAAGTAAGTAAAGCAGTTTGACATATGGATTTGGGTCTCACAGAAAAAAATCTGACTTGGAAATACACATTTGTGAAACATTATCACTAATGTTATCAATATGTATAATAATGAAAAGTTAAAATTAGATTGACAATTAATAGGAAATCAGTCGAATAAAAGATGATTATTCATGGAAACCATTTAGAATTATGATGGAAATCTGCATTTAATAACAAATTACTTTGCTGACATATTATTATCATTTGAAATAGTAAATTATGGAATAGTATGATCTGAAGTTTTGTAGTATTTCCTTATTTACAAACATTAGTTTTTAAATGGATATACAGAATTACATTCACTTGTAAGTCTTAATTAGCATTATTTGAATGACAAGGTATGATTATACTCCTTTGTATAATTAAGGTTCCTTCAAGGATTAGAAAAGTTGATTGCATTGGTTCAGACTCTCCTTGCAACTTAACTTTATTAAATTTCCAGTTTGACCAATGGAGGCAGTATATTCTGTACTAAATGCATTAGGATTAATTTTTCAATTTGACTCCGCTATCTACCCACTCTACAGTTATGGCATTTTTCTTAATCTCTATAAGCTTTCATTTTTTTTCATTTGTGGAGTAAGGATTAACTAACTTTAAAATATAGTAAAATATTGGGACATTTAGAATGTGATAGATAATCCCAAAACCAGAATAAACGTGATAGTGTTTTATTCTAGAGAAATGGAAACTGAACTTTAAAAGAAACTCAACACTAGTAAGTGATGAGACTGGAACTTGAATACAAGTCTCCTAAATCTTGTCTGGCACAGTAGCTGCTTTCTGAAGCTAATCAAAGTGATGCCCTATGTCCTTTCACCTTCACTGGCCCCATCCAAAGCCCTGGGAGTGGTCAAGCAGTGGGTCCACATAATAATGTTATTTATACATTTTGTGAAAGTATCTTAACTGCAAACATTTTATAATGCTAGGTTTTTTTTTCAACTTTAGCTATCACTCCATTACATTTTCCATGATGTTAGGTGTCAAGTGTCTTTGGAATGGTCAGGGACATTTTTGGCAATCAGCTAAGGGGTCATCAAGTTGGAAGTACATTTAGTTGGTCTCCAGAAATATATCGATATGATTTGCAGTCCCCTCTATGAGTAGTTACTGTGGCCATTTGGAAGCAGGAATGGCTTCAGATAATAAACTAATGACCTCTTTTTTTATTCATCACTTATTTAAAATTGTGCATTTTTTTTTCTTCAAAATTATACTGCAAATCATTTCAGGCTCTACAAAACCTGTCTAGTATTCTTTGTTCTACACTATGTTAAAAATAGCTTCAGTGAGGTCCTTCTCCTTATCTGTTCTTAAATCTAACAAATTAGATATAGAAAACAATCCCTTAATTATTATATATTGGATAACCCTATTTTTACATTACTATCCTAAGCATCATGGCTACAAAGAGGAATTCAACAAGATTCCTTCCTTTAAGATATCCAAATCTGAGAGAAAGAGATTTTAAAATAAAATAAAGCAATATAACATGATGGATGCTCCAACTGCAATGATATGATCAAAAGTCTATAGGAGCAACATAAAAGGAATCAGGAAATCTGCCCCAAAAGTTGTGGATGATTCAGAGTGAATGTCATATAAATTGAGGCAGAATAGGAGCAAAAGCCATTTAAGACAGAAAACAGTATTACCCAAGGCATGAAAGAATTATAAATAGGTGCTTTAAACACTGTTTAGGGAAATGGCTGAAAGTTTATAGATTTCTTTCATGAATTAGCTGGTTTATGTTTATTTGTGGTATGTACTAGACCAGACATTGATTCATTATACAATTATGATAATATCTATTTTATGATCAACAGGGTATCTAAGGTACTTGCATCTCTTTAAAAGAGAAATAAGAAGTATATATACAGTACAGGGAGGGGAAAATAAGCTTGTGTTTCTGAACTGTTTCAGTTCAATAATTAAAGGCAATCTCAATACCTGTCTTTGGAGAACTAACCTCTCTAGAAAAAAAGACTATTGTTTCCTGTACCATTGAAATAAAATTTCCAGTTTTCAGGAAACTCAATTGAAATAACTGTAGATTCTATGCTTGGCTAATCAAGAAATGTCATACTGAAACAATTTTATGTATTTATTTTGTAACATAAACCAACACGATGTACTTTGCAAATGATATTATGATTTAATTTTAGAAAATCATATTATCTCTTAATAATGAATTTTGTCATCTGCTTATGTCACACCTGGAGGCCTACTAGTATTAAAGGTTATATGTTTAAAGTAAGTATTTGAAAACAAAGTCACTTGAAAATGATTTTATCTTCATTTATGATTATCATAATTGCATACAACTGATGTTTCTGCCTCATTTACATAATTGTGAACAAGTGACATATTTCTATATTTCATTTGAAATACATTCTATTTTTCTATTCTCTAAGTAAATATTTCAATACAAAATTCTTCTTCTATGTCTGTCTATGATGAGATATCAGAAATAGTGGTTATGAACATGGAAACTGTTTTTTCTAAATCTTGAGCTTCTAAGCATCGTCAGATTTTCAGTGGCACTACAACAAACATACAAGCTGAATTGCATTTTTTATATATACTTACTTTTTATGTTGACTTTGTAGCCTTATTTTATGCCAAAACCATTTTATCTATATAAACCTGAATTCTATACCATCATAAATGGTGTAGCTTTTCACAGCAGTGCACTTCTGAGTATTCTATCGTCTTTGAAATAGTTACTTTACAAATTAAATGTTTGATATGGTAACTTTAGCTGACTCATGAATGAATTCATGCAAAATTATTTTAAATTCAAAGTGCAAGTGATTTTTGAAATCCATTTTGGAGATATAAAGCACTATAAAATTTTAAGATAGAGAAGCAAGTGTTTCTGCTCTAAGAACTTCCTTAAACACTGTCACATAAGCTGAACATTGTATCACCAAATTTATTGGGCTCTATTAATATGGTAGAGAACTGATACTGAAGTAGATATAGTCACCATACTGTGGATTCTCATTAGACAATGAATCCAGGCATATGTATTTTTCCAAGTTAAATTTCTTTCTTCTTTTTTTTTTTTTTTTTTTTTTTGAGACGGAGTCTCGCTCTGTTGCCCAGGCTGGAGTGCAGTGGCGCGATCTCGGCTCACTGCAAGCTCTGCCTCCCGGGTTCACACCATTCTCCTGCCTCAGCCTCCTGAGTAGCTGGGACTACAGGTGCCTGCCACCACGCCCAGCTAATTTTTTGTATTTTTAGTAGAGACGGGGTTTCACCGTGTTAGCCAGGATGGTCTCGATCTCCTGACCTGGTGATCCACCTGCCTCAGCCTCCCAAAGTGCTAGGATTACAGGCGTGAGCCACTGCGCCCAGCCAGAACTATATTTCTTATATAGTATAACTACACTGAATTTTTTCATGCTATTAAAACATTAGGCTGAATTAAATAAAACACATTTTTCCCCAAATAGTTTTTAAGATAAAAATGTGAGCCAGGTGCAGTGGCACACGCCTGTAATCCCAGCACTTTGAGAGGCCGAGGCGGGTGGATCACTTGAGGTCAGAAGTTTGAGACGAGCTTGGCCAACATGGTGAAACCCCATATCTACTAAAAATACAAAAATTAGCCGGGTGTGGTGGCACATGCCTGTAGTCCCAGCTACTCAGGAGGCTGAGGCAGGAGAACCACTTGAACCCGGGAGGTGGAGGTTGCAGTGAGCCGTGATTGGTTCAGTATTTTCCTGGATATGCCTGTGAGGGTGTATGAGTTCATTCTTACGCTGCTATGAAGAAATACTCAAGACTGGATACTTTATAAAGAAAAGAGGTTTAATTGACTCACAGTTCTGCATGGCTGGGGAGGTCTTGGGAACCTTACAATCATAGCAGAAGGCACCTCTTCACAGGGTGGCAGGAGAGAGAATGAGTGCCAGCAGGAGAAATGCCAGATGCTTATAAAACCATCAGATCTCGTGGGACTCACTCACTATCACGAGAACAGCATGTGGGAAACCGCCCCCATGATCTGATTACCTCCACCTAATCCTGCCCTTGACATGTGGGGATAACCATTCAAGATGAAATTTTGGGTAGGGACACAGTCAAACCATATCAGAGGGTATTCCTGGGTGAGAACACATTGGAATCAGTAGACTGAGTAAAGAATTGCCCTTCCTAATGTGGGTGGGCCTCATTCCACCAACTGAAGGCCTGAATAGAACCAAAAAGCAAAGTAAAAGAGAATTTGCCCTCTCTGCCTGACTACAGAGCTGGAACATCAGTCCTCTGCCTTCACACTAGGACTCAGACTAAAACTTACACTATCAACTCTCCTAGTTTTCAGGTGTTCAGACTCAGACTGGAGCTCTACCATTGGCTCTCCTGGGTCTCCGTTTTGCCAACTGGAGATCCTGGGATTCTGGGAGAGATGGGATTTTGTGTAACCTGTCTTAGCTTCCTTGGATTTGGGGCCTTAACAATACATGGTAATAAATCTTGTATTTGCTTGCCTTTATCTTTTCTGTATGCTTATCTCTCGGAAGGCTTACCTAATAAATTGTCTAGTCCAGTTCAAAAATGTTTATTTATATTTCAGTTGAGCATTATTGGTGCAATTATTAGTTAACTTAAAAAAAATCATAAGCTATAAGTTTAGAAAGAGGAAAGGAGGCTTTATTTCTTATAAAGGGCTACAGCCTGCATAGTGGCCATTCCACAGGTTGGAAAACATACCTTTAGCCAAGACCAGAGACACAGCCCTTGGAAGGAGAAGGTGTTAGGGTAGAAGCTATATGCTGAACAGGTTGGCCAAACATGCATATTCAATAGGGTACAGGAGGAGCTATGTATATTCATAAAGGTGGTCCTGACACATGCTTATTGAACAAACCTGCATGTAACATATGACCCCTGTTCATTTTAGGTTAGAGACTCAGCTCTTAGATGTATTAGGCCCTATATTTTAAAAGGTATTTTTAGGACACAAAGACATGCAAGTGCATAGCCTGTGTAAACCAGCCAGAACTAGCCCATGGTTGATGGTCTCCTTTCCAGGGGAAAGTTATTAATATCAATCTCTTATCCAGTCAGAGCTGTAGTTATGGCTGGTAGAACAGGGGTTTTGTTAGTGTCTGCCAGTGGATGTGCTGCATTTGTTTCAATATTGCTTATCTTGAGGCCAGTGCTTGTTTTGCGGTTAGAAAAAAAGAAAAAATCTTGTGGCAGTTACAACATAGTTTATTCTTTAAGTGTAGGGGTAGGTGACTTAACTCTTGCCGGGCATGGCCTTAGGTCCTATTTATAATTTGGTGTCTTATTGTTACAAAGAGTCTGCTTTGTCAGTCTTATAATTTCTATTTTAACATTAAAGCTCCTCACTTGTTGTGTCTAAACCACAAAAGGGAGAGGGTATAGCGAGGCCTGTTTGACCTCCTGTCCTGTTATGGCCAAAAACTCAGTTTAAAGGTTTGTTCTGGGGTTGCCTTGGCCAAGAGGTTGTCCATTTGGTCAGTGAGTAGGTGGGGGGCAGCCTTAGATTTTATGTTTAATTTGCATGCTACTGTAGGTGAATAAACCATGGAGTTTTAAGAATACTGTGTATGAATAAGCCTAAGTCTCAGAAAATGATGACAATTCACTCCGGATGATTTAAATTAAAAAGATCTAGCAGAACATGTCATTTCTTCCCACATTCTACTGGTCAAGTCAGGTTACACAGCAAAACCTGAAATGAATAGTGTCTGAAAATATACTCTACCATTGGGGAAATGTGTCAAGGGTAAAGAGGAAAATATAAATAAGGATGCAAATGACTACAAACAGTGCCCACCTATTTTTTCTATGTACAATTATAAACAAGTCAATGACTTGTAAATATGAGCTGATGCCTGTTGCCAAGAGTTTCTTTCTGGCACATGTACCAAGAATTGAAACTGTTTGACTGTCATGTGTATATTTCAACATCACAAAGTAGTGTTGATTGATTTGTTTTCCAGAATGGTTTTACCAATATACATCTTTTATGTCTGCCTGGAGTTTTTGTCAAACATCAGGGCAAAAATGACATGCTATTTCTTATTTTACTTGAATTTTCCATGAGTATGTATTCAGGTTGATCATTTTTTTTCAAATACATATTGCCCTTCTGACAAATTGATTGAAAATCAAATATGCTAGAAAGTAAAGAAGTTTCTTCAAAGAGTGAAAAAAATAAGACTTTATAAGCAATTTTAAACAGCTGACTATATTGTTGGCATCTAGTTTTATACATTTTGTAAATAATCAAACCCTTCCTAATGGTAAAAGAGTGGAGGCTCTGAGTAATTTGGCTATATCATTCTCGAGGAAAAAAAAATCAGGCACTAAATTTGCTTATTGCCTGGTAGTAGTTGATATTTCATCCCTCATTGATTCATCCCCAAAATACTCATTGAGCTCCCACTATGTGCCCATCAAGTTCTAACTGCTAAAAAAAGAGCAGTGAACAAGTAAATAACACAACCAAGCAGGATAACTTAAAGCCAAATAGATTTTAACATATAGTATGTAGAGGTGATAACTATTCTGGAAAAAAGATCTAAAAAAAGGAGATAAGGATTTTGGGGTTAGAGATGGGAGTAGAGACTCACAAATTAAATAGGCTGTCAGGGACAGCCTGATGACCTCAATGAAACCCTTGAAGAAGGTGAAGGGGTGAACAATTTAAAGATATGAAGAAAGAACTTTTCAAAAGTAGAAACAGTGCGAGGACCCTGAGGTGTAAATGTACCTGGTGTGGTCAAAGAATAGTAGGGTTGGAGCACAGGGGTAGAAGAGAAGAACCGTAGATGATGAGATTAAGGATATAATGATGATTAGATTCCAGTGAAGTATTTAATCTGGGTCATACTCATAGACTGAGTGAGATGGGAAGACTTTGGAACATTTTCAGCAAAGGAGTGAACTTATTTGATTTAAATGTTAACAGCATCTTTCTGGCTGTTGAGACGGACTATAGAATTACAAGGGTAGAAGCAAAAAGACCAGTTAGAATCATATTATGATAATGCAGGTGCATGATGAAGATGGTATGGACTAGTGGCAACAGTGGTGGTGGTGAGGAGTGGTCAAATAATAAAAATGTTCTGGAGGGAAAACCAACCTGATTTTCTAATGGCTTGAATATAAGGCATGATAAGTGTGAAGAAGCTAAAGGATAATGCTATGTGTTTCTGCCTGAGCAAATGCAATAACAGAATTGTCTATAATGAATAAAGGAAATGTTGAAAGAGAAGGACATTTAGGTAGAGATACTATGAGTTTGTTTTTATGTATTATAATTAAAATACCTGTTGAATATTTAGATAAAGATACAGTCGAGAGTTGGTTATATGCCATTTGAATTTTAGGGCACCATCCAGGATTGAGTTAAATAGAAAAGGGTTTCAAGGACCCTGCCATGAAGCATTTTAAGAGGTTCAGAAGAGGAACTGAGAAAGAAAATAGGGATGCAATAGCTAGTGAGATAATGGGACATTCATTAAATTTTACTGAGACTTTTTAAGTTTGTTGAAAGGCCAAGTAGTGATGTCATGGTTAAAATAATCTAATTTCCAGTTGCTTTCAGAATCAGTGTTTATTATTTATCCTAAGAGTCCAGAAAACTCTCTCCCCTACACAACTTTATCCTACCTAATTATGTATTATACTTGCATCTCTTCTACTTCATCCTTCTCTTCCACTTCCTCTGTCACTACTCAGTAAAATGATGCCTTTCTGTCTTTTGTTTATTATGTCTTTTTCCAGCTCTGACAAATTCTTTCAAAAAGTTATTCATTTGCACTTATCATAAGGTAGCCAAGGTTAATAACTTCTTTAAAGCAATTCTAGAGTTCTTTTTATTTACACAGGAACATACACACCACAGCAGCACACATTTAATTCCATACTTTATTTTTAATCTACTAGTTTAGGTTTCCTAAAGACAATTTGCCTCTCCAGCATGATAGAAAGGACCACTGCTTTGCTTTGCCTTAAGAAAGTATAGTAACATTACTTTGAATTAAATGAAATCTCTTTGCCTCACTGCTCATCCACGGCCTGCACATGAGCTTCACATGTGTTATTTTAGTGTGTGGCTTTTCACAATTTATTATATAGATAAATGGCCTTGAGTTCCTGTTTACTATTACTGTTTAGCCCCAAGAGCTGACAAAACGATGACCATTTGTTCACCTTCAATCTCCAATCTTTCTCTCATTTTATTTCCCTCCTCAACGCTACTCTTACATTCAATATAGGAGTTGGATTTTATTTCCCTCCACAACTCTACTCTTATACTCAATATTCAAACATATTTTTATTAGGGATACCCCATTATTAAAGTCTAAAATTAGTAAAGTAGAGGTAAAAAGGTATTTTCAGTAATTTTTATATAAAATTTTTAAAATACTTGCATACATATCATGTTATTGCTTAGATATTTAAGTGGACCAAGATTTCTCAGTCTTTTGGCCCAGGGACATAGACACATTCATTTATTTTCCTCGGTCACTTATTATGAGATTCTATGAGACTGGAATTCTTTATCAGAACATAATCTGTTACCTGAATTTGAGAGAATCACGATCAGTTACCTTGTCCTCTGTTTTTTCCCCTAAGTTTTAATTCAAGGATAACGATCAAAGTGCAGGTGGTTTCCTGTAGATTAATGATCATTCAGGAGAAATCCGTGTCCCTGGGACAAATGTCTAATCATTAATCCTATAGAAATGTAAGGTACATAACACATTATCATCACCATCAACTGGCAATTCTTTTTTCGCTCAAGTAATTGCTTACTTTATTTCAAGCTGATGAAAGCTCTAAGGTGGATATTTTGTAGGCAGACGAGCTCTGTTAATTTACTAACCAAAGAAATATCAGATAAGGAAAAAAAATCCTGACCAGTGAGTTGTATAAATTTGACTCAAAGGAAAGGAGTTTTAAATTCAGGTAAGTACACTGTTGAAGGAGAGCATGTTAAATGTTCTCTATTGCCTGCCAGGCTTGTATGTTTGGGGTCGCTGCTTATTTTTTAATGAATGTGTTGTTTGTCAAAAAATATTTTGATTCTTTATTAGATTTTATCAGATTAACTATATCTAATTTATAATGCCCTAAAATGGCAAATTTACTTTGGGAATAAGCTTAGGTCAACTTTACAAGGAACAGGCCCTTTTTCTGGGTGGCTGGTCAGTTGATGTCCTGAAATTAGAAGTGAAATCAAACTTTCACATCATAACACAAATATTTTCAAATAAAAATATAAGGGTACATGTGGAAAACCACTCCATGCTTTCTTTTATCCACCATGCAGCTACTGAATACCTAGTAAGTTCTAGGCACTCTTCTAGACACAGGGAAGATGGCTGTGAAAAAGAAAGTCACTAATGTCCTCTGCTGTGTACATCATTGTTAAAAACAATGGCTTAAATAATAAACACATTAATAACGTAGAAAACACTGCAAGGGAATGAAAAGTTCCATATGTCAAATCAAAGTGCCATGTATAAAACCAAATCAGGAAGTGATTTATGGTGGAGTGCAATCCTAGATAGGTGGATGAGAAAGGGTTTTCTGAGATGACGTTTGAGTATTCCTAAAGGATGTGAATGAGCAGGCCATGTAAAGGTATGAAGTAAAAGGTTTCAGGAAGATGGAGCAACAAGTACAAAAGCCCTAAGATGATAAAATATTTGGCATAGTCAATGAATAAAAAAATAATGTTAGCCAGTTGGAGCAGAGTAAGCAAGGGGAGCGTGTTGGAGATGACTTTGGATGGACAGACTGTGGAAGATTATTTAAACCCTTGGACACCACAGTAAGAGTTTGATTCTTCTTCTGCGTCTTATGGGGAGCCATTAGAGAGTTTTCTGTAGGGTACAACAGAAAATCTTTTTAAAAAATATTTTTCTGGCTGCTGACAAAGATTGTCTCCTTGTCTAAACTCTAGTCAGGCTCCTCTGAGTCCCCTTCTTGAGTAAGCCTCAACCTTGGCCTATTAAACTACAGACTCTCAGCACAAATGATTTTGTCCACACCTTGCCTCCCCTAACCCACACACACATACACACACACTAAGAGACATGAACAAACACAAGCACAATTTCTGGTAGTTCAAGATATGTCCTTAGGAGGACAAAGTGAGCTCCCTTAAGCACCCTGTGGGAAAACTAAGTTTGCTAAAAGAATATAAAGTTTGTTCCAGCTAACACCTGAAGACAGGGTCCTTGTCTCAGCTTCTGTGGAAGAGCAGCAGCCTAACTCTACAATAAAGAGCCAGTTCGCAAATGCACATGGCCTAATCACATTGGTGAACCCCTGCTTTTTGCTTTTTTAAAATTCCCATTTTCGGCCAGGCGTGGTGGCTCAGGCTTGTAATCCCAGCAATTTGGGAGACTGAGGCGGGTGGATCACAGGTCAGGAGATGGAGACCATCCTGGCTAACGCGGTGAAACCCATCTCTACTAAAAATACACAAAAAGTAGCCGGGCGTGGTGTCAGGCGCCTGTAGTCCCAGCTATTTGGGAGGCTGAAGCAGGAGAATCACTTCAACCCGGGAGGCAGAGGTTGCAGTAAGCCGAGATCATACCACTGCACTCCAGCCTGGGCGACAGAGCAGGACTCTGTCCCAAAAATAAATAAATTAATTAATTAATTAATTAATTAATTTAATTTAATTAAAAATAAAAATACCATTTTCCTGATGCTGCTCAGGCCCCAGCAGAGACATTGCTGTTGCTGTTCCCTATTCCCTCATTCTTCCTTTAAAATGTCTAGTCATTTTTGCACAAATCCAAGTTGAGTTCAGCTTATGCTGTACTCTCTTCCTTGTTGCAATAGTAATTACTGCATAAATCTATCCTTACCACCTTAGTGTTTGGCTCTGTTTATCTCTGACATTGTTTGAAGGACAAAATAACTGTAAGGAAGTAAGCATTGCATTAGACACAACAAGAAGCTGATGAGGTAGTCTAAGAAAGACTGATAAAAGTTATAATAGTACAAGTGGTGGAAAGGCTCTAGATCTTGATGTATGTTAAAGAAAAAACGGACAGAATTTGATGATGAATTGGATAAGAAAAAAGTTCATGCTTTTATTTTTTACATATTTTTATTGTCCATAGAATTTTTGCACTGAATAGAAAATATTACTTTTAATTTTGTTAAAGTATAATTTACATGACTTTTTTTTTTTCCTTTTTTTTTTAGACAGAATCTTGCCCTGTCACCAGGCTGGAGTGCACTGGCATGATCTCGGCTCACTGCAACCTCCGACTCCCTGGTTCAAGCAATTCTCCTGTCTCAGCCTCCAGAGTAGCTGAGATTACAGGCATACACCACCACCCCCAACTAATTTTTGTATTTTTGGTAGAGACAGGGTTTCACCATGTTGGACAAGATGGCCTCGATATCCTGACCTCATGATCCGCCCACCTCGGCCACCCAAAGTGCTGGGATTACAGGCATGAGCCACCACGCCTGGCTTACATGACATTTTAATAAATAAATGTATAACCCACATTCCATTTTTTTTAAGACAGTCTCTGTTGCATAGGCTGGAGTGTAATGGCGTGGTCTAGGGGCTCACTGCAACCTCTGCCTCCCCGGTGCAAGTGATTCTCCTGCCTCAGTCTCCGGAGTAGCCAGGACTACAGGCGCCCGCCACCATGCCCTGCTAATTTTTTTGTATTTTTTGTAGAGACGGGGGTTTTACCATGTTGACCAGGGTGGTCTCAAACTCCTGACCTCAAGGGATCCACCTGCCTTGGCCTCTCAAACTGCTGGGATTACGGGCATGAACCATTGCGCCCAGCCTTGTAACCCACATTCTTAGAAACATTTCTATCACCCTTATATGTTCCTTTGTGCTCCTTGTCTTCCCCAGCTCCCACCCCAAACAAGTAGACAACCACTTTTCTAATTTCTTTCACTATTTATTAGGTTTACCTCTCTTAGAACTTCATATGAATTGAATCATAAAGTAGATACTCTTTTATATGTTTTCTTTCATTGAGCATAATTTTTTGAGATTCATCCATGCTGTTTTATGTTTTAGTAGTATATTTGATTTTATTGCTGAGTGTTATAGACTAAATATGCATTTCCCTCCAAAGGGCATGTGTGGTGGACTTACACCCCAGGGTCATGGGATTAGGAAGCAGGACCTTTGCAAAGGAATTAGGTTTAAATAAAATCATTGAGAGTGAAACCCCCATGATGGGATTAGTACCCTTATAAGAGAAAGAAACCTCAGAACTTCCTCTTTCTTCCATGTGAAAAAATACAGCAAGAAGGCAGACATCTTCGAGCCAGGAAGAGGACCTTTTCTGAAAACTCAACCATGCTGCCATCCTGATCTTCATCTTTCCAGACTAGAGAACTGGGATAAATACGATCTCTGTTGTTGTAAGTCAGCTAGTCTATGGCCTTTTGTTATAGCAGCCTGAACTAAGATGCTGGGTCTAATTACATGGTATGGATTTAACACAATGTGTTTATCCATTCTTTCTTTGACAGACATTTAAATTGTTTCTAGTATGGGCTTAATATGAATAAAGATGTTATAAACACGTTGTATAAGTCTTTTCTTGTACATGTTTTAATTTTTCCTTTGTAAATATATAGATGTGGAGTTGTCAGGTCATAGGGCAAACATACATTTAACTATATGAGAAACTATCAGAATTATTTCCTAAGTGGTTGTATTGTCACTCACCAGCTATGTATGAAAGTTTCAGTTGTTTCACATACACAAACACCTGATATTGCCAGATCTTCGAATTTTAGCCATTCTTTTAGGTGAGAAGGATTATCTTATTGTGGTTTTAATTTGCATTTCAGTGATGACTAATGTTGAGCATTTTTTTCATGTGCTTTGAGACATTCATATTCCTTTCATTTGTGCCCACTTATATCTGTTGCATATTTACTCAGTTGTTGTCTTTTTAGCATTGAATTGTGGGTTATTTACATATTCAGAATAAAATCTTTAATCACATATATATACTCTAGCCCAAGGGCCCCCAACCCCCAGGGCCGCAGACTGGAACTTGTTCGTGGCCTGTTAGGAACTGGGCCGCACAGCAGGCGGTGAGCCATGGGCGAGCAAGCATTACCACCTGAGCTCTGCCTCCTGACAGATCAGCGGTGGCATTAGATGCTCATACGAGAGTGCACACTCTTGTGAACTGCACATGTGAGGGATGTAGGTTGCGCGCTCCTTATGAGAATCTAACTAATGCCTGAAGATCTGAAGTGGAACAGTTTCATCCCTTAACCATCCCTCCCCCACTATCACTCTCATGGAAAAAGTACATTTCACAAAACTGGCCACTAGTGCCAGAAAGGTTGAGGACGGCTGCTCTAGCCCATATTCTGTCAAAAAAACTTTACCCACTCCAAGTTTATTAAGATAGTCTCTTCTTTTCTCCTAGAAGATTATTTCTTTTAACTTTTATATTTAGGTATATGACCCATCTCAATTTAATTTTTGTGTTTGATATGAAGTCTGGTCAAGTTTTATGTTTTATAGATATCCAATTTTTCTGTGCCATCTGTTCAAAGGACTTTCTTATTCTCATTAAATCACTTTAACAACTTTTGCCAAAAGTTAATTGATTATGTAATTAGGGGTTTATTGCTGCATTCTCTGCTTTCTTTCATTGATCCATTTGTCTACATTTAAGCCAATGCAACAGGGTTTGCTATAGGGTTATGGTAATCCTGAAATAAGTAGTGTACATTCTCCAAGCAATCTTTTGCAAGTTTATCATCTAGTCAATTATTTCTTCTTCTGGCTCCTCCACAACTAAATCTCTTGGACTTCTGTCCCCCATGGGCGGAATATCTGAGCATTTCTTCACTTTTCCTAACAGAAAGACTCACATAGTCATTCTCTTTCACTTATAAAGGCCTGTAATCTTTATCCATGTAACTATTTGGGTAACAGAAGACAATGTCTAGACTCAGGCTTACTTCAAGAGGCACATCTGAGGTTACCAGCCTCGAGATTTAAATGTAGAGTGGAAAATAGAATATTCTTTTGTATTAAGTCCAAGCCGAAGTTTTTAATTGGGCTTTAAGGTTTCCTTGCACTGGGAGTTGCTGGGTGCTTACACACAGAAGTAAAATTGACATCTATTTTCTGCATCCCTTGTGAGTGTTACCAATACACTACAAATTAGAAACCTATAGAGGACAAGAAGGGAGAGGCATCGTGATTCCTCTCTTCTGCTGAATCACTGCAGAATTCAGTAGTTTGGTGTTTTTACCATAACATAATTTTCAGAGCAATATTATTGGAAGATTTCCTTAGAAATAAACAAAAAAAAAGAGATAACTTTCACACAAACATCATGGAATATTTTTTAATGTTTTGTGGCTTCCTGTATAATTCTCTTCTAACAATAATTGAAAATCTAATTTCAACTAATTTGTTTTCAATAGAAAACATAGGGAACTTCTGCTGAGAACAGGATAAAACTTTATTCATTTATTTGCAAATGCACATATAAAGCTTAGAATGGTTTTGCTATTGGTAACATGAACTATCTTTGACAGACATTTAAAGTGGAGAAGTAAAGTAGATTAATTTAACTCAGCTTTTCTCCCATTCCAAACAGATTGATCTTCAATAAACAGAAAATGGAAACCCTAAAACAGTACCATTATCCACTTAGAATACAGCAGGCTGAAACCAGCAACAAAATGAAGATATATATTTCCAGCCTATATTTTGAGCATCGTGGAACTTTCTGGATGCAGCACAAACCAGGGGGGAGTTACCATTCTGTAGGAATTGTGGCCAATGTGGATAAAGAACTACCACTGAAAAGATGGAAGCCTACAGAACAGACCAAAAGATAAATGTTCTCTGAGTTTCTAAAATGCTTAGATGGGTTTCATGACTTTTGCACCTTCTGAAACTGAATTTTCTATTAATGAAACCACAAAAATAATATGATATTTTTGGGAGTTTATACTCAAAGTTGGCTAACAATAATGAAGTGGAATGGAGACACTTAGGGACTCTATTATAGATGGCATGACAGGAATAGATAGCATAAATAATTGGTATCTTTAAACTCCTGAGGCCGACTCTAAACAATATCTTTCATATCTATGTTCTCCTTCTTTTAAATCCATGTATTTCATAAGTCCTGATAACTTAAATGATTGAATTCCACAAAGGTGTCCTGACTCAGCTCACCCTCTCCTGGAGGTGTTAATGAACAGTGAAACAGTGACGAAAACAGTAGCAGAGTGAATAAAGGAGCTGATGGGAACAAAAGATTGTGTTTTGTTTATTTGATCTTTAAAATATAGAGTATTGATATTGTCATAATAAAAGCTAAGGCATAGAATGCATTTAATCCTATACATTTTCCACTTGGCTTTCAGTGATGCATAAGACTTACTAAGATTGGCATACTATATAAAGGCCTCAAAAGGAGGTATGTACTGTGTTAAGTTCTTTGCATGCATTATCTCTAGTCGGTCCTTAAATGGTGAAGCTGTACAGTGTAGGAAAGATACAGTATAAGGTAATGATTAAAAACTTACCCTAGAGGCAGATACCTGGATTAGAATCCTAGTTCTTCCACGTATTTGCTGTATGATTTTGAGCAAGCTACTTAAATTATATTCTCTTCAGCATTTTTTTTTGTAAAGTAGAGGTAATAATGTTTATCATTCTGGGCATTTGTAAACTTAAATATATTTTTAAATAAAGAATGCTTAAAACATGCTTACTACAAAATGAACCCTTAGTAAATTATGTACAAATGTAATAAGTTGGATACACTTAAAAGGGTTAATTATAATTCTTAAGTTCTCACAGTTTTAGTGGTGAAAATGGGCCAAAAACCAAGATCTGATTTAAAAGTGAAAGTTCACGTTGAATGCATATCCTATATACTGTCACTTTCCTTTCATCTAATTAAGTATTTAGAACAAATGATTATATTTGCAGAATACATCTGTAGAGTAATGTTTTAAAAGAAACAAATGCCTCTGCCATGCTAGTTGACAAATGATATTTTAGCAAGGTGATGCCTAGAAAAGATGCTCTAATATTTGCAATAATCCCAAGGCAGCTTTTAACTCATAAATGAAAATGGCTTTCCTCTGTAGAAAACTTGTCAAGTAACTGATTATTATTATCTTGTAAAGGCCAGTTGATGTCTTCCTCATTCATAGCCCAACAATGTTCCAAGGAGGAAGAGGTCATTTAGAGAGAAACCTGAGACACTAATCAAGTTGACTACAAGTGACTTTTTTCCTCAACATCTCTTTCTTCATGTATTTTTTTAAAAAAGGTTTTAACTAGATTATCACTAAAATCTGTTACAGGTGTTTTTCCAACTGCATACCATTACTATCAGGGGAGAAAGGAGGGGAGATGATGAAAAAGCATCTAGCTGTTCTGGCAAAATTACCCAGATCACATACCTAACCCAACTTGTGTATTATTACTTAATGTTTAACAAGAGGGAGCAAAGATGTGTCAAATTAATTGTCTAATAATAATCTTACATAAGACATAAGATGACATAAGACAAAGACTACATTCATAAAGGAAATAATGAACCCTCATATTTATAAAAAGCTTTAGTTTAAAGTACTATGTAATATGCAAAGACACACAGAGCGGTATATTAGACACTGAGACTCAGAAGAGGGGAGCATGGGAGCAGTTGGAGGGATCAAAAGCTATTTATTGGGTACAATGTACACTGCTCGGGTGGCAGTTGTACTAAAATTTCAGACTTTACTGCTATATAATTCATCCATGTAACCAAAACCACTTGTATCCCTAAAACTACTGAAATAAAAAATTAAAATAAAAAATAAAATCAAGTGTTACATATTGAACATTGAATTTACAAAAACCTTACAAAGTAGCTGTTATTACTGTCTTTACAGCAAAGGAAAAGAGCACTTTCAGCAATTTTAAGGTGTCTAATGAAAGAAATCATTTTAAGAATTTAAGGCCAGGCGCGGCGGCTCACGCCTGTAATCCCAGCACTTTGGGAGGCTGAAGCAGGCGGATCACGAGGTCAGGAGATGGAGATCATCCTGGCCAACACGGTGAAACCCCGTCTCTACTAAAAATACAAAAAAATTAGCCGGGCGTGGTGGTGGGCGCCTGTAGTTCCAGCTACTCGGGAGGCTGAGGCAGGAGGATGGTGTGAACCCAGGAGGCGGAGTTTGCAGTGAGCCGAGATCGCGCTGCTGCACTCCAGCCTGGGTGACAGCAAGACTCCGTCTCAAAAAAAAAAAAAAAAAAAGAATTTCAATCAAGTCTTTGATTCTAAGTCCAAAATTTGGTTACTACACCATAGCTATGTGTCTGTTAAGTTAGCATCTTCGTGCTCTATAATGTTTTTCTATCTCTTTGCATTCATTTTTCTTTTAAAAAAGCAACAAAAAGTTTGAGTCTATATATTTATGTTATACAAAATACCATTATGATATAGAAATGCAAAATTAAATGAGAAAGAATATTCTCTAAAGGTTAATGGTGCAAGAATGGATCCTGATTTAGATCCTGGCTTTACCACTTACTTAGTTGGGTCAAACTGCTTAACTTCTGTATGTCTTAAGAACTTCACCTGTGAAACTTAGATCATAACTCTATCGCTTAGGGCTGTGAGAACTCAGAAACACATATCATAAAATGCTCACATAACATTCCAAAACGGGTCCCCTTTTTGTGATTCATTCATTTATTTGAAAAATGCATATGTCCTGAATAAGTGGGACAAATAAAAGATGTAAATCATTACTCATTCTCATAAAAAATAGTTGTAAGCCTAAATACAAGTTGGGCCATATGAGTGGTATAGAAACATCGTAGAGTTGTATAAATTGAGAGGATACTTAATTAACATTTAAGAAAAAAAAAGCTTGTTGTTACTTAAGTACATTATGGCATAAATCTGCAATGATTAATTGCTTACTAGTTCTAACAATCTTAAGTACCCATCCTCAAATAACCTTTTCAAAACATTAATGCATAACATTCATGAGAAAATAACTATGGTCCTATTAATTCTCTTATCCATGGCTAATGCATAACAAACAAAATACCAATTTCAAAATCCCAGAAAACATTGTTTAGTGATGACAAAGTAGTAGACAAAACTATCTCTTATTTCTCCGTGACTCTATAATTAGCAAAATGACTACAATTTAAAAAAAAATTGTAAGCACAGCTAGTGCCTTTAATGGCAGGCTATTTATCCTAAAGAGTTGAAGTGAACTGTAAAACCATTATGGTCTACAGTTGGGACTCAGAGCCTTAGGTATTGTATTTAATTAATGTTTGATTAAGTATAACATGAGCAGAATATGTTTATAATCTTTTCTTTGGGGAATTATGATGAGGAAGAAGAACACAGATGATTTCGCTAAGCTTCCAATAGCAGGCTGTGACCTGTTTTATTCCCCCAGTCTTTGATGAACACACGCATTCAGAAACTAGTTGACTGGTTTGGTAAAAATTTTACAACATAGTTTGCTACTATTTGATGTCAATCTTGCCTTTTAATGAGAAGAAAAGCCCAAGGAGGAAAAAAAGCGGGAAAAAGCTAGTAAAATAAATATGGAGTTTTTCCTCTAATTTGTGATTCTGAGGGCTAGCACTCATGTGTACATCTAAACATGTACTGTTTGTACTAAAGACCTGATTTTGAGGTAAGTCCCTCATTTTGCTCATTTCAAATAGGAATGGGAAGGCATTTTATAACAGCTGCTTATCAGAATTGCTTCTGGATATTAAGCCTTCCTCAGAATCAGCTGGATGTTTAAGTGTTGGACTGTACAGAAAAATGCAAAGAACTGAATTTGCTGCATACCACCTGGGGAGTAGGACCTCATTAGGAAGGAATGTGTTTGCAGAGGGAGACATGACCAGGTCGGATCAAGTTCCGGTGGTTTTGAAAATAATGCAGAGTCAGGTGAGTAGTTACAGTGGAAGGTCAAACTTTTCTATGTTTAGCCATGTGTTAATTAATAAGAAATGTTCTGTAAATATACATTCTTAATTGCCACTAAATTAAACATTCATTTGTAACATTTGCTTGAAAAACATTAATTTCTTAATGAGTATGAAATGAATAGGTCATACTGGGAGTGCACACAGAACTCTTCATAATGCATTAGTAAAAGGAACTAACTGATGATAGTAAATTTTGAGCTTCATAAGAATATAAGAAACACTCTCCATGAATATAAATATTTATGGTTATTATTAATATCCTCCTAAAATATGAATTACTAAAAAATCGGAGAGTATTTTGTTTACACTATAAATACTAAATACAGTAGATTGTTTTACTTTGTATGCTGGAGTCAATCATTCAAACTATCTGTGTAATTGAAATAGACATCAATCATTTTGCCTGCATTATCCACAGCTACTTTAAAGAGAAATTCCCTCTTCTCATTCTTGTCATTTTACTAAATATTCCACAGCCAGCCCTCATAATGTTTCCTTAAAAACATAAATCAGTTGATATCACTACTTTGCTCAAATGCTCAAACGAATTTTCAACTAAAAAAGTAAGATTCAAAGTCCTTTCTGTGGCCTAAAATTTCACTCCCTTATAGACCTCATTTTTTATCATTCTCCTGCTGCTCTCTGCTACAGTAACATTGTCATCCTTGGCTGTTCCCCAAACTTTCCAAAGCGTGCTGACATCACAGGACACCTAGAACACCATTCTCCCAGATAGTTATATGGCTTCCTCCATCTCAACCTTAATGCATCTTTTCAAATATCACCTTATCAGAGAAGTCTTCTCTAATTAATTTAGCAATAGTATTAATAGCAGCCCTATCACATTTCCGTTATATCCTGCTTTGTATTTCTCCCAGAAGACCTATTACCTCCTGAGACACTGAATATTTATGTATCCATTTCTTTGCTGTGCATTTCTCCCTTCTTCAATTTCACCTCAACTGGATCAAGATTTTGTCCATTTTGACCGCAGGTGTAACTCAGAGCCTGGAACAATGTCTGAAACATAGTAGGCACCTAATAAATGTTGTTGAACAAATAACAGAATGAATAGTTACAAACCCAGGTTAAGACATAACTATCATTAGGCTTTTGTTTTCCCCACTAGCCCTCTCCTTTCTGACCACCGTTGATTAGAAGCTACATAATTTGAAGGTGGCTGATGCATAAGATAGGCAGAGTCCTACGATATGACATAATACAAAAAAAGCTCAAATAGTCTAATCATACTCTCCTTGATGTTTAAATTTGATCTAGCAAATATCAAGATAATGAGGCAATTTGTATTCGAAGATAAAGCTGGAAAACTATTTTGAGAGGGTTGGGATACAATGGGGACTATGTGGGGTCACAGAGAGCAAATGTTGTAAAGAAGCAGAAATCGTGAGCAGATCCAAAAATAAGCTGAGTTGCCATAAGCACACACCAGGAATGAGAGAGAGGCACACAAGTAGCTTGTTCATAAATGCCTCCATTCCTGGCATGTTTTCCAGTTCTATATACAATACAATCAGGCAATTTTGTTTGGTATCCATACACAATACAATCAAACAAATTTTCACTTTGTTCTGGGTAACTCAGTGAGATGATCCCTTCCTAATTTAAAAAAATTTTTTAAAGCCTGTAAGCCAATTTTTTCATAATTGTGACTACTAATAATTACAAATGTCAGATGAAGCCTTATAAGAAAGTTCATTTGGAATAATCCACCGCTTATCCAAATGTATCCTTCAGAACCTCTGGAGATATGGATCTTTGTGATGTGAGGTTCATAAATGGTTCATTTTTATTGTTGTGGGCTTCCATGTTCTAACTGAAAATGAATTGTTGTTATTTAGTTCACAAATAATAGTGGAATCATGTTCAAGTTATATCTTTGTGTCTCAGTTTATCATCTTCAAAAATAGGGATGATGCCTCCTTATAGTATTTGTTTGATGATAGGTACAATGCTTGACACAAAGTGTATTCTCCCAAAAGTCCAATCACATATATTCTTTCTCTCCCTCTTTTTCTTTCTCTACGTAGGTGCATGTGTGTTGTGCATAATTTTAATATGCTGTGTCTATGTGGACTGAAAATTCAAATTAAGGAACAGTAAACCATTTAGAAGTGAAAATGTTTCTGGATTTGTGATCTTTGTGACTCTTCATTAGAGCTTAAGCCCTATCCTCTCTTAAATCTCTGCTCTATTTATTAGTGGGTCCATGTCTACTCACTGAGTTGGTAGGTGGGGTTTTTCTTGAAAGACATAGTTATGTGTCCCCTTAGGACCTTAGTATGGGATACATACAGTATTATTGTGTGACACATACTCTTTTGTCTTTTTAATTGTTCAGTGTTTCCTAAAAGAGCTGAGTTTTAAAATATCCCACTGTACTAGTTTTCTTGGGATGCCATAACCGAATATCATACATGAGGTGGCTTAAACAGCAGATGTTTATTTCTCACAGTTCTGGTGGCTCATGGGTCAAGGTGTCCACTGATTTCGTTTCTGGTGAGGGCTCTCCTCCTGACTTGCACATGCCACCTGTTTGCTGTGTCTTCACATGGTCAAGAGCGATCACTCTAGTGTCTCTTTCTCCTCTTTTAAGGGCACCAGCCCTGTTGGATTGGAGCCTCACTTAATTAAACCTTTATCACCTCCTCACAGGCCCTATCTCTCAATAGTCACACTGGGGTTTTGACCTTCAACATATGAATTTAGGGGGAAAGAAAATTTTTACTCCATAACACCCACTATTTGGCCCCACATAAATACAGTAGTGATAGAGACTTGTGACCATGTTGAAGGCCTTCCTTGGTACTTGGATTTCTTTTAATGGTTTCCAAAACAATCTTTTTGGAATTGAGTCAGGTTGCAGTTCACTTACTTGGCTAAAACATATGTGCATGCACACACACACACACACACAATTTATTTTAAACATTAGCGTTTACTGTTACTTTAGAAATTGTTCTATGCCTGAAAGAGATGGGAGAAAAATAATGTTACTTGGTGTATCACCTGATTTAAATATATGAAGTAGGAAAAATAGAAACAATAATTATTAGGTATCTTCAATTCATTCATCCTTAACTCTGTGTCAAAAACAGGAAAGAAAAAAAAATGAAGGCATTTTTACCCATGAGTGGTAACAGAATTAAATTGAAACTATTCTAAGAATAACTAGGCCCTGTTTATTCATAGTATAGACTATCATTTATTCATCTAGGACTCTCATAAAAGTGAAGAAAATGTAAAACTTTGAGTTACATTTAGAGAAATGTACAGTGTCTCATTTGTACTTAATTACAAAATAACAGATCTATTTATTAATTCCAAATAATTGAATATAAAGTTCAACAGTATTAAGATAGGAGTGCTGTGCAGAACTTGATAGAATGTATCATGTGTAAAATAAACAGAAGAGAATGCTACAGGAAAGTCAGAGAAAGGAGAGCAGTGTTACCAAAACCTCCAAAAAATTCAATAGTAAGAAAAGAGAGATCCAGTCGAATGGCCAGTTTGACTTGTTTTCCCTCTTACTAAGCATGTCTTCCTTTTTTGGTTCAAGAAGCGTATTACTTTTTCCATTCAACTTTCAGTTCAAGGACAATATCCTGCAGGAAGCCTGTGCTAACCATTACAAGAGAATGTGGATTTCTCACATCTCTACTTGTCCACTCTCTATGGCTCATTTTCATTCCTATCTAGTATTGCTGGCAGATTGACTTTTATAAAATTATCTACAATGTCACTAAATTCAAGCTCATTTCTGGCTGACTTTTTTTAGGTTCCTAGGGATAAAATGTCATCTCCCTATAATATGATTATCTCTCCCTTTCCACCATTTATTACTTCTAATTTAATTTCTGGCTTCTATCATTGATGAGAACAAAATTTCTAAATTATATTAAATAATAATGGTGAAGCAGAAATCATATAATCATTTCTCAATATAAAGACAAAGTTTTAAAATTTTGATTTCATAAGCCAGGCACAAAAAGACAAATATCACATTCTCATTTATATGTGGAAGCTAAAATATTTGAAGATGTGGAGGTAGAGAGTGGAAAAATAGGTAACACAGATTGGGGAGAATGAAGGCTGACAGAGACGATGAAGAAATAGATTAAAGGGTACAAATATGCAGTAAGTTAGAAGGATTAAATTCAATGTTTGATAGCAGAGTAGGATAACTATACTTTAAAATGTATTGTGCTTGGATGATGGACACCCTAAATATGACTTATCACAAAGCATTATATGCATATAAAAAAATTCTTATGTATCCCATACATTTGCAAAAATAACAAAATAAAAATTTTATCTCAAATATTTTAATAAAGAAAAATCATTCTAATGCTATTAAACTCAATTTTAAAACTTGAGATGGGTCTTTTAAGGTACTCATTTGAGCATATATTTCATTGATAAAATAATTTTTTATTGATTTAGTAACTTGCATTCTTGAATCAAACCCTTTCTGTAGTGTTGCATCATGTTTAATTCTAGTTGTTAGTATTTCTATCTGAATGTTTTATTATGTACATGTATGAAATCAGTATAAAGTTTCCTATTTTAATTAAATTATCAAGTTTGATGTTGAGATATTAACTGTATATGATGAATTTGTTAATCTCACATTGTTTTCATGATTTGAAATGGACAATGTAATATGCTAATTATATTTTTCTTCTAACTTCTAAAGATTTCACCAGTGAACACGTAATGATGTGGCTTTTTCATGCAGTATTTTCATATTTTTATAATTATTTCATTAGCTATTTTCTACTATTTTAATAATTCTGCTTTAATAATTTGGTGTTGAAATTTAAAAAATCAAATCATTTAAAATTTATAATATACAATTAGTGTATATGATATACAATTAGTGTATATGTATATAATATTTATTATCACTTTTTACATCTTTTTCTCTTAATTTGTATGGCTTCTTTCTTGCTTTCTTTTTTTCAGAACCAGATCTTACAGTAACCAATTCCTGTATTTTATTATTGCTATAAACCAGATAAATTTTGTAATAATTGGTTTGGTCAGACAGTACTCACAAATTGCTCTAAGCTGAGAATTGACCATTCTACTCTTCCAGGTTTCAGCTTATGTCAACTGTTATAGCATGGTGGTTAACCATGTGGATTCTGGAACGCAACTTTCTAGGCATGAGTCTCAGATTTACCACTTACCAACTGTGAAGTCAAGCAAGTTATTATACACTGTGTGCTTCAGTATCTCATCGGAAAAATCAGGAAATATGAGTAGATACTTCACAGGGTGGTGTTGAGAATTAAATGCATTAATTCACATACAGCATTTAGAAGACTGGCACAGAGTGAGTACTTGATAAATATAAAGCAATTATATTGATTTTTGTTCTACTTGATGGCATAACAATATTACAAGTAAATACGATATGTGAGAGGGTTATTTATCTGATTCCCTTCTGCTGCCTCTTTCATTGCAGGAAAAACAACAACAGCAACAACAACAACAAAACGATCAGGAATCTTGCCTGAAAGTAACAAACTATTCTGGTTGTTTGTTTAAATATCTGGGTTTATGACCCATCATCATCTCTCTAAGCAATAGATAAATGCAATGACTCATCAGCATTTTTCTGCATATGGATACCAAACTCCTGACAAAAAAAATGAAAACACCTGAATCTAAAGAGGCATGTGTATAAATATCCACTCAAGTAAACAAAAATAACATAGCACCCTATAAACTATCACCATGGGCTGCAAGGGACCACTGTAAGCAACCATTTTTAGAAAATAAAGCAGAGCTTCAAGCGAATGTAACAAAGCCATGTGCCTTTAGAATCAGCCATAAGGCATGGAGTTTATTAAATATAACTAGATGCTTATTCATTCTTTAACCCTGCAGTAAAACCTTGGGGAAATAGGCAGGTGTGATCAAAACACTAAGTAGGATTCTATCTTTTTTTACAATCTGCAAAGGTAGTTTCTTAGTGCTGTAAGTGCTTTCAAGTTTTTGTGATGATGAGATGTCTGCAGACTACATCAAACTAAGGAAGTCGTTTTTTAGATCCATAGGGTAACACAAGAACTTGATGCTTCTAGGATGCGATTCTGAGGCTTACTCAGGACACTGGCCATAAGCAATTTCTGGTTCTCATCCTTTAATCTCTTTGACTTCCCATATTTTACTTGCAAGTATTCCCAGTTTCATTTACTTTCCAAGTATCATTTGTACTTCAAAGATGCTTACAGCTTCATTTAATCTGTGAATATAAAAAAAAAAGTAAACTGAACGAAGAAGTGTACTCCATGGGCTAATATAGATACTTGAAAATCAGTTGAAAATACTCTTCACTGCAATGACTTTCCTTGAGAAATGAGAAAATGAATATGAAAATGTGTAACCAGGAGAGATATTTTGAAAAGTGTATTCACAAAACAAGTAAGAAATGAATTAATAATATATTTAAATTGACATCAACAATTTTATTTTTAAAATAATCATAAAAGGTGGCATTCAGGAAGTGTTTGTCTTTGTAATTTTTCATGGAAAGAGAATCTGCTGACTAAAGCTTCTGTACGATTAATCTGCCAGTCCTAAGTGGAATACAAAATTTGTGATGTACAGAAAGTGTCAGACTCAACTAATTATACTTTTTGCCTTATGAATAAACTATTACTATTGATTTTCTGATATTCTGGCTTTTTTTTCAATGTTTTTAAGAGCTATAACCACTGCAGTATCGCTTATCCTCTGAAAAACACAACCTCACTCAAAGGGAAATTTTTAGTGGTTGTAATTTTCCTACAGTTGGGTTTATGATCGGAAGAAGACATCCCAGGGCTTATCCAATCTTCTTTCCAGCATTCCCTCCCCTCTTGACTCCTATATAAGTAGAAGAGTTAGTAAATGACTTTGCTCCTTGGTTGGAGAGAGATACTCCCGATATTCACGTTTGTGTATGTAAAGGCTACAATGATAGTTCACTGAAGCACTATAAAAGTAACACACAATATGGAACAGAAAAGACTGCTAAAAAGGTAATCTGGAAAATTAAGCAGTTTGCAATTGTAAATTAACAATTATATCACTGTACTGCTCAAGAAATGATGCAGAAGAATCATATAGAATACAACTGAGAAATGGTATATATTTCCAAAGGAAAATGGCTAGGATTTTGTAGCAATTTACTCTTTGCTTTTATTTATAAATGCATTAACTCTTCAAGTTGCTAATCCTGAGGCAGAATTCAGTCTTCACTCCCAGCCTATTTCTCCTCTATTCTTACATTCATAATTATTAACACTATAATCCAGATACTGAAGTTGGAAACTATGTAATCATCCTGGAGATCTGACTTTCCCTCTCCTACTGTGCATGATCAAGCAGCTCTCAACCTTCTCTCCCTCTCCCACACTGCAGACATACCTAATAGACAGTATGCTAGCACTGCCATGGACAGATTTGATTTTTCAGAGCTGTAAAATAGAAAAAAAAATTGGGTTTACGTTTTGTACAAGCTACAATTTTTACTTGCTTCTTGTCCAGTTTCTCTCTAAAATTCATCACACACACACACACACACACACAAACACACATGAAAACTACTGATCTAAGCATAGTGTTGTCATTTATACCTTCTTATTCCACTTTCCCCCTCCACTTACTCCTCACTATTGCCTTATCTTAGGCATCCGTCATCCCTCTCCAGAGTATAACAACTGGTACCAGAATAGCTCCTCTACCTATTGCCATTCCTCTCTCCAATCCCTTTTTTCTTTATTAATCTTCCTGAAATTCAAATCCAATCAAGTCAGGCCTTTGTTTCAAGCTTTTATTCACTCCCTGGTGACTTTGTCACTAGCTCCCTATGACTCCACAGCCTTCATTTAGGTGTTTAAAAAATAAAAAGTAAAATAAAATATTTTCCTGAGACAACAATCCATTATGCTACCTCAATTATCCTGTGAAAATGGATGTATATTCTACCAATAAATATATGAATTGCCCAAGGAACCCATCCAATTGTGTATAGTGTGTATTATTCTATAGATTATTCTATAAATATCTATAGTATTTATAGATACTATAAAAGAAGTATTCTTAGGGAAATAATATGATACTGTAAAGAGAGGAATCATTAGAAATAAGTCACAAATATGAAATGGTATTTGGACTTTGAGCAATAGAACATGGAAAAACACTGTGCAGAATGAAGAGTCAGCATAACTGGTGAGGTGCTTAGGTTGACATTTGATGCCTTTACACATTTTAAGTTATTATAATTATTTTTGTTGCTCTTGTAGTGCTGCAATTGACTGAAATCTTTTTGAATATAGATACTATGTTCTATTTCTCTTTGAAATGTAACATATAATGGAAAAAGCATAGTATTTGTAACCATGTAAATTTGATTTTGATTACAAGACCAGCTATTCATTAGATGTAAGAGACTTTGAAAGTTACTTAATTATCTCAGTCACCTATCTCCTTTTTAGATTACAAATAGTAACAGTCAAAGGATTTGCATGAAGAGTAAATGAAATAAATTATGTCAAGTTTCTAGCACAAAGACTACTTATAATATACATCAATAAATGGCTGTGTGTGTGTGTGCGTGCATGTGTGTGTCTCTAAGTGTGTGTTTAGTAGGTATTTGGCAAACAATTATCTAGATGGATTTTTCTTACTAACATTCTGTTTCTAACTATAGTCTTTACCACTCAGCACATGCTGCAAGGATCCAGCAATGGAAGGAAAGATTCTGTGTGATTTTGAAAAGTCACAAAAAGGATTAAAAAAAAGTTGAAAAGAATCAGGATAATTAAGCATAGCAGCCTGTATAGAAAAATGGAAAAGTTCAAGGTGAAGCCTGTCAAAGTATTACTAACTAAATAGGTGTTCTCTCACACTTTCTGGATCTTAAGAGTAAATCTCATCCGAGTCCTTTCTCTCCAATTCAACTCAATAGTGGAGGTTTAAACTTAATTCCTGCCTTAGCCTATAATATATGTTTTATCTTAATCTCTTATCTTTGAGAACACTTGATAATATTTTTACAGTAAGTACTTTAGTCAAACGAGAGAAATTGGTCTCACAAACTTACTTTCAAAAGCAATCATACATTTTAAAATATTTTATTTAAAAATTAGCATATGCACAATATATGATTTTAAACCCAAATTACACACGTATACCATATCATAAAGAAAGACAAATTTATAGTAACAAATACTTCAGGAAAAATACTGTTAATAGAATAGCATTGATAGAATAAAATAATTCAAACTTGAAAGACGAGTTCTGAGGAAAAATGTCCAAAACTATTTTACCAAAACACATCACCATTATAAACCAAAAATGGAGGCAAAAAGGAAGGAAGGAAGGAAGGAAGGAGGGAGGGAGGGAGGGAGGGACAGAGGGAGGGAGGGAAGGAAGGAAAGAAGGAAGGAAGGAGGGAGGAAGGGAGGGACAGAGGGAGAGAGGGAGGGAGGGAAGGAAGGAAAGGGAAGGAGGGAAGGAAGGAAGGAAAGGGAAGGAAGGAAGGAAAGAAGGAAGGAAGGAAGGAAGGAAAGGGAAGGGAAGGAGGGAGGGATGGAAGGAGAGAAGAAGGGAGTGAAGGAAGAAAGGGAAGAAGAAAGGAAGGAGAAAAGGAAGGAAGGGAAGGAGGGAGGCAGGGAGGGAAGGAGAGACGGAGGGAGGGAAGGAAGAAAAGGAGGAAGAAAGGAAGGAAGGAAGGGAGAAAGTGAAGGAAGGAGGGAAGGAAGGGAGGAAGGAAGGAGAGAAAAGAACTTGTTCCCCTCTATGTGTCCATGTGATCTCATCATTTAGCTCCCACTTATAAGTGAGAACATACTGTATCTGGTTTTCTGTTCCTGTGTTACTTTGCTAAGGATAATGGCCTCCAGCTTCATCCATATTCTTGCAAAGAGCATGATCTCACTCTTTTTATGGCTGTGTAGTATTCCATGGTGTATATATACCACATTTTCTTTATCTGGTCTACCATTTAGATTGATTTCATGTCTTCGCTATTGTGAATAGCTGCAATGAAGATATGCATACATATTTCTTTGTGATAGGACAATTTATACTCTTTTGGGTATATATCCAGTAATAATTTTCTGGGTCATACTGAGGCCTATTGGAAGGTGGAGGGTGGGAGAAGGGAGAGGATCAAAGAAAATAACTAATGGGTACTAGGCTTGATGCTTGGGTTATGAAATAATCTGTGCAACAAACCCCCATGACATGGGTTCACTAATATAACAAACATGAATATGTACCCCTGAGCTTAAAATAAAAGTTAAAAAATGAAGAGCTGGACAGTGTCTCACACCTGCAATCACAGGCTATTGGGAGTTCAAGACAGTTGGATTGCTTCAGTACAGGAGTTCGAGACCAGCCTGGGTAATATGGCAAAATGCCATCTCGACAAAAAATACAAAAATTAGTCAGGCATGGTGGTAGGCGCCTGTAGTTCCAGCTACCTGGAAGGCTGAGGTATGAGGTGATCACCTGATCCCCGAAGGTCGAGGCTGCAGTGATCACTCCACTGTACTCCCACCTGAGCAAGAGTGATATCCTGTCTCAAAGAAAAAGAAAGAGATCAAGGAAAAGAAAGAAAGAGAGAGAGAGAGAAGGGAGAAAGAAAGGAAAGAAAGGAAAGGGAAGGGAGGAAGGAAGGAAGGAAGGAAGGAAGGAAGGAAGACAAAAAGAGGAAAAGAAAGGAAAAAGAAAAAAAGAAAGAGAAAGAAAGAAAGAAAAGAAAAAGATAAGAAAAGAAAACAATTTAATGGTGGAATTTAACCAAACATAAGTGTAAAGAAGTTCCTATAACAGAACTGGGACAAGTTTTAAAGTCAAAAACTGGTTGAACAATATGTACAACTCTCTGGATAAAAACACATCAAGGAGATCGAGGATCTTTCAAAAATTATTTAGGGATAAAATGTCAACACTAGATAAAGAATGTGAATTTGGCCAGGTGCAGTGGCTCATAGCTGTAATCCCAGCACTTTGGGAGGCCAAGGCGGGAGATCACTTGAGGTCATGAGTTCACAACTAGCCTGGCCAACATGGTGAAACCCCGTCTCTACTAAAAATACAAAACTTAGCCAGGCATGGTGGTGCCTGCCTGTAATCCCAGCTTCATGGGAGGCTGAGGCACAAGAATCGCTTGAACCCAGGAGATGGAGGTTGAAGTGAGTCAAGATTGTGCCGCTGCACTCCAGCCTGGGCAATAGAGTGAGAATCCGTTTCAAAAAATAAAAATAGAAAAAGAATGTGAATTTAAAACCTCAGCAATGGTGAGGTAATTGTTAGAAACTGGTGGTATAATGTACTTCTGGGAACATCTAAATCAAGCCAATGGGGTTTAGATTAGCAAAGATTAGCGAAGTCCTATCAGAGATGAGTCAAGTTTGCTCATTAGAAAAGTTCTGCATTGTACTGGAATGGCCCAGCCGTATTAACCCTACTATCCTAGTCATGGACTGGGAAGCAACACAGAAATATCCTGGTTTTGGTGTGGACACTGATGTATATCTCAAAAGTATTCAGGATGCATGATGCCTGTAACTATATTCCTTGCAGTGGATCTAAGCAGTGCACTCCCAAAGCCACCACAGTCATGAAAGAAAAGAATTATTTGTACTAATTCTAAGTGCAAACTTGAGCAAATGGCTGCAAGAATAATTGGAAAATCTTGATGGGATCTGACAAGCATGTGAGACCTTCAAGAATCTTAGAAATATTACAATACCCCCTGTATCTGCCAGGGTTGTCCCAGAGAAACAGAATCATATATATAAAGAAAAATCCAATCAATAATGCAGGCTGTCAGCAAGTGCAGGCTGGAACTTTCAGCCCTGAACTGAAGCTGCAGTCTCCACATGGAATTTCTTCTTCAGGGAAACCTTATTCTGTTCTTAAAACCTTTCCACCAATTGAATCAGTTTCACTCAAATTATCTAGCATAATCTCATTTGCTTAAAGTGAACTGATCATAGATGTTCATCACGTCCACAAAATATCCTTAAAGCAATAGCTGAATTCAAGTTTGATTGGATTATTGGGAGTTACAGCCTAGGCAAGTTGACATATTATAATAGCATTAACACCATCTCCCAAAGAAGAGGAATCTAGCCCAAAGACATAATCACAGGGACACAGTAAGGTAACTGAAAACAACAGAAATACCAGATGAGGCACAGTTGGTTGGGAGAAATAGATCCCAGCAGGGTCTGCAAGCATCAAATATAACATCTATGGATTAAATCACCATGTTGTGCTGGAGTATAGGGCTGTAGGTAGAAAATATTCCTGACCCAGAAGAGCATTGAGACACAAATAATTGGCCACAAATGTGAAGGTAGAAGATACCTTGAGGCATGGAACTTGGAAAGTTACTCTAGAAATTCCCATCTTAATAGCACATAAACATATGTTAAACATAGAATCCTAAAAAGTACAGCATTTAAATCTTTAAAATTATTTTTTAAAAGCTGAAGAACTAAACATACTATTTTTTTTTTTTCTGAGATAGAGTCTTGCTCTCTGTATTCCAGGCTGGAATACAGGGGCTCCATCTCGGCTCACTGCAACCTCCACCTCCAGGGTTCAAGCGATTCTCCTGCCTCAGCCTCTGGAGTAGCTGGGACTACAGGCATGTGCCAACATGCCTAGCTAATTTTTGTATTTTTAGTAGAGACAGGGTTTCACCATGTGGGCAAGGATGGTCTCCATCTCTTGACCTCGTGATCCACCCGCCTTGGACTCCCAAAGTTCTGGAATTACAGGCATAAGCCACCGCACCCGGCCCATACTGATATTCTTCATGGCAAAAAAGAATAAACCATAAAACATGTTCACAAAACAAACTAAAAATAAAATCTAGAATTTTAAAATAGTATTAAAAATTGTTTTAAAAGGATAAAACCTTTCAAAGAAAGTTTAATCAAAATTTTGTAATATAAAAATCAAACAAATATGAAAATAAGACATGAAAGGTCAACAAAGCAAAAAACAAAAAATAAGGATATTTATATAGTTTTAAAATCTTTAAAATTTTATGACTAGGCAATAGGAGGATACAGAATAAAAACTAACAGATTTCAGCAATGAATTACAAAAATGAAAATTATTTCAGTAGTAAAGACCGAACTAAAAGAAATTATGAAACATTTAGGGATGAAAAAGTTTCTAAAATGAAAAACACACTGGAAGAGTTTAACATCATATTAGACACTCAAGAAGAAGAAAAACACATAGCAAATTTTAAGTCATAGTTTTTGAAACATTCCAAATGAAGTACACAGATGGGAAGTGACTCAGTGAGTTTGGGGAAATTATCAAGCAGCCCCAGAAAAACAGAAGAGAACACAGGGAACTAGAAACAATGTATTTCTAAATTTAGTAACTGCAACTCTTGATATAAGAAGTTCAGTGAAACCAAAGCCAAAGTAAGATTACAAAATTACATTCAGAGGTATCATAATAAAATGGTTAAAAGGGATTGATAGGCTGGGTCGGGTGGCTCATGCCTATAATCCCAGTACTTTGGGAGGCCGAGGAGGGCGGACCACCAGAGGTCAGGAGTTCGATACCAGCCTGGCCAACATGGCGAAACCCGTCTCTACTAAAAATACAAAATTAGCTGGGCGTGGTGACACATGCCTGTATTCCCAGCTACTAGGGAGGCTGAGGAAAGAGAAGCCCTTGAACTCGGGAGTCGCAGTTTACAGTGAGCCAAGATTGTACCACTGCACTCCAGCCTGGACGACAAGAGCGAGAGACTCCGTCTCAAAAAAAAAAAAAAAAAAAAGAGCAGGGGAGCAGGGGGATTGATAATGAGAAAATTTTGAAACATCTCTTGAAAGGAAGACATATTTTGTACCAAGAAACTAAGATAGAAATTATAGCAAATTTCTCATCTGAAATTATGCAAGCCACAAAACAATGGAATAATTGTTTTTAATTATCTTAAAGATTTAAATTTAAATTAAAATTTAATTTAAAGATTTAAATTAAAATTATCTGAAAGATAATCTTTAAGGTAATTTTAATAATCTTAAAATACTGCAAGGAAATACATGTCAGCCTGAATTTTTAGCTAATAAAGATATTCCAAAAATGAGGAACATAAAGATTGCTCAGAAAAAAATATAAACAGAAAATGTATTGCCAGCAGAGCATTACTACAGGAAATGTGGTAAAGTTAGTTCTTCAGGAATAATAAAAATTGTACCATATGGAAATGTCTATCTATACAGATGAGTGAAAAGTGACAGAACTGGTAAATATATGGCAAATGTAAAATGTCTTTTTAACATTTGTAACATCTTTTGAAGTAAACTGATGGCTTAAAGCAAAAATACTAACAATATATTGTGAGTTCTAGGTATTATGAAATGAAATATATCGCTACAATTGAATAAAGAACATGAGTAGTAAAACGAAAGTGCACTTTTGTAAGGATTTTACAATATTATGAGTGCAAGATATCATTTCAAGAGGAATTGTGATGAGTAAATACATATATTATTAATTTTAGGGCAATTACTAAAAACTAAAACCAAGAGTTATTGCTACAGCTTATAGTTATAGCTATAATCCTATTATGAAGATAAAGTAGAAGCATAAAAAAAGCTTCATTCAATAGATGGCAAAGAAGGAAGAAAAAAGAACTAAATACAAATCAAACATAAAGAAACAAATAGCAAGATGGTAGGTTTAACATCATCAACCTCAATAATTTCATAAAATCTACATGGTCTAAACCTGAGATTGGAAAATGTTTTTGTAGAGGACCAGGTTGTAAATATTTTAGGCTTTAAGGGCCACCTATAGTCTCTGTAAATATTCTTTGTTTACTTATTTATGTGGCTTTTACAATTCTTTAAAAACATAAAATCAATTCTTAGCTCAAGGGTCATGGAAAAATAAGTCTTGGCTCAAATTTGGCTTGCAAGTCATACTTTTTCAACTCCCAGTCTAAAATCAATGTGCCACATTTCTACTTTAAATAATTAAAAAAAAGTAAAAAGGAAGTTAAGTGCAAAGTAAGGAGAAGGAAAACAAAAATAAAGATACAAACAGATATCAAAAAATTTAAAAAGTAAGTTCAGGAAGTAAGTAAAACCAAAAACTCATTCTTTTAAATTATCAATAATATGGATAAAGCTCATATTTACTTGTATATTTATGTCAGTAAATTTTAGTAGTTTTTTTACTTTCTTTCAAAGCTTCAATTGAAATAATACTTACAAGATTTAATATTTGAGTAAAATAATATTTATTAAAATGCCATGAGAATACCTGGAGCCTAGTAGGTGCTTAATAAATTCTAGTCTTTGTCCCTTGATAATGCTTCTACTAACAAGTTGCTTTTTTTTGTAATCATGATGATCACCTTCCTCTATTGACTATGTCACCTAATTGTCAATATATTCTCTGTTGTGACTAGAGAAATGGAGAAATAACTTGAACCAGTTATGTTGTCTGGTAAATATTAGAAGAGACAAGTTAAGTTATGGTTCAAAAGAAGTCAACTTTCCTGTTCATTGTTTATCTCAGTTTACACTCCACTGCCTTTCTTAAAATAAACAAACAAAGAAAAATTCCCTGTTCAAGAACTTCATGGGATAACAATATTTTACCAATTTCTTGTAAGTAGAAATATTATCATTTTCAAATAAGGTAACATAGAAAGCTTCTACCATGATCAAACAACTAGAATTATTACACAATAATACAAATGAGTGAATTTTATTCACCTCATGGCCTTCCTTACGGAAAAGTTGCTTGGATGTAAAAAAGATCATTTCAGATATTTAAAACATACAAAAATTTGTGTCCCCTCCAAATTCAGGTGTTGAAGCCCTTGACCCCCAGTGTGACTATCTTTGGAGATAGAGTTCAAAAACGTAATAAAGTTAAATGAGGTCATTAGGGTGGAGACCTAATCCAAGAGGATTGGTGTTCTTTAACAAAAGGAAGAGACACCAGGGGTGCTCACACACAGAGGAACAGACACAGAGGGAAGGTGGCCACCCACAAGCCAAGGAGAGAGGCCTTGTCAGATGTCAACCCTGCCAGCCACTCAATCTTGGACTTCCAGCCTCCAGAACTGAGACAAAATAAATTTCTGTTGTTTAACTCACCCAGTCTGTGACATTCTGTTATGGGACCCCTAGCAGACTTACACACCTATCATAGTTTTTCATCTATGCATGTGAAACAACATTAACCATATAGGCAAAAACAAAATAGAAGACAGAAGTAAGTCAAAATATATAAATAATTCCAATAAACACATATGAATTAAGATATTCTATAAAAATTAGAGGATTCAAACTGGATTAGATAAAAATCCAGCTGTATGTTGTTTTAAAAGGCACACGTAAAGTGAAACTTTTGAAGGCATGAGAAATATGTGTCATGGAACTACAACCAGAAGAAATATGGGAGCAACGTTAACATTAGACAGTTTACATTTTAAGATGTAAATAAGAGAGTAAGTAGGAAAAAATGTTTAAATACATGTCTTCAATTTGAAGTGGCCCCATGGTGTTCCTGGAACAAAGCCAGGTCCAGCTGCATTTTCTTGAGGCCCAATAACAAGAAGCACACGAACTAGGAAAGAAGGGAATTTATTACTATAACTGGATATAGCGAGAAGGCCAGAGATATTTCCACGAGACCAACTCAAAGTGTTAAAATTTTCTTAGTGCTTACATTGGTTGGGGTTACGTGCCTACGTGCAGTATAGCATTTGCCTAAGTCTATTGGTAACTAATTTTGTTTCAGTTAGAAGGTCAGAGGCAAAAAATGCTTGCTAAGTCTGATTAAAAGGGCCCCAGTACCTTCAAGACCTGTCTACTGTGGTGCCAGAATGATTATTTCTGTCTTATCCCCTTTACATTTTGGTCCGGAGAGCTGCCTTAGACTCTCCAATGGAATCTATTTGCACAGCTGCGTCTGTTACCTTGACTTGTCTCAGATTCCATTGACCTGAGATGAGTCTTGGCACTAGGAATGTAAGACTGTCTCTATTATTTTGACTTGCTGCAGGTTAGGGAGAAGCCTATGCAAGGCTCCTGCTGACCATATGTTTCATTTCTAGCTTTGATGGCTGGGCACCGATTTCCCTAGGTTTAACTATTTGCTCAATGTTAAAGCAGTGCTGTGGAAATCCACCTGTGTAACTGGAGTGCTATGCAGGCCTGTCTGTGTGACTGTCAGCAGGCCTGTCTGTGTGACAGACAGACTTGGAGAATTGGCCCGCCACAATGGCACATTGAGAAATGATGGAAAAAAGACTCACAGCCAGACAAATCCTAACAATATTCAGGGTTTCTTTGCATACCATGGAAACTTAATGAGCCAGATTAATGTTAAGCTATACTATCCGTTTAAAAGGGGAGTTGAATAAAAGCTTTCCAAAAAAAAAGCAGTCTCACAAACTTATTCTTAAAATATGTTTCAGTAAATTGAGAGATTAAACAAACAAACAAAAAAAACATGGAATCTAGGAAAGAATGGATTCATCACAAGAAAGTAAAAATAGGCTAATGTAGAAAGTAGTGTAGTTGTACAGATAGTCTAGAAACCAAATACTCGGATTAGAGGAAGAGAATGGAAAACTGCAAGAGAGCGAGATAGCTGCAGGAGAGAGAGAGAAAGAGACACATATTTTACTATCCTTAGTAATCTATAATGCAACAAAACAAAACAAAATTACCTAGAGGAAACATAGTCAAACTACTGGACATACAACTAACTGCATTTACATGGTCTTTGGAGATAATTCTACAAATTGTATCTATTGATTTTAACTTTCAGATTTACTATATAGTCAATGTACAACTAAATATAAAACATTAACCCATGATGTTAAAAATAGATAGAAGCATACAATGCAAAGAAGTTGGGTGCAGTGAGGAAAAGCAAAGGAGTATATAGGAGCTAATTATATGTCCTCAAAATACGAGGAATCAAGAGATGCTCTCCACAGGTGATGGTGCAACACACTTTTAAACTAACTGTACTATTGAAAGTTAGAGAAGTAGCCAATAGAAGAATTAGAATAACAATGTGATGTCTTGGCAAAAAAGAGGTGAGAGTGTTGACATATACTTAACACAACTCTACCATAATAAAAAGTCAGTAGATAATGTCTGAAGTTAGTAAAAAATCAAGCATTTTTTAACAATATGTTAGTGGAAAAGATAAGAATGTATAAGAGAATTAAAAGTGCTTAGAATAGTGGGGTTGGGGTAAGAGGGGAACTGAAATTATTTATTATAAGCTTTCTGTGATCCTCTGATAAAACTGAAAACAAAATCATTCAAAAAAATCTATCTGTACCAACAATCTCTTTACAATGTAAGATGAACATTTATGATTCTTCTTTAAACATACCTTTCTTAAATTACTGGAGCCATAAAATGTATTTTTCTGCAACTGAGTTGACAGAAAGAGACAGGCAATAAAAAGTTTCTGGGAGGTACCAAGGGAAGCGCTTTATAGATTCAGGCTTGGTTCTATAAAATAGCAGAAAAGGCAGCCACGACCAGTGGCTACATTCAGTGAATGGTGGTGGGGGAGGGGGTGATGAATCAGCCCAAACGCTCCAGCAGAGAATGAAAAAGTCAGCTACTCTGGAAGTAAAGAAATAAAGGTAATTTCAAAGGTCTGAATAGTTTGTGTTCAAGCTGTGAGACTATGAACCTGGAAATTAATATTGACTCACAAATTTCATTCTAATATTGTATGAATATGCCATTAAAACCACTAAGGAGAGGAGTTAATGGAGATTTAAAAAAAAGTATAGGACATCACCCCAAAAATGAGATCCAGGGAGAACCTCTGATGGCTTGGATGAAAGGAACTAACATTAACAGGAGTACATATGTGGACATCTCTTGGATGACTGCTGCATCTGGAATAGTGAAAGCGTTCAGACATTAAATATGTGCCGTCAAGGGTTTTTTAAACATAATTTCATTATTTATGAAACATGATTCTCTTTTACATTCCTAATGATAAAGATGATTGTAAATTGAATTTGGTAGGATTTAATTCCACTATGCTATATTTATCAGAGTAATGCTTTCATACAGGCTACATACATAATGTTATCAGCTTTGACCTAAACTAGAGCTGCATTCAGTGAGTATGGTGACTTTGTCAAATAGTTAGTGTTTTGCCTTTGAGAAGGGAGTGTGATCGTTTTCAGAGTATGTAATAGGAGACAGTAAATTACAGGAGTATTCTGCAATACTGTGACCTTTTCAGTATTCAGTAGTTTGAATAGCTGGTCTTTCTGTCCTACTTGATTAAAGCTCCACCAATCATCAAGAAAGTTAATGCAAGATAAAACATTTCTTTTAAATGGCACAGCATTAATCCTTTCATATGGCAGAAGTTGAAATGGGAACTGTTAGACATTTCTAACAAATTTCAATGTCTCAGCTGTGTTGCAAATCTTTAGACAGCAGCCATTGACTTTGGATGATGAAATTGTGACCTGGTAAATCCTTGATCCAGCTCTTTTTAGAGTTATGGTATATTACAAGTGTGCCTGCCAGGCATAGTGAGTAGACATGACCTTGGGAAATAACACGGATGTCTTCCTCTCCCATAAAGTATCACATACAAAGTGTATCTCCTGAGAATCCTATTTATAAATAGGTCCAGTGACATCAATTTTAGAATACCTTTTAGTAATCCTTTGCAAATCATAAACCTCAAAAAGAGAGAGTTCTTATTTACACTCAGTTAAGTAATTTATAACTGACATTAATCTGTGCTGAGCTGATAGCTATGTTTTGCTAATTACTAAACAAATATTTATTTATTGAGGAAAAGCTAATGAATAACAAAAATCTAACACTTTAAATGTAGGTTTTTCTATATGGTCAGCTATTTTAAGATCATAGAAATTGTTCTACTGACCAGTTTAATCCAAAGTATTCAGAGTTAATTTTTAAAATTCCACATATAAGAGAGACCATGCTATATTTTCTTTCCGTGTCTTGCTTATTGCACTTGTCTTAATGTCCTGCAGATACATCCACGTTGTCGTAAATGGCAGGGTCTCCATACTAGAAACAAACAGCAGAAAGGTGGTTACCAAAGGCAATGAATAGGTGGATGGGAGAGATTGGGAATGGGAAGAGTGAGGTTGGAGGGCAAAAGGTTGCATACACATAGAATGAATAAGTCTAGAGACATAACGTACAGCTTGAGAAAAAATAGTTAATAGTACTTTATACTTGAAATTTGTGAAGAGATTATATTTTAGGTGCTCTTATTATAAAAAAAGGTAATTGAAATAATGGATATGTTAATCAGCTGAACTATAGTAATCATTTCATTATGTATATTTACATTAAAAGATTATGTTGTACGCTTAATTACATACAATAAAATACATTTTAAAAATACTTCGGTTAAAGTAAGTTAATCTATACTTAAAATATCAGGACTTTCAGTATGTTGTAAATACATATGCTCTACTTATTTCAGAGTATAGTAAGTGTTTTAGTTTAATCATCAATACAATATGTAAGATTTGGAGTTGTATTACAGGAAATAGCTATTATTTGTATTATTCATAGCAAGCCTTTCACTGCATGACTTAGTGTCGGCACTCAACAAATGCATGTACAATGAGTGAGGAATGATGTATGATAATACAGGATAATTACATATATTAAAATTATTTCATTGTTGCCGGGCACGGTGGCTCACGGCTGTAATCCCAGCACTTTTGGAGGCTGAAGAGGGCGGATCATGAGGTCAGGAGATCCACACCATACTGACTAACACGGTAAAACCCCGTCTCTACTAAAAAATACAAAACAAACAAACAAACAAAATTAGCCGGGTGTGGTGGCGGGTGCCTGTAGTCCCAGCTACTCGGGAGGCTGAGGCAGGAGAATGGCGTGAACCCAGGAGGCAGAGCTTGCAGTGAGCTGAGATTGCGCTACCGCACTCCAGCCTGGGGACACAGCAAGACTCTGTCTCAACAACAAAAAAAAATGTGTTTCATTGTTTTCATGACACTACAAAGGTAGCATGAAATTTCTTTTAGCTGTGTTATAGATTTGGAAAATAGAATGACCAATATTTATAGTTAAGAAAGTATTATGTGAAAGAATGTATACATATAAACAATTGCTGATAGGAGAGTGAGTTAGTTGGCAGTACATTAACTAACTGTGGTTTGACTGAATGACCAGTGTTTGAAATGAATTTACACTAAACAAGGCCTCTCAATTAAAATTGGATTTGTTTTTATTATTTTAAAAAAGGAATAAATTTTTAGTCATTTTTAAAGGTTAAAAGTCATTACATTTCATGAGATTTAACTGTTTCAAACTAGAACTATGTTTTATCATTAAGCCTCTTAAAGCATTATTTAAACTACACATTGCTTAGTTTATTTTAAACTTTTATTCTGCACTATAAAAATTCTGGGAGAAAACCTAGAAAAATGCTCTTCTGGACATTGGCTTAGGATGATAATTCACAACTAAGACCTCAAAAGCAAATGCAACAAAAACAAAAATAGACAAGTGGAATTTAATTAAACAAAAAAGCCTCTGCACAGTGAAAGATAAAAATCAATCAAATGAACAGACAACCTGCAGAATCAGAGAATATAGTTGTGAACCATGCATCTGACAAAGGAATAATATCCAGACTCTACAATGAACTCAACCAACTCAAACACTACAAAAAATCACTAAAAAGTGGGCAAAATACATTAACAGATGTTTTTCAAATGGCCAAAAAGCACATAAAAAATACTCTACATCACTAATCATCAGAGAAATGCAAATTAACACACAATGAGATACCATCTTACACCAGTCAGAATGGATATTTTCAAAAAGTCAGAAAATAACAGATGTTGGTGAGGTTACAGAGAAAAGGGAATGCTTACATAAAGTTGGAGGGAATGTATGTTACTACAACTCCTATGGAAAATAGAATGGAGATTTCTCAAAGTATTAAAAATACAACTACCATTTGGGATTCGACCCAGCAATCCCACTGCTATTTATCTACCCAAAAGAAAAGAAGTAATATAAAAGAGACATCTGCCCTTACATGTTTATCACAACACTATTCCCAATAGCAAAGATAGCGAATCAACTTGAGTGTTCATGAATGGATGATTCCGTAAAGAAAATGTGGCATACATATGGACACATGCACACATAAACACACACACACACACACACACACACACACATATATATATATATATATATATATATATATACAGAGAGAGAGAGAGAGACCATGAACACTACTCAGCCATAAAAAAAGAAAATCATGTCTTTTGCAGCAACATGGATGGAACTGGAGGCCATCATCCTAAGTAAAATAACCCAGAAACAGAAGGTCAGTTATTCTCATTATAAGCAGGAGCTAAATAGTGTGTACACATGGATATAATGGAATAATAGACATTGGAGACTCAAAAAAGTGGGAGGATGGGAGGAGATCGAGACAGGAGAAATTATCTAATGGATACAATGTACACTATTCGGGTAATGGTTACACTGATAGCCCAGACTAAGCCACTATGTAATGTATACACCTAACAAAACTGCACTTGTACTCCCTAAATCTATAAAAATAAAAATAAAACTTTCTGTTTACATTTTCCCAACTTAGAGTTAATACTAGCTAATAGATTTTTTCTGACTTCTGTTGATTCTGAAATGAGAAATCTTAATCGAATCCAAGTAAAATAAGTCTTAGAATAGCTGGAAAACTAAGCACATGTGTATCTGATTTTGTTCTCTATGTCTATTTAAGGTAACATAATTTTTTATGTTTTATAAAATTTCTTTGCATCTGAGGTGCAAATAAGTGTTTATTTAATGAACGAATATTTTAATATATACAATGCATAGTATACTTCATTATCCATTTTTCATTCAAAAAATATTTATGAGGTGTCTAGTATTTGGCAGAGTCTAGAATTTGTCACAGTTGAAAGTGATGCTACAGACACTTTGTTAAAAAGAGGAGTGACCTGTTACTTTACATTCTGATTGGTATAAAGGAATATGAGCAAATGTACAATTAATAAATGAGTTAATTTCAGATACTGAAAAATATATAAAGGAAGCAAATGTGGATAATATACAAGAAAATAATTGGGGCTTGTACTCTTTCTGAAGTTTTCTCACTTAGCAGATTAAAAATAACTTTACTATTGTTCTATATATAAGAAAAATGTGATAATAACTATAAGAAACAATAAATCAGTAAGAGTTCATCAAAATTGATTTGGAATTTGCTGATACTGGCACGTCATCAATGATTAGTCTTATAATTTGGTGGCACTTTTTTACTATAGCTTTATACTTAATAATGATTCACTTTGCATTATAAATATAATTGAAAATAACCTAGTACCTTCTCTGTACAAACGCAGGTTAGTAATTTTTAACGGATCCAAGTGACAATATTGGTTCAATAATCAAGTGTCAGCTTTTTTGTGTTTTTCTTCTCTGCTTATACAAAAATAGAGGTGATGCTCCCATTTTAAATAATTGAAGTATGGATTAAAATACTAGCACTCTGACATCCTTTAGATATTCATAATATAGAACTAGCCAATTGTTTATGCCATCTGAGAAATGGCTGAAAATATTAAATTCTAAATAAGATTTCATAATTTTGGTAGAATTTATACATTTTAAAAAATAGTTATATTATAAGAAAAATTCAAATTTCCCAAACAGATTTTTCATTAAGTTTCATATAGGGGAAATGGTTATGTAAAGTATTAGACAAGCTGGTATGCTTTCACACTTGGATCAATCAAAACGAAATTAAGGGGAAATTGGGCTTAATTGCTAAAGTATTGGTGCATAATTTACACGGGGAAAGAAATCACTTCTGTTCCACTGTTGCCCAATCACCTTCACTATGGGGATCAACACAGAGGAGATCAACTATAAACCAGAGATGGGCTATATTGTAAACATGGAAATAACCTAATCCATATCTTGGAATCAGCCTCTTATTTCTTGTTTAACCCTCATCCTCTCGTGGAATTCAAACTTATCTTGGGTGATTCTCCTTAGGTGAACATTTATGAGAACTGAGAAAATTTAAAAGGAAATATTCCATAGCTAATGGCAGTAGAGGGAGGAAAAATGGAAAGAGAATGAGGAGAAAGTAGATCTGTGTTATTCTCAAGATCACTTTAGGAACTTAATTAATTCATTGCTACATTACTTTTTTATGTTGCTGATGAAGATTTTCTCTGACAATATAGGGATTTCCCTAGTTGGAGACTGAGCCCACGTTGCTATTATTGTTTTATAGGTTAGGAAACTATCATTTAAAAGTGAAAAGGAATTTCTGTTAACTAAGTATTAAAACTTGAATTTATTTTTGTGCCATTTCCCTTTAGACAGTGAAAAATAAATCACTCCACAGAAACTTGTGAGTTAGGCAAGCCTGAATACAGGGAAGCAACTAAAAATAATAACTTACGGATCACACATTTAAGTGTTATATTTACCAGGGTAAATTTACTGTTTATTGTAGCAAATTTATATCCCTGCATAGGCTTCACTTAGATTAATGTTTTGTTTTGTTTCTTCTAAAGAAAAATTTAAAGTGTCCTATGTCTTTAAGTCATGGCTTATTCTTGCAGAGTTTGGGATGCTCTTGTTCAGCAGTAGCTCCTGAGGGATCTGGAATATAGACCCTTAAAACAACAAGGGTTCCAACCAATATACTGTTCACCTCTTATCATAGGAGAATTGATGAAAACAACTCTCCTATGTTGTTGGCAAAGTACAACCTGGCTCGGAATGATGATGTGCTAAACTCGGAGGACACTGGTGCTATTATTTCTGACTAAATTTATTTAGATCTTAGAAAAATGCACTGATGTTGAACTATCTTTCTCTGATACCTTCTGTAAAGCCATAGCCATGCTGCTATGCACAGCCATGCAATTTGCACACTGTGACAAAAGCAGCCTGCCTGGGGACAGATAGAGACTGGAATTCAGCCTGGCACAGGAGTGGTTCCCACTAGAGGAAGGAAGAAAGGAACATCTTTGTCTTTTTTGCACAGAAGTGGAATCTACTCATTGAGCTGTAAACTCTGTAGATGTGATCCTCTGAGATGCATCGTTTTCTATCTGCCTGCAGGAGATACCTTTCCAAATTCAAACATGGGCTCTGAATATGCTTCCAGAAGCCTTGAGAGCAGCCTTGTAGATGAGAGTTGAGATTTTCCCACAATGATTAGATTTGCCCATTGCAAATTATCCAGGAAATTATTCAGGAAATAAAGACTTAAGGACTAGGATTCAACTAGTCCTTGATGAAACTTCGTTTCTTTCTAAGTATTGGGAAAAAAAAAATTTGGATTCTGAAACATGGCGATATGTAGATTCCTATCAATGCCATCTGCTTGTGGTACAGGAAAAAGGGAGCAGGGTTGCACATTAAGGATCATTAAAGGCAGAAATTTTGCAATAGTCATAAGCTTTGTTTTACTTTTCTTCCAGAATTCTAAACCTTTAGAAAATTCTTACCAACTATGATGACTAGAAATGACTTCCTGTGGATAATTACAGAAACTGCCTCTCTCTTGTTAAGGATATAGTTCAAAGGTCTGATCAATATTTCTTTTTCTAAGAAATAGTGGGGACATGTTTATTTATGGGAGGGGCAATATTTGCAGAGGGAGCTGGCACAAAGGTCTGGCATGGCAAGAAATTAAAAAACAAAATTGATATTTCATGTGCTCTAACACATTTTTCTTAAATGCTATGAACATACTTGAACCTGGTGATTGTCCTAGAAGCTGATTTTTAATAACAATATGGACAGCTACTCACGATAGCCATGATAAAATTTTTCATAAAATAAATTAATATTTATTAACTAAAATTAGTTTTATGTTTTTTCTCTGCTATTGAAAATATTTTCTTTCAATTTTTGAATTATGATGTGTATCAAACAATACTAATGTTTCCCATTTGAAATGCAGTTTAGAAAAGATCACCAAGAAACTCGATAATAATCCCAAAAGAGATGTCAGAAATTTTAGATAAAAAGAAATAACTAAAAAAAAAATAACTCCATTTACAGCTGATAAATTACCAATCAGAAAACATTTAGCCAATGCCTTTTATATAAATTTTATATGAAGCCTTGTAGAATGAAGTGTTCATGGACCTTATCTGAAGCCACATTAAGGAAGCATATTTCTGTTTATAAAAACAATGATCACCACATTGAGAGGAACAAAGTAAAGACAGCTGGAGGGAGAAAACGCACACATGTCAGGTACAAGGTTTAAACTCTAAAAGGGGCTGAAATTGGTTCTCTTCCTCTTGTGCAGTAAGCAAATTCCCTTTGAGTTTGATTTCCAACACTAAGAATTCTCATTAAACAACAGAAAGCTGTGGACACACTGCTAGATTGAAGAATTAGTAAATCTAAGTTATGGACTTAGTTCTCTCATGAACCATTGTGTCTTTAAATAAATCAGTTATTCATTCTGTATTGATCTTATCGTTTCACAAATAAAAATAATTATGTTTGCCTATTTCCCGTTTAGCTCTAACAATCTCCCTTTTAATGACATATTTTAATTGGCCTTGGTTTTGACATTAAATGTAGAATGCTATCTTGGAAAGAGATATTAAGAGAAATAATTTGCTACACTTACAGCATAGTTTTCCAGGCACAGAAATAAATGAAGTAGGGTTGCTTTCCACGAAGGCTGAAAATTATCTGTGACTGTCAACAACATAATACAGCTAGCTACACAACTCATTCATTCATTCATTAATTTTTAAAATAATTACTATGAGCCAAATTCATTCTAGTTATGGGAATGTAGCAATAAACAATGGAGACAGACCCACATGTAGCTTAATTTCTAGTGGGATTTATACAATGAACACATTAACAAATAAGTAAATTAGGCAATTTCAAGTCAATACATCAAAGAAAGTTAAGAAGGGTAAAGGCTTTTGATGGGGATACAATAAGGATGGAAGATACCTAATTTAGCTAGGTTAGCAGGAAAAACTGTTCTGGAAAAGAGACCTTTAATATGAAACCTGAATAATGTAAGAAATCACTGATGTGATGATGATCTTAAAAAGAATAGAAGGAGAAGGATTCCAGCAATTTAAATGAAGAAGATATTTCAGACTTGGGCTGACCGCATAGAAATCATGTAGGGATTGAATCACTTATGAGGATTATTGGTTCCCTACTCTTGAATATTCTCATTAAATAGGTCTGAAGAGGTGAGAGAATCATTTATTCTTCATTTGCACCCTCCTGCTTTTGGTGGATCTACAAAGAAGAGAACAATGACAGATACAAAATGGAACTTTCTTTCTTATCCAACTAAGGTAGATCAATTGGGCAATTAGGAGGTTCAAGATGAAAAAATAAAGTCCACTTTCCTATTCACTCTGTTAAACAAGAAATAACCAAAATCAATCATAGATAGAGCTGACCCCTTAATTCATACCAAAATAAATACTGCAGTCCTACAACATTTCACATGAACACATAAAATATTTAGAAAATTCTATCTCAGCAAATGCAGAAAACACTGTCAATCTCAGCTATCTTCCTTTACTTACAAAGATTTAGAGTGCTTTTGAGGGGCAGAGAAAAAGCTATAACTATCATTCTAGATCAAGCCACTACCATTAAAATGCCTGTCATACTTATGATAAAAACAAAGATGAACACAAACTGCTTATGTGGCTGAGAAACTATCAGTAAGCAAATTGACAGTATATTTAGATACTTGCTATTTCAAAACAAAAAAATTTCCTAGACAAAATATAAATGCTGCTTATATTTATAGAACAAAGCTCAATTTCTTAAAAATCTTTAAGAATTTGAATACTAACTGATGAAACAACATAGCAATATAAACTGCGTCAATAATCTTTTTGAGAAAGTATAATTGATTTATTTATTAAGATTGATATGAATAGTATTCCCTTTTCATATTTCCTTTCCCAATTTGCTCCTAAATCCCATCACAGATACAAACATTTGCATCCAAGTCCCATCGTATACGGAAATATAAAAGCTGCAACATTGACGGGGCCCTTGGTGGATCTAGAATGTTATCATGAACCAGCCAAAGCTCAATGATCAAAGTCAGCTGAGGCAAGGTCTTCATGGTGAAAGAAGAAAGATATCAAACATGAAACTAAAAGCTAGCTTCTACTTCTGACACTTTCAGGAACTAATTGTCAAGAAGTCCCAAGTGGATTGTACATGTTGTACCTAGTGAGTTGCATGATATCAAGCGTAGAGGAGCTGTTCTGCTAAGGAGAGTCAACTGCTGCTGATGGCAGGAATGCAAAGTACGTGGACCTTGGTATGCAGGGCATACCGTTGCAGTAAATTCAAAAGCCAAAATCTATGAGCCATTTGTCCGGGCTTCTCTGTCCTAGGACCTCAAATCTCAGACCCTTTCCATAAAAATTTTACACTTTTAAGGTCACTCTACAAATAAGCTTCAACGTAGAGAGGGAGTTAATACAAAGGAAGACATAAAATTCTGAAATAAAATCACCTGGTTTAGTGTCCTGGGTAGGACCAGCTTCAAGTGCATATAACTTTCTCAGGGACCGAAAGAGGCCCAAACCTGGAATTTAATGTTCAGCAGTGGTTGTCTTGAAATTCTTACTAATTTTATTTTTAAATTTGTTTTGGAAGCGAAGTCTGATAGGGCAATGGAGCATGCGTGCACTGGGGGCTTGTAGCCTGTTTCAACACATCCTGTCTCCCACCCCCAGTCCACCTTCCCACCTCTCCTGGATGAGTTCTCTGTCACCTGCTCTGCTACCCCCACCTACCAATTGCTGCCACCCTTTCCTTATGGTGGGAGTCTAGGCACAGGCACAGGGAGGGTTGGGGTTGAACACAGGCCTTATGCAGCATTGAAGGCAGGACTCCCTGTATCTTTCATCTTTTAAGGGCTGACATTAACTCCATGAGTATCCTCATGCCCAAAGGAACATGTCACTAAATAGCAAATTAAAACCACCATGATTGCCGAAGAGAGAGAATGTGGAAGAAGGGAGAAATCTTTTTAATTGATTTGTGAACAAGGGATCTCACATTTTCATTTTCCATAGGACCTCACAGATTATGTAGCTGGCTCTGATTTCAGATTTACTATACTTGCTGTGTCATCCTAGGAAAATCACTGAATCACTCTAACTTTGTCTCTTCATCTGTAACTATGGATTTGGTTTACTGGTATACAGTGATGCCAACTGAAAGTATCATTATCTTGATAAGAAACGAGATAGCAGGAGGGGACGTAATGAGTTGCCTTTGAGCTGATCGATTAATACTTACTTTGACTTTAAATCACCTTAAACATACAAACCTGTAGATCATCCACTGAAAACTAGAAGTATCACTGCCAAATCAGAGAAGATATGTTTCTCAAACATCAGATTAGAACTTGAAAACACTCCCCATAGACTTAATTTTATAAGTCTTAGCCAGACTGTACAATATTATTTAGTCTTATAGTTGAACTATATACAGATTAAATAAAACTGTGTGGCCTTGTTTAGAAACTTGTTACTTTTAACATTATAATGTCATTCTTATATTTTCACAGGAAAATATATATTTTGTGTTTCAAAACATACCGAAATAAACATAGTTAATCATGCATCTTTGTATGCTGCAGGTAGGCTGACAGTAATGTATTTTGAGATTTCAGTAGTGGCTGTTAGGGATGTACAAATTAAAAGTACCTACTGGCCAGGCGCGGTAGCTCACGCCTGTAATCTCAGTACTTTAAGAGGCCGAGGAGGGTGGATCACGAGGTCGGGAGTTCGAGACCAGCCTGGCCAATATGGTAAAACCCCATCTCTACTAAAAATACAAAAATTAGCTGGGCATGGTGGCATGTGCCTGTAGTCCTAGCTACTTGGGAGGCTGAGGCAGAAGAATCGTTTCAACCCGGGAGGGGGAGGTTGCAGTGAGCTGAGATTGCGACACTGCACTACAGCCTGGACAACAAAGTGAGACTCCATCAAAAAAAAAAAAAGAAAAAAAAAAACAGTACCTTCTTTCCCTCTGTAGCACTCCTCTGCTTCATATCTCTAATTAAAAATTAATATCCTAGAAGGAGAGTTAGATCTAAGATACCCTGATGTTATGTATAATGTCCTCTCTCTCTTTCCCTTTCAGTCATTTTTACTTCTGTGTTTCTCCTAACCATCTTAGTATTTTCACCAGTTAAAATTTAAATACATCAAAGCCCATGTTGATTTTTTATTTAATAATAAAAAAGAACTAAAAATTCCTATGAAAATATTCTAGGACTGTTGGAAGTGTTTTTTTCTTCAATGTTGCTGAGAAACACAGTCTTTTAAATACTTTTTTCTCAGGAAATATTAAGCCTAGGATACAGAAAGTTCATCTTTTTATGTAAAATCAGAAGTAACTACATATTGAAATCATGTTTCTAAAGCCTAATTTTACTGTGAAGGCAGAGTTATTAGAAGCACTTTTTCCTGCAAGTAGAATTTAAAATGCATAAACATGAGATAGTTTGGACTTTATGGCACAGCAGCAACAAATATATAATTGAGTATTGGGGCTTATTTTTATTGCTCCACACATATCAATTATCTTTCATCCTAGTCTGTAGATAAAGTGGACAGGCAGTATTTAAATTCAGGTCTTTAGATACTGTTGTATCACATGGGGAGTTGCAGACATGTCAAGTACATTGGAAAAATTAAAATCAGATCTGACTACATAAGAATATTCTGAATTAAAAATATTTTCAAATTCACTGAAGAATATATGGTCTTACTAGGAAAAGAAAAATTTTGCAGTTCTTCTCTTATGTACTAATATCATTTCAAGCTGAAATAATCAGAATATATATTGTAAAAATAGTTTTGAAATATTAAAGAAACTGACAGTGTGTAGAAGACTTGAAAACTACTTATGTGTAAGGAGAGTATCAAAGGTCTTTGAATCTTTTATTTTGAGAATATGAAGAAATAAGATGTGCATATTGCACTGGGCTAAAAATAGACTTCATCTCTCAAATGGGCTTCATGGCTAAACCCATTAGGCACCGATCTGATCTGCTCAGTTCTTTTATGACATTGTCCCTAGTCACATATTTTCTTATTCAAAACTCATTGTAAATCTTAAATTGAGAATGACATAAATCAGCTCACTCAGTATCCTGGTAACTAAAGCTGTAATTTTTGACTTCATAAACTCCTTATCCAAACATTGTAACATTAATCCTGACACATTTTGTCACAGATTTGCTGAATTTCCCTTGATTCTGCTTCCCATTTCTTTCCTCAAATACTCTGAAATAATTTTACCTTGTTCCCTCTTCCTTGGTTAGTTTTTATATTCTCATATTAAAAATCAATTTAATTAATGCTTTTTAAAATTTAGCCATATTTATGTTAAACTTTGTAAAATGAGCTCACAAAAATACATGTCCTTAATATTTAAATGTGTATATGAATGACATGAAGTTATATTTTAGGTATACATATTCATATGCACATACATACATACACTGAAAACCTATTTCAAATCCTCTAAAATTAATGAAATTTCATATGGTGGTAGAGTTTAAATCTTTTCCTGTTCTTACATTGGGAATAATAGAAAGTAATATACAACAATTTATATCAATACAAAATGAATGTCCTAAAACTAAAATGAGCTTCTAAAAATTGTGTCATAAAATTAAGTTTAAAGCATTCAAAAATGGCATATATTAAGCGATTCTGTATCTCTACTCCTTACAGTGAATTTGGTTTAAGAAATATAATTACTAGCACTAGCCTGTTTAAATATTATATACCACCTATTAAATATCTTTTATTTTCCCAGGACATTATATTTTGCAACATAAACAGGTATCCTCTATCCCCTGTAATCTTAGAGAAAAGATTATAGAAGATAGCTCTATCTCTATATATGCATATATATGTATATATAAACTAAATATATATAAAACCCATTATGTTTTATAAGGATAAGTCATGCAAGACACAAGTTACTGCTGTGCAGATACAGAAAAAGTTCATAACAAAAACCTAAGTCAAAAATCAAATTAATAATATTAGTTTAATCATTTGGCAATGTATGCATATATCAAAATATCACATTGTATCCCACAAATATGTATAATTGCCCTTTGAGCAACATAGATCTGAACTGCATGGGTCCACTTATACATGGATTTTCTTCTGCCTCTGCCAGCCTAGAGACAGCAAGATCAACCATTCCTCTTCCTTCTCCTCCTGAGCCTATTCAGTCTGAAGACTATGAGAATGAAGACCTTTATGATGATCCACTTCCATTTAATGAATAGCAAATATACTTTCTCTTTCTTATAATTGTTTAATAACATATTTCCTCTCTCTTATTTTGTTATGAAAATACAGTATATTATGTATAATGTATTTATATATGTATGTACATACGTAAGTATATATGCTGTATGTTATATACATATATATAAAATATATGTTAATCAATTGTTCATGTTATCAGTCGAGCTTCTGGTAAATAGCAGGCTACTCATAGTTAAAAGGGGAGTCAAGGTTATTTGCAGATTTTAGTTGGGCTCAGTGGCTCACACCTGTAATCCCAGCACTTTGGGAGCTTGAGGAGGGAGGATCACTTGAGGCCAGGAGTTCAAAAGAAATCTGGGCAATATAGCAAGACCCCAGTCTTCACAAAAAATAAAAAAAGAATTAGCCAGGGGTATTGGCACATGCTTGTATTCCTAGCTACTTGGAATGAAGCTGAGGTGGGAGGATTACTTGAGTTTTGGAGTTCAAAACTGCAGTGAGCCATGACCTCCACTGCACTCAGGCCTGAGCAATAGAGCAAGAGTCTGCCTCTTTAAAAAAAAAAAAAAAAAAAAAAAAAAAAAAAGTTACATGCAGGTTTTTGACTATGTAGAAGATTGGTGCCCCTAATTCCTATATTGTTCAAGTGTCAACTGTAAAATTATTACTTGCCAACTAAAATTTTTTAAAAACAGACTTAGGGAGACTATCAACAAAATTTTTTAAAATAAATAAAAATGGCACACCATACCCACACACACAGAAAATGGATTTTTTTGATAAATGCCAATGTTGTTTTGCTATTTAGTGAAAGACGTTCACTTTAGATGGTGGTGCTAGGGTGTGGCTCAGGAAAGAATTATTTATGGGGTCTTTAAAGTGTGCTTTAGGAGAAGACATGGGAATTATTCTATACTCATATAGCTTCTGTTGAGGAGAAAAGTATACAGAAGTCAGCATTAAGCAGTTAATGAAAGTCATAAATAAAATTGAGCAGCACTTTCTCTTTCCAAGTATTATTCTAATTTATTTTTATCTCTATTTACCTATCATCAATCTTATCTATTATCTGTCTATTTATCTATCTATCTACCTATCTGTCTGTCTGTCTGCCTGTCTGACTGTCTGTCTATCATTTAATCTCACAGCTTATTTAGAAAAGTGTTCATATAGCTATCATTTAGTAGTTAAAGGTGATGAGGCACAGATAAGTTCTGCAACATACCTAAGTTTCTTGCAGAGCAAATGGAAAGCTAGAATTGGATTCATGATTCTAGATGAGAATCTGAATTATTAACAATTATTGTTTAGAAGATTATTAACCACTTAAACACCACACACACACACACGCACAGAAGTACGGTATATTTGCATGCACGTTAATCTATTTGAAACTGCATCTGTTTCTTTTTATTTTTCTACCCCCCTTGTGAGATTTATTTTGGATCTCTACATTGGTAATCATTTGTATGAAGTAGATGTCAACAACTTAGTTTTGCTATCACTCAGTCTATTTTCTGTTTCTCCTTAACAGTAACCATCTGTTACCTTTATTAAATATCATATGATTAGATGCTTGAAATTTTGGCTGCATAAAGTTTAAGCATATATTAGCCAGGAGAGTGTTGATTGCAAGTGATGGAAACTAACTTCAATCTAGTTTAGAAAATAAGGAGACTGTTTTGCATTACAGAGTCTGAGAAGGAGAAACACACAAAGGCAGAGAAACTACTGAGTTTTGGGAATAACTAGAGTGTTGGGAAGACAAGACAGCCTCTATCTTTGTCTGTCTCTCCCACTTCCTCTCCCCCTCCTTGTATCTGTATCTTTAAAGCCTGTCAATTTTGTTTCTCCACAGGGTTTGCTATGGTCTGAATATTTGTGTTCAAAATTCATTGTTGAAATCCTACCTTGCCAAGGTGATATCAGGATGTTACTTGGGAGGTGATTAGGTCATGAGAGGCAAGACTCTATAAACGGGATTCTTTTTTTTTTTTTTTTTTTTTCACAGAGTCTCACTCTGTCTTCCTGGCTGAAGTGCAGTGGCATGATCTTGGCCCACTGCAACCTCTGTCTCCTAGGTTCAAAGTGATTCAAGCGATTCTCCTGCCTCAACCTCCAGAATAGCCAGGACTACAGGTGCGTGACACAACACCTGGCTAATTTTTGTATTTTTTTTTTAGTAGAGACAGGGTTTCACCATGTTGGCCAGGATGGTCTCAAACTCCTGACCTCAAGTGATGCACCTGCCTGGGCCTTCAAAAGTGCTGGGATCACAGGCGTGAGCCCTGGCGCCCAGCCCATGAATGGGATTCTTAAGAAATCCCAGAGAGTTAACAAGCGTCTTCTACCATGTGAGGACACATTGAAAAGGCACCTTCCTGTGAACCAAGAAATAGCCTCTCACCAGACACAGAATCTGCCATTTCCTTGATCTTAGACTTCTCTGAAACTGTTAGGAATAAATTTCTGGGTAGTTTATAATATTTTGTTATAACAACCCAAACGGACTAAGAGTTTTTCCACATAATGGGAAAAATAGGCACAGACACTCTAAGAACGTCATATCCCATGCTTTCTGCCATCAGATGATTTAGTTTTTGGTCCCAGCTCCCAATTTTACAACCCCAGAAAAGAATAATAATTGGTTCTTGATAACTAGCCCCCTCAGTGCCAGTGACCTATGGCCAAAGAGTAGATTATTTAATGTTTCCATTTCCACTGGAGCAGTTTGAATTTTAAAAAAAGGAGCAGCTCCCAAATGAAGGAGGAAGGAAGACAAGAGAAGGAATGTAATGCTAGTCAGACAGAATTAAATAAATAAAATAAATATAATTGATGAACTACAAAGCAATAAATGAAAGAACACTAGATAAATGTTTATTCTTTGTTTGTTTAAAAAGAGCAGGCCAGTGGATTTCTATGTTAATCAAGATAATAAATCACTACCATTATAGACCTTTTACAACAACTTAGAGATACCCTTTGTTAATTTTAATAAACAGATTATCTTGGTAGTCTAATTGCTAATAATTTTATTCTACATTTATAATATATATTAGCATTATACAAGTTGTTCTAATACTTATGAAGACTCATGTTGTATAAAATAAATCAATGCTGGATACAGGAGTGATGAGAACATGATTTCACTATTTTTCACAGAAATCTCCCCACTCAGGACAGAAGTAGATGATGTTGAACTTCCTGTGCTTTTTTCTCTATCCATTGCTATGTCGAGAAGATTATGGATTTCCTAGGCAAGACCTTTAACATTTTGTACAGGTTTCTATTTTCTTTTCACTTAATTGGTTGAGGATAACATAAGATGTTAAACTGAAATTACAATTAAAATAAATGTATGAATGAAAGTACTAATCATCTAGCTTTCTTCCACTAGCACGCACACAAAAAAGTAGAATATTCTAAAACATTTGTTTTGTCTGAAGGTCAAGTTTTGATAATTTCAGGAAATTCAGGAGTAAGTGTCAGAGATAATCACACACACACACGCAAATTGATTGGACAGTATTAGCTTTAATTAATGAAAGACAGGATAGATATGAAAAATATATTTTAAAGTATGGGAAATAACAAATAGACAGAGGAAATACCCCAATATAATGGTATTTGCATTTTATGTATATATAAGTGGGTTAGACTCTCTTATCAAAAAATAGATTCACAGATTAAAAGAAAGCTTTTAAAACAGACCCAGTAACATGTACTATAAAAGAAATATATAATGGTGAAAAGGGGTGAAAATAAAAAAACAGAAAAATACACCCAAGGCAATTATGAGTCACAAGACAATGTTGGTACAATGTTTACATATTTTCAAATAAAATTTAAGGCAAAACATTACAGAGTATAAAAATATTATATAATAATAAAATATAAATCTTAATGGAATGTCATCATAATTATATGCAAATAAATGTTGGGTTATGTTTATATGCAAATAGAACTTCAAACAATAAATAAAGCAACAACTTACAGGACCAAAGAGAGAAATAGGTAAATCAACATTTTTATTTAGATTTTAAAATTGCATTTTTGTCAGAAGCTGAAATATGCAGAAAAAATATTAAATAAAATTATTCTAGATTTAATATCACAATTAATGTCCTCATTGCATGCATATACTTTATGTGTGTGTATGTATGTACATTTTACACTTGATTACCAGTACACATGGAGCATTAGTAAAAATTGATATTAGTCTTAATAAACTTAATAAACTTTAACATTTTAAAACAACACAGAACTCGTATTCCAAATAAACTTAAAATCGAAAAGAATAACTAGAAAAAAACTACATACTTTGAAAACTAATCAATAAACTCTGTATTAAATAATAAATCAGGAGGATAATTATAAAATAGAAATGTATTATAATGAAAATACTCAAACCTAAATGCATGGAATAGAGCTGAAAATATTTAAAAATATATTTGTACCTTTTTTTGAAGAAATAACAAAATAACTGAACACAAATGAATATTTAAGTCGAGAAGACAAGAAAAGTGCAAAAAAGAAAGCCAGAAGAGTAAAGGAAGGAAATAATAAAAATAAACAGAAATTAATTAAATATACATTTTTAAAGAAGCCAAAAAGGCAAATCTTTGAAAATATCAACTACAGAAAATCTTATTCTCTGGAAAAGAATCAAATATAAGAAGTGAGAAGATGAAAATGAAGTAAAACTAAAATAAGAATATAATTCAGACAATTAAGATTAAGTATATTATGAACTATATATTAATATTACATATCAGTGAATTTTGAATCATAGATGAAAGGATTATTGGAATCATTGTAAAATGCTAAATTTGAAGAAGTGAAAATGAGTAGACCAATATTCTTAAATTAACTGAAATGGTAGAAAAAAACAGAAAATAGCATGAAGAAATTTATGTTTTATAAGGATGCACACATTTAAGACCTTATATTTGATGTATACGTATATCATATGAGAGTGGGCGCTATGGAGAGAGAAAATAGTAGTAAAGAGTAAAAATCGGGGAGAAAAAATACAATACAATGCAAAGAGAAATATAATGATACAGATTCTTAGATAAACTGATGACAACAATGTCCCATTTACTGGAGAGTAAAATAAAATAAGAAATAAATATTGTATCAATGACAGTATGTTTTTTTTTTTTTTGAGACAGAGTCTCTCTCAATGACAGTACGTTTTACACAGCTTTATGTAACAAACAAACTAAGTTAACACCCACAACTTTTACCATCCCTATAAAAAATATTCCAGGGACAGCAACTATAGATTCATTAACTGCTTACACTTATTGCAATTTTAAATGCAATATAAAGTATCATACCTGAATAAACAAGTAAATGCCAAAAGTATCATAATATTATTGGTTATTGTGACAGAGTAAATTTTACATCTGCCTTACTCTGGAAACTTTTTAGTTTGATCAGTTTTAGTTATGAAACCTTTATATAATGACTCATAAATAATTTATAAGTTATCTCTATTCTGGGAAAATAGTGCAAAGAAAAATGTCTGTATTTATTTGGCTGTTTGCAGTATAAACAAGGACTAAAACTAAGGAGTGAGATGCCCCAGGTTTTCTGCATGTAGGTGTTCAAGGTTAGATCAAATGTGTTTTCTGACTTCCCCTTTCTCTACTTTGTTATAAACTCACATAGCTAGAAATCAGTTTCTGTCACCTAAAATATAAGGTCTGTATTTATGCATCATGTTCCATAAACATAAGGCAAATAGTCCCAATAAAACAAACTATTATTGTAAAGGAGGGAATGTAAATATTCTACTGTTGTCTACTTCTCTAGAAGCATTGGAACAAACCTCTTAAAACTAATTCAATAACTGAGTTTTCATTGAATTTAATTAAAGGCATTCTATATTGATTTTAAAAGCAAGATTTCTGATCCACCAAGATGGTTTGTTGTTATCTTATCAAACCATCTACACTCATATATTTGCCAAATCATAGCACGATAAAAGCTCTTACCCATCCTAAATGATGAAGTGTTGCAATAACTTTGTAAATGAAGGTACTCTAGTCAATAAGCACCTTGTGATTGATTGTTATAAGATTAATTATTATTTCTAAACCATTCATACTCAGTTCTAAACCCCTCATACATCACGTTAGACTATATATAAAATTACAAGTCCTATTTTTATCAAATTGAATCAACAAATCCTACTCAAGCTTTCTTGGTAATGCCTGATTTAATGCTTTCATTAAGAGTTATTTTAGAAACTTTCTCATTTGTTTACTTTTTTTGTAATTTACTTCCAGAGGAGGGAATTTGCTTGACATATTTCCAATGTTGTTACAACAAGGTACATAAATCAAAAATAATACAAAAAATAATAATCCTGCCAAAAAATTGGTACAATTTTCTTTCTACAGAGCCAAATAGTCAGAATGCTACATTCCTAGATCATAACACTCTGTAAATCTCTACCAAGTACATCCCTAAAGCACAACAGACACATATACAGCACTACACATATACAACCCACACACATATACAACCCATACAACACACATACAACCCAGACAACCACATACAGCCTGAAATGGTTTGATGTTGTGTTTTCTCTAAAATTTATATTAAAATTTAATCCCCAATGCAACAGTTGTAAGAGGCGGAGCCTTTAGAAGGTGAGCAGGCCATGAAGGCTCTGCCCTCATGAATGGGATCTGTCCCTTATAAAAGGGCTGGAGAGAATGAGGTAGGCCCTTTTTGCCCTTTTGCCTTTCTGCCCATTCCGCCATATGAGGATAAGGCATTCATCTTCTCCAGATGGTGCACCATTTGGAAGCAGAGATTAAGCCTTCATCAGACACTAAACTTGACACTCTCTTCATCTTGAACTTCCCAACCTTCAGAACTGTGATAAACAAATTTCTATTGTTTACAAATTACCTAGCCTGTAGTATTCTGTAATAGTAGCCCAACAAGACTAAGACATTGCTCATTTCTTCCACAGAGTCATCTGTTCTCAAGCCATTTCCCTTGCCTGGCATATTTTTCCCCTTCTTGCTTGTTTTGATTTAATGATTTTGTTAACAAGCCAAAAAAAAAAAAAAAAGAGAGAGAGAAAATAGAAAATGACTGACTGAATGAAATGGAACAGGAGTTTTTAACCTGAACTCATATAAAATGCATACTTCTATTCCCTAGGCTAAAGTAGTTGTTTAATCTTTTATGTATTCATGGTAGGTAGAAAACTGAGGATGGGGCCACAAACTGAGGATGGGGCCTATAGAGGCTGAGAAAGGCAAGGAAACAGTCTTTCTGAAGCCTGCAGTTCTGTTGTCAACTTGATTTTAGAACTTCTGACCTCCAGAACTGTAAGGTAGTAAACCTGTATTGTTCAAAGCCACAATATTTCTGGTAAGTTATTATAGCAGCAATAGGCAGGAAAGTAAAACAGTATCCATGAACTCCTTTTACATTCTTCAGAAATATGTCTGCTTATTTCCCTTCACCATAAGATTTTCAAGAGCATCAGTCTTCCTACACCTGTTGATATGGTTTTGTTGTGTCCCCACCCAAATCTCATCTTGAGTTGTAATAATCCCCATGTATCAAGAGTGGGGCCAATTGGAGATAACTGAAACATGGGGACAATTTCCCCCATACTGTTTTCATGATAGTGAATAAGTCTCACAAGATCTGATGGTTTTATAAATGGCAGTTCCCCTGCACAAGCCCTCTTGCCTGCTGCCATGTAAGATGTGCCTTTGCTTCTCCTTTGCCTTCCACCATGATTATGAGGCCTCCTCAGCCATGTGGAAGTGTGAGTCCATTAAACCTCTTTCCTTTATAAATTACCCAGTCTTGGGTATGTCTTTATTAGCAGCGTGAGAACAGATTAATACACCTGTAAATTAGAATTTCAGTGTGGATCAAGCTTTCCTCAAAAAGAGATTTTACAATGTAAGCTAGATCTTGTTTCCACCTACTTATTATTTGTTTTAAATTTTACTCTGTCTTTGCAGATATAGCATGTAAATTTATATTAATTTCTAATGTATATTCTAGAATTATTTTGGAACTATCAAAGCTATTATAAACAAATGAATTTCTTAACTAGAAAACAGAATAACACATGGTCCAGCTCAACAAAGTCACATGCAAAAAACAGATGTGGGCCTGGGCATGGTGGATCACACCTGGAATCCCTGTACTTTGGGAGGCCAAGGGAGGTGGATAGCTTGAGTCCAAAAGTTGAACACAGCCTGGGCAACATGGCAAAACCCCATCTCTACAAAAAACACAAAAAAATAGCTGGGCATGGTGGCACAATATCATAGTCCCAGCTACTTCAGAGGCTGAGATGGGAGGGCTGCGTGAGCCCAGAAAGTGAAGGTTGTGGTGAACTATGGTCATGCCACTGCACCCCAGCCTGGGCAACAGAGCAAGAGCCTGTCTCCAAAACAAAAACAGAAGAAAACCAAATGTGACTCCGAGTATCTTGAAGAAATATAAAGACTATCCCTATTGATTAATTAGGAAGGTAATCCTGGCAACATCATATAGACACCTTTATATTACAAACTTACAGAGTTTATTCATAAACACTAATCTGGTCCTTGCATGTTCCCCCTCAGGATAGCTGCTAAAATTTCACCAAACCTTTTCTTTTTTTTAAATGATATCTCTTTAAAATTATTTTAAATTGATCTGTAATATATATACATATTTTCAGGGTACATGTGATTTGATACACTCATATAATCAAATGAAGGTAAATGGAATATCCAACACCTTAAATATCTATATTTTATTGATGTTAGGAACACTTGAATTTTGCTCTTCTGGCTATTTTGAAATGTTAACTATAGTCACCCTACTGCTCTATCTAACACCAGGACTTATTCCTTCCACCTAATGCATATTGGTACCCATTCATCAACCTCTCTTTATCTGCTCTGATATGGTTTGGCTCTACGTCCCCACCCAAATCTCATATTGAATTGTAATTCCAATGTGCTGGGGGAGTGACCCGGTGGGAGGTGACTGAGTCCTGGGGGCAAGACTTCTCCCTTGTTATTCTCATGATAGAGCTCTCAGGAGATCTGGCTGTTTGATAAATGTGTGGTGCTTTCCCCCGCTTTCCCCTTGCCTCTCCTGCCACCTTGTGAAGGAGGTGCTTGCTTCTCCTTCCACCATGATTGTAAGTTTCCTGAGGACTTCCCAGCCATGCAGAACTGTGAGTCAATTAAACATATTTTCTTTAAAAATTACCCAGTCTCAGGTAGTTCTTTACAGCAGTGAATCTACTCTCTGTCTTCACCCAATGTTTTCTACTCACTTGACTTTCTTTACTTACTCTCATCCCAGTTCCAGCCTGTCTCCAGACCCAAAGAGAGTTCATCACCCCTTGACTGAATAGAGCCTCTGGACTTCAGCTTCCAGTGGTTAGCAGCACCACCTCACTCCAGGAGAGCTGCAGGACCAGGCAGCTCTGTGCTCCCTTCTGTGTTTTATCTGATGGCATTTAAAAATTACATAAGATAATAATAGAGAATAATATCCTCACCCCATTAATGTGTCACACAACAATATTTTGGTCAACAACAGACCGCATATACACTGTGGTCCCATAAGATTATAATGGATCTGAAAAAATTCCTGTTGCTTAGTGATGTCTTAATGACCCTGTGTAGGCCCAGGCTAACAAGTGTGTTTTGGTCTTACTTTTTAACAAAAAAATGTTAACGGCAAAAAACAATCAAAATAAAAAATAAATAAATAAATAGAAAAAAACTTCTAGAATAAAGATATACAGAAGGAAAATATTTTTGTGTACAACGTCTTTGTGCTTTTGTTGCCTGTTTAGGGTAGTTGTCCAGGTTCTTGGCGTTTTTAACAGAGAATTGAACAAAACACACAAACAAAGCAAGGCAGTGAAGGCAGGGATTTAAACAAAGTACACTCCATAGGGAAGGAAAGGCCTTGAGCAAGCAGCTCAAGAGCATTGATTACAGAATTTTCTGGGGTTTAAATACCCTCTATAGGTTTCCCACTGGTTCATTCTGCGCAAATCAGTCTGATTGGTTGCAGGAGGGAACCGGTTGGAGGTACTTTCATTTTCAACTGCCACACAGAAAAAGGAGGGGTTGCAACTGCCACATAGCAACTGACACGCCGAAAAAGGAGGCGTTGCAACTGCCACACAGAAAAAGGAGGGGTTGCAACTGCCACGCAGCAACTGCCACGCAGAAAAAGGAGGGGTTGCAACTGCCACGCAGCAACTGCCACGCAGAAAAACGAGGGGTTGCAACTGCCACGCAGCAACTGCCACACAGAAGAAGGAGGGACTGCAACTGCCATGCAGCAACTGCCACACAGAAAAAGGAGGGGTTGCAACTGCCACGCAGAAAAAGGAGGGGTTGCAACTGCCACGCAGCAACTGCCACGCAGAAAAAGGAGGGGTTGAAAAGGGAGTAGCTTCTGATATTCAGTAAGTACGAATCGGCCTTAGGTTCCCTGCCTCAAGACCCTATTCTCCTGCCTCACTTTTAGCTAAGGGTTATTACAAAAGAGTCAGAAAGTTAAGACAAAATATGAAAGTTTATAAAGTAAAAAGAGTTACAGTGAGCTAAGTATAACTTATTGAAAACATTTTTTTAATTTAGTATAGCCTAACTGTGTTTATACAGTCTACAGTAGTATACAGTAATATCCTAGACCTCCACATTCCCTCGCCACTCACTCACTCACTCACCGACTCACTCAGAGCAACATCCAGTCCTGGAAGCTCCATTCACAGTAAGTACCTTATACAGGTATACCATTTTTACATCTTGTATAGTGTATTTCTACTGTGCCTTTTCTATATTTAAATTTATTTAAATACACAAATATTACGTGTTAAAATTGCCTATAGGATTCAGCACGGTAACGTGCTGTACAGACTTGTAGCTAAGTAGCAATAGGCTCTGCCATATAGAAGGTGCAGTAGGGTATACCATCTAGGTTTGTGTAAGTACACTCCTTGATGTTGGTACAACAATGAAATCACCTAGCTGTGCATTTCTCAGAATGTATCCCCACTGTCAAGTGATACATGACTGTATATTAATATGAAGATGAAACCTAGCTATGTAAAGAGATTTTTTTACATGTGCATTTTTCTTCATCTGTTCCCAAAGCTCCCCTAAAATGCAGTGAAGATATTTTTTAAATTATAAACCCACTAACACAAAGAAAAGAACAATAGCAATAACATTTTAAATCTAGAAAAAAAGGAAAATTTCTTAGTGGTTGACAGAAACTTAAATCCTAGGCCAGTTTTGGGAAAATTAGAAAAAAATCAAAGGAACATAATATATAACTCAAAACCTGCAAATTGCTCAGAATTCAAGAAGTCAGATATTTCTGGAAATAGGAGAGATGGTGGATCTAAAAAGAAATTTGATTGATGTTTGTTTAAGAAATAAACTAACATTCATAATGATTTTAGAAAAGATGAAATGAATGATGTGGGGACATCTGAGTAATATAAGAAAATTAGATTCATAAGTTAGAAAATATAAGAAGTTGAATTCATAAGTTACAGCTAATAGCAGATAAACTCCAAGCAAATAAATATTTCAATGTAAAAGTAGACTTATAAAAGCAATGAAATAGAAAAATATTTCATAGCAGTGGTGAAGAAGACCACTTTATGACACAAAATTCAAAACTCATAAAATATGCATTAAGTATGAATACATAAAGTTTTTTAATTGCATAAGGAAATAAAAATACCATAAATAAAATCAGAAGACAAAGGACAAATAGGAAAAAATGTAAACGACATCATGAACAAAAATTAATTTACCCAATGCATATTTTTAAAAAACTAAACACTGATTAATAACTAAATAGAAAATAAAATTTGGTGAAAGACATGAACAATTTGTAGAATAATCAAGAAACATAGAATATGATACAAAAATTTCTCGATATAAAATAGTTTTCATTCATCATAAGAGAAATTTTGTTTATTAAAGATATGCCTAGATGTCATTATTTTTCTGCCTCTTAAATTGACAAAATCAAAAGCTTAATATGGTATGCAGCTTTGGAACTATCTCTCAAAATTGCAAATGTATATAACATTTGACCTAGAAATTGCACTATTGAGAATTTTCCTACAGCATATTTGCCCATGCATTAAACAGCTTAAAAGCAGGGTTATTTATTGCAATATTATTTTCAGAACAAGAGATGAGAGTTAATCAAGTGTTCATGAAGAGAGGACTCATTAAGTAAATGATTGTATATAAAAAAGAAATTTCCTATGTACTGACACCAAAAAAGACATGCAAATTTCATTAAGTGCAAAAAGCAAGAAAGCAGTCTCCCTTCTGTGTATAAAAGGAGAAACATGCATTTTAATTTGTATAAAAATCTCTGCAGAATTTATAAAATCACCTATTTTGAGAGTTGAAGACTGGATACATGTGGGAGAAGTGAAGAAGTAATGACTTTTTATGGTAAAACATTCTGTATTGTTAATTTTCTAAAATGAATATATATATATAAAAAAATTATCCAAAAGAATGGAAGAAAGGAATCATCAGGAAACCAGTAAGAGATATTTGAAAGGTATGTATGCATGTACATGGCCTCTCACACATACACCCACGTCAAACAAATAAATACATACCCTCACCCACATCAAGGAAATAAATTATACAAATACATATATTTTTAAATATCAAAAATAAAAAAACAAGTGAAGCAACAAAATATGAGAGGTATAAGATGGAAAATAAAAAATCATCAAATATTTCAAGACATCATCCTAAAAGCATTCCAGATGGAAAATTCTCTTAAAGCACCCAACACAATGTGAATGAAAATATATCCATCTCAAGGCATATTATCCTCAAATTTCAGAATACTGTGAAAATTATATGCTTCCTAAAAGAATGAAAAACAAAATAAAAAGTAAACCGGTATTATTGAGGGGATACATAATAAGAAAGACATTGGATTTATTAAAAATGACACCAAAGGTAGGATAAAAATTGTTTAAATGCCTTTTAATTTTGTGAGGAATCTAGAATTCTATACCTAGCCATGTTTTCAATTAAATGTGAGGGTGGAGTAGGGACATTTTCAAACCTTACAACATTTTCTCTCTTGCACATTTTCTCAGGAAGCTATTGGAAGAGATGCTCAAAGAAGAAAAAATTACCATAATCCAATAAAGAAGAAGACCTGAGATCCAGGAAGCAGATGATCTGAACTGCAGAGAAAGTTCAGGAAAGTTCCCTCATTCATGATGATGGGAAATAACAGTAAATTCTGTACAGCAGTCTTGGACAACAACCAATCTAAACTGGCACAGTGCAGAGGCAATCAACAGAGAACATAATATTGATAGAATGCCTGACGCTTTTGATTGTATTCACAGGAAACATAAACAATTGGAAGACAGTTTATGAATGAATTAGTGATAAGCATTTTTTTTCAACTTTTATTTTAGATTCAAGGGTACATGTGCAGGTTTGGTGCCTGGGTATACTGGGTGATGCTGAGGTTTGTGTTACAAATGATCCCATCATCCAGGTACTGAGCATGGTATCCAGTAGTTAGTTTTTAACCCTTCTCCTGTCTCTCTCCTGGTGGTCCCCAGTTTCTACTGTTGCCATCTTTATGTCCATGAGTATACAATGTTTAGCTCCCACTTGTGAGAACATGCGTATTTGCCTATTTAATTATTTGTTTATTTGTTGAGACATAGTTTCACTCTCTAGCCCGATCTTGGCTCACTGCAACCTACGCTTCCTGTGTTCAAGCGATTCTCTTGCCTCGGCCTCCCCAGTAGCTGAGATTACAGGCACCTACTACCATGCCTGACTAATTTTTGTATTTTAATAGAGATAGGGTTGCACCCTGTTGGCCAGGCTGGTTTCAAATTCCTGATCTCAAGCGATCCACTCACCTTGGCCTCCCAAACGGCTGGGATTACAGGCTTGAGCCACCACGCCCAGCCACTATTTGCTTTTCTATTCCTGCATTAATTTGCTTAGGATAATAGCCCTCAACTTCATCCATTTTGCTGCAAAGAAAATAATTTTGTTCTTTTTTAGGGCTGCATAGTATTCCATGGTGTATATGTACCACATTTGTTTTATTTAATCCACTGTTGATGGACACCTGGGTTTATTCTATGCCTTTGCTACTACAAATAGGGCTGTGATGAACATGCAAAGGCATGTGTCTCCTTGAGATAAATATTTTAAAAATACAATAAAATCAAAAAAATTAATGTCAGGGCTAACATACAGTTATTAGAAAAAAAAATATTTTGTTATTATAGATAGACACTAGCTTTAACATAATAATAGTTATGTAAGTAGTCGAAGTTCATATGATCAAAATTATTATTTAGCTGTTTTAAAAGAATGCAGATATAAGAGATATACCATTAATGGTGAATAGTTCCAGTAAAAGCAAGCTAAGCTCTCTTTCACATTCCATAGAGGGAATTTAATAAGCCCTGAAACCGAAAGTTCAAGAAGGAAAAGTGCAAGTCCTACATGAATTGATCAATGATTGCCTCTGGAAATTATTGGTGTGAATGGGGAGGCAAAATTGCTAGTTTGGTTAATAAGCTATGTAACTGTTTGATAATTCTTCACTTGCATGTAAACTTCGGTACAAATAAAAGCTAATGAAAACAGAGACAGAATTATTAAATCATCATAACATAAAGTTAACATTTTTCATCATTTTTCACTTGTTCAAAGATCATAAGAAATTTTCATCTTAATTTTCAAGCATCAACTAATGTTTCTACTCTCCCTGAGTACCATAAAAAGCCTTCTGTGGACAGTCTAAGTGACAATGACACATTAGATTTGGCAAAAATTACTTTCAGATGTAAATCAATTTGAGAATGAACTGATGCTCTGAAACCGGAATTTACTTGTTGCTCAAATTTGCCCCAAAATAAAATAATTTTCAATCATAGGAGAATTCACAGGGCCCAGCTCTCCATTGGTGTTCCAATCTATTCTCTGACCTCTATGCTGTACACAAGAATCCTCAATGGTTTTTCTGGAACCCAAGACAGAAATAATATCCCAAATGATGCTTGCTCTAAGAGTATCACTCACCCAGGGGGTTTACCCCCTGCAACTTTCCCTTTTACCAGTTTTGCTACAGATTTTTATGAACTTAGTTCCCCAGTCACCAGGGCCACAGATGTTTGAAATACTTTTCTGTCTTTTTTTTTAAGTGATAAACAACTGAATTCCTATTCACTTTTACTCCACGAGTGACTTTACAATACATTAAAAAAAGATAAACTGTCAGTATTCTTTTCTTTAAAAACTGTAAAATGCCTTTCCACTTATTTCTTATACTATGTTGTCTCTCAGATAATACATTGATGCAATTTTGGATAATGTTTTAATGAAGAAGTTGACAGTAATGCACATTAATTAAAATATGTAAAAATCTATATTCATAACACGACTTTGAATTTTAAATGTTTTCAGTGAAAACATGTCATATTGTAGACATGCTGAGAAAATTCTACATATTTATTTATCCAGTCCTCATCCAACAGATATCCCAATGGCAATAGAATGCAATTTGTGAAAAGGTTTATAAAATAAGTGGGTTTAACTGAAATTCAACTTTCATTAACTGTTGATTGAGCACTCTGTCACTATTTTAAGTATTAGAAATACAGTAGTAAACAAATTCTACCTAATTCTTGACCTCAGGTACTTTCCATTTCACTGGTATTACTTGATATTTTTAAAGATTACACATATAGGTCAATAGATCTCCATGAAACATAAAAATAGTAAAAAGAAGGAGAAAAAAGAGGAAAGGGAAGGGAAATAAAGTATACAAGTCATGCATTATCTGTTCTAGTCAACACAATAATTCATTTTCTATTGTTTTGACATCTGGGTGGTGGGGGGAACCCACAACTCGCATCCTTCATTGACTATGTTTGCAAAGTTTGGAGAGAAAATTTGCAGGGTCCCATTTTAGATGGCTAAGTCTGAGATGCCAATTAGACATGCCACAGGAGATGTAGAATAAGAGCTGAATATTTCAGTCTAGAATTCAGTAAAGGATTTCAACTGAAGATCAAATGTGGAAGTCATCAGCCTATAGATGATAAAGCACATAGCAATTCCGACATAGATTATAATGAAATTTATAAATCTGAACACCACTGATTTCTCAATCCCCCTTCATCCTCTTCCTTTTTCTCTCCTTTGTCTCCTCTTCCTCCTTTTTCCTTATTTCTTTCTCCTCCTCATTCTCCTTACACTCTTTCTTCTCCTCCTCCTCCTCCTCCTCCTCCTGCTCTGCTTGGTGAGCAGATGGGACTGAGTTAAATTACAAGCATTTTCTTTGTTTCTCTATCCTTTTCTTTATGGCACTTTAGTAAATGAGGCCTTGCTCCCCTCCCATAGGTATATGTGTATTGCTTATACTGTCGGCTTTGAAATATTACTAATAAGCTCTACTCACCTTGCTTGCAGTCCATTTTAGATTTTTGAATGTCACCAACTATATCCTCTGTTTTTACCCACCTACCAAAACTTAAATAGAAGCACATATTGTTTTATTTCTTCAGAGACTGTCCAATCTAAGGGTAAACTAGGCCAATCCATAAAGATGGGTACAGATTTGAGACTCATGGACAGAGAGGACTTAGATTTGACTCATTGCTTTCACTTTGTGAAAGCCAATTCAAAGTGTCTACAGTTAAGAATAAAAAGAGAGGGCACACTGTCCCTCCATGGCCCTGATTTTTCCTCTGTGAGGCATGCCAGTAATTAGATGGTCTCCATATATGGCATACAAGGAGAATTTGGTAAAATCAGAAGAGGCTGGAAATTTTGGACGCTTTAAATTCAGATACTGAAGCATGTCGGCATTCAAAGACTCACCCTGTTACCATAGAAATAAATCCTTGTCTTACCAGTTACACATTTCTTTACTTAATTCTAACTGAACCATTAGGTTTATTGAATTTTTAGTACAAAAAGCTCACCATAGCCTACTGTGTAGTAGAGATCAATTTACATTTTACTGAAGATTTCTAGAAGAGACCATGGAAGGGTATTACTATACACAACATACAACTTCGCACAATGTCTCTCTTCTCAAGCTCCTGCTGCCATGTAACTCATAATGTCCCTTCCCGATTCACTGGCAATTTTTCCCATTTGCTACATAGAGTTGTTTAGGCTGTGCCCCACATCCATCTCACCACTCATCAAAGAGCTTTTCAGAGTATAACATCATGACAAAAGTGTCTGGGATAACAAATGATAGATAATATCTCCTGTAACTCAGTTGTTCAAAAAAAAATCACTGAGAGATGATAGTATGGATATACAAAGAAGTCTCTTATGGCCTTCAAGAGTACATCTCTAATGCTGTAAGATCCTTGTGTTTTAAAAACTTTCAAACAATCCAATTCATATATTGAAGCACTTAAGGAAAGACTAGAGACTATAGCGGTTCAGCACTTTGCAATGTGTGAAAAAAATTAAGCCATAATTTCTGCTTTTACATCTGTATTTTAAAAAATTATTACTCCTTTACTAACATTATGAGCATTTTATGAACATCATAATTTATCTCCATTGCCCTTCTCTTGGTCTGTTTCAGTTGATATATAACACACTACAAATTGCTAAAAGTAAGTTATTACAGTGAGCAATTTCTAATTATTTCCTCTGATTAAAGCTTAGATATGTCAAGGAAGCTGATCCCACATGTTACTGTTTGATGAGAAACTATGCTTTATAATTAATCTCTGCCATTTAAAAATATATATGAATTGGATTTTGCATTAATATCTGTGAAACGTTTTAATTTTATTTCTCATTTCTTTCTGATTTATTAAGGGATAAATTATCATAGCCAACATATATTAGAAAAAATAAAATACTATTATGATTAATAAGAGTATTACATGTTCTACTTGTATAAGAGAAAACAGTTGAACACCTGTCAGAAAAGTTTATAATCAGATGCAAATCTAACTTGTGTCTGCTATGTCTACAAACTTTCAGTTCCTTTACTTGTATTCTTTATATTTTTATCAATTTCTCAGTTATTAGTAGAAAAAATTTTACCCCATGCAGACTTTGTTATATACCAATGGTTTCCAAACTTTAAAAGCCAGAGGAATTGTTGAAACATATTGCTTGACCCATCACCAAAGTTTATAATTAAGTAAGTCTAAGGAAGAACCCAATAATTTGCATTTTTAATAAATTTTCAGGTGCCAGTGATGCTGCCAGCCAAGGGACTACATTTTGAGAACCACTACTATAAGTTTCTTAAAATCTAATACAATAAGTTTCTTCATTGTTTTTAATCAGGATATGATAAAACAATTATTAATCTTAAATATTAGTAGAATAAACCAAAAAGTATTTCTAATCAGATGTGTGACTTGCTCCTACTTTTTACATAAAAAACAATTTACTATTTTTCTCTAATGTTTTTTCCTGCCACACTCTGCCACAAAGAGTTGTATCTTTCATTATTTTACAATGTCTGTGCCTGGCTTTCCATCTACAATGACATGCTTTGAAAGCAGAGTAACTTTTGGATGTTTTTAATGCATCTTAAGAAGCAACTGAGATGGTAATTTGGAGATACGGATTATTAGAGATTGTAATAGGCCATACCTTTCAAAAGCACACTTGTTGTCCAGCTGCTGGAAGAGCTCTTCATAGACATTCTTTATCTCATCCCCTTCAGAGATCACCTCAGCTGCAAAGTCACCTGGTTCAAGATCATCCTCTTCCAGGGATAGCCCACATACCTTGAATGATAAAGGTAGAAGTATAAATGCCTGTCCATTTAATTTCAATGAGGAATAACTCTTGGGCCATTTTTAGCTCTCTAGTACACCCTGGGTTCAGTCAATGCTATTTTTCGTGCTTTCATCACAGCTTCAGTTCAGCCAAATTCTGCTGCTTTTCACTTCCTTCCATGAATTGTGAGCCTAAAGGCATTACCAAAACAAAACAAAACAAAAGAAAACAAAACAAAAATCCACACACTTTAAGAGTCAGCTTCCCTAACTGTTCCAAGTTAGAGAAATTAACTTGCAACAGAAGTAAAACAAGTGTATATACAATCCTACTGTGAGGAACTTTGGAGGAAAAAGGAAATAAAAGGTCACCGGAAAAAGAATGCATATACAAAAGAGAATGTGGAAGCACAAACTGAAACAAGCCAGAGGCAAATTCTGTGTAGTTGTGCCAGGGATACCGGAGGCAGCAACAACTAAGTGTCACTAGAAATGGTCATGGACATTCTATGTTAACCTAATCCAATAACAAAAACCATGTAATATAAATGAGTGTACACATTATCCATTGATATTTCTAGTGGGTATTGAAGTTGTACAACATATATGTTCTCATCATTTAGTTCTTATACATATATTTTCTAGATAAACTGAGAGTTTTGAAAATTATTACAATAAAATTAGCACTATTTGTCAAGTGAGTGAGTTCAAGTCATTAGATCCCTGAGTGCAGGAGGCTAAGAACATAGGCTACATTACAGTGACATTCAATTTTCTCTGCCTACTGGATATTGAGCATCAGATTTTGTTAGCAAAAGAGTAGGCCGAGTGTGAAAGCATGCAAAATTCTTATTACTGTGGGTTAGTAAAGCTGATAAATTAGGTGGTAGAAAAACAGCAACATCCGTACTTATTGAGAACAGAAGGTAATGCTCATTGAATAGACACATTTCAATAAGTTAAATCAAACTGATTTAACTGAGAGTCTACTCTCCCTTTTTCTTATAACTTTGGGCAAGTTATTCACCCTCTCTCTTTTTCACTTTTTTCAGCTGTGAAGGTGGAAACTTTTAGAAATGAACCTCTGTGTACCACTTTAATGTATTTCAGTTTGTGGGACACAGCAAAAGTAGGACTAACAGAGACATTCATAGCAATAAAAACTTACATAAAAATAAAAATATTTCAAATAATTTAACAATGAGCCTCAAGGAACTAGAAAAACAAGAACAAACCAAACCCTAAATTAGTAGGAGATAAATAATGAAGATCAGAGCAGAACTAAACAAAACAAAGATGTTAACAAAATACAAATAATGAATGAAATATACGTAGTTTTTTTTTAAAAAAAAAGTAAAAAAAAATTGATAAAACTGTAGATAGACTAACCAAGAAAAGGAAAAAAGAAGGCCCAAATAAACAAAATTGGAAATGAAAAAGGAGACATTATAACTGATATCACAGAAATGCAAAGATCAGCAAACACTATTGTGAACCAACTATATGCTAAACAACTTGGAAAACCTAGAGAAAATGGATAAATTCCTGAAAACATACATCCTACCAAGTTTGTTTCAGAAATAAATAGAAAACCTGAAGAGACCAATAGTGAGTAACAAGATTGAATCAGTAATAAAAAGTCTACCAATAATGAAAAGCCCAGGACTGGATAAATTCACTGCCAAATTCTACCAACCATATACAGAAAAACTAATACCTGTGCTCCTCAAATTATTCCAAAAACTAGAAGAGAAGGAAATTCTCCTTAACTCCTTTTATAAGGCCAGATTTACCCTGACACCAAAACCAGACAAGAACAAAACAGTTAAAACAACAGTTCAATATCCCCGATGAATATAGATGCAAAAACCCTCAAAAAATACTAGCAAACAAAATTCAACAGCACATCAGAAAGGTAATACGCCATATTCAAGTATAATTTATACCAGGGATGCAAGGATGTTTTAACACATGCAAATCAACAAACGTGATACATTAAATCAACAGAAAAAAAGACAAAAACAATAGGATCATCTTGATAGATGCAGAAAAAGCATTTTATGAAATTTAACATTTCTTCCTGATAAACTTTAGAAACTAGGCATAGAAGGAACACACCTATAAATATTAAAAGCCACATGTGAAAAACCCATAGCTAACATCATACTGAATGGGGATATGTTGTAAGCCTTTCTTCTAAGAACTGGAACAATGCAAGGATGCTCACTTTCCCATTTTTATTCGGCATTGTACCAAAAGTCCTAGTCAGAGCAATCAGGCAAGAGAAAGAAATAAAAGGCATTCAAATTAGAAAGTAGGAAGTCAAACTGTCCCTCTTTGCAGACGTCATGATCTTGTATTTATAAAATTCAAAGACTGTACCAAAAACTTCTTGAGATAATAAGCAAATTCAGTAAAGTTCTAGGATATGTAATAAACATATAAAAATCAATAGCATTTCTATATACCCATAAGGAAACAGCTGAAAAATAAATCAAGAAGGCAATTCCATTTGTAATAGCTACAAAAAACAAAAAATGTAGAAATGAATTTAACCAAGGAGGTGAAAGATCTCTATGAAGAAAACTACAAAACTCTGATGACAGCGTTGAAGAGGACACTAACAAATGGAAAAGATATCCCAAGTCATGGATCAGGAGAATTAACGTTGTTAAAATGTCCATACTGCTAAAAGCAATCTACATATTCAATGCAATTCTTATCAAAACACCAATGTAATTTTTCATAGAAATAGAAAAAAAAGCCAAAATTTGTATGGAACCACAGAATAGCCTTAATAGCCAAAGCATTCCTGAGCAAAGAAGACAAAGCTGGAGGCATCGCACTATCTGAATTCAAAATGTAATTCTATAGTGACCAAAATAGCATGGTGTTGATACAAAAATAGACACACAGATCAATGGAACAGAAACAGAAGGCTTAGAAATAGACCCATATATTTAACACCAACTGATTTTCAACAAAGGCAACAAGAACATACACTGAGGAAGGATACTCTGCTCAATAAATGGGGTTTGGAAAGTGGATATCAATCTGCAGAAGAATAAAACTGGACTCCTATCACCCACCATATACAAAAAACAACTCAATATTAATTAAAGACTTAAATGTAAGACCCAAAAGTATAAAACTGCTAAATTAAAATATAGTGAAAACATATCAAGACATTGGTCTCACCAAAGACTTTATGACTAAGACCTTAAAAGCACAGAAAACTAAAACAAAAATAGACAAATGGAGCTATATTAAACTACAAAGCTTCTGAACAGCAAAGGAAAGAACAGACGGAAGAGACAACCACTTGAATGGGAGTAAGTATTCACAAACTATTATATATATTTGACAAGGGACTAATATCCAGAATATACAAGGGACTCAAACAACAACAACAACAAAACCCACAAATAATCCCATTAAAATGTGAGTAAAGAACATAAATAGACAAATCTCTAGAGAAAACATACAAATGGCCGATAGATATATAAAAATATGTTCAACATCACTAATCATCAGAGAAATGCAAATCAAAACCACAATGAGATATCATCTTGCCCCAGTTAGAATGGCTGTTATTAAAAAGACAAAAATAACAAATACTGATGAGGATGTGGAGAAAAGGGAACTCTTATACACTGTTGTTAGAAATGTAAATTGGTATAGCCACTATAAAAAAATAGTATGGAGATTTCTAAAAATACTAAAAATAGAACTGCTATACCATCTAGCAATCCTACTACTGGGTATCTATCCAAAGGAAAAGAAATCAATATTCCAAAGGAGTACCTGAACGCACATGTTTACTGTAGCACTATTCACTATAATAAAGACACAGAATCAACCTAACTGTCCATCAATGGACAAATGGATAAAGAAAATAAGGTATGTATACACAATGGAATACTATTTGGTCATAAAACAATATGAAATCATGCCATTTGCAGCAATGCGGATGGAAATGGATGTCATTATGTTAAGTGAAATAACCCAGGAAGACAAATATTACATGCTCTTGCTCATATTTGGAAACTAAAAATGTTGGTTTCACGGAGTAGAGAGTAGAATGATAGTAAAATCAGGGAAGGCTGGGTAAGCAGGAGTAGGGAATGAAGACAGGTAGATTAACAGATACAAACATATAGTTAGATAAAAGGTATAAGTCCTATTGTTTGACAGCAGAGTACAATGACTATACTTAACAGCAATGTATTGTATATTTCAAAGTAGCAGAAGAGAGGACTTTAATTGTTCATAACATAGAGATGATAAATACTCAAAGTGACAGACACTTCAAATACCTTGACTTGATCAGTATACAGTCTATGCATGTAACAAAATATCAATATATCCCATAAATATGTAGCATGTTATGTATCAAAAAAAATTTCCAGCCACCTCTTACTCCTACTTCGCTTTTGTGATAACAAGGCTTTGACCAGCTTCTTGCCCATACTACCCAACAGCACCTTGCCTCAGAGCCAGAATGCATGTCTTTCTTCCTGCCCAAGGATTTCTCTAACCAACAGAATAAGACATCAATGGAAATACTGTAATAGTCACACATACCCACCCAGATGTGAAGGGATTAATACACATTGTACCCTTGTACAATGAAAATAAAAGCCAATGGCTAAATACTTATTCTTGTTCCACAAAATAGACAGTTCTGAGCTGCATGTCAGAAGTCTCAGAAGATCTTACAAATTCAAGTGCTTATGCCTCATAACTCATTTTCATACTACCTTGTCCTCCTTCCACTCTTACAGCGGGATAATTAAGGAATCAGAGAGACCAAGAGGTTGAGGCGGAATTATTTAATTATTTAGGTGCACTGGCCCAGTCGGATTAACATCCAAAGGACTGAGCCCTGAACAAAGAGTCGAGCTACCTTTTAAGCATTTTGTGGGGCGGGGGGAAGATCTGTGCAGGGGGAAGCATATTACAGTAAGAAACAAAGACAGTTATTCAATTAAGACATGCATTACATTATTTCTTACTTTTCAAGAAACAACATGTTTTATGACTTCAGATTATTTGTTTAGTGACCTTGCAGCTGCACAGCTAGAGAAACACAGTCTTCACAAAGCCTGGGAAAGGGAGAGATAAGGTTCACTAGCCACAGAAAGACAGGCAGTCAGTTTTTGAAGGACTCCAGCTCTTTCCCTTCTTCAGAGGAAACTGGGTTTTCTTACATACAACTGAGTTTTTGCTTACACATTTTTTAATTTCTTTTAATTCCTGTTCCACTCTTGCTGTTTAGGATCACATTCTCAAATCAACTTTCTGTCTGCAAACATTTGCCTTAGACAGTTGTTCGAAGGATACTCAGTCTAAGATTGCTGGTACTATGTTCTTAAAAAGAAACCCTTGAGATGGAATTTTTGAGCTTGTTCACAAGTTAGATGCAATAGAAATTGTTAAGTGTGGATAAACCCTGGTGTGAAGTAGCAGTATTATGGCAATATCACAATTAATAATGCTCTCACCTGTGTTGAAGTGGGATGAATCACAGGTAAATGGTGAAAAGTTGAGTTATATAAGAGTTATAATACATGAGAGGAATGAGGCAATGTCAATTGACAGCATTGTGGAATTGGCTAGATTTGCTAACAATATTTGAAATCTTAAAAAAAGGTAATTTCTCAGATTGTCGAACCCTTAATTCATTCCTGTGAAAGGAAGGCAGCTTCAGCGAAAATAAGGAAATCTTAATTCCCAGAAGAACAATGTCCTGAAAATAAAGCTGAACTTTATTTGTAAGGGAGGCAAAACTGCAAAGAAGATTCAGCACATAATCTAGAGGTCCTCTGTGTCAACATCAGGGCTCTTATAAGGTAAGGGTAGGTCCGAAGGATTGGGAAGAGAATATTTAGGTGAGCTTCATTCCTTCGGGTGCAATCAACTGCATTCTTCCTGCAACCTAAATGAACTTGTAAGAGGATACCAAGCTCCAGATGAGAATGCAGCCACTGCATCTTGCTTTTAGTCTTGCAATATTCTGAGCAAGAATCCTAGCCATTATATGCCCAGACTTCTGACTGGAATAACCATGAACAGATGCTCTCTTAAGCCACTAAGTCTGTGACCATTTGTAATGGGTCACCTCTGACTTTGGAATTCAGCATCCTCAAAAAATCTGTAATTAGGCTAGAACACAGCTATGATGGTATCATGAAGCTTAGATACAAAGATTGGTGACAGATAAGAAGGTAGTGTTGCCAGAAATACCTTGACATAGTTAGAGCAAGAAGTTAGATGGGTTAGGAAGGTCGAAAAAGTTAAAGAATGACAGTACTCATCCATGACTATGTTTTCTGAGAAGAAAACTAACATTTCTAAATCAATGAAGAATCCACTGCTGTGGATGAACATCAGCATCTATAAAATACTCAGTAAAAACTCTATTTTGCAGTTTGAGATTGTCAGTAGTAATTGCTGTCATGGAACTGAACTTCTTAGTGTCAGTGGAGATGATAAAATATGAGAATAGCAGAGACTGGTTGGCAGCACATCATCAGGATTCTCTTCTTCAATCACAGAATTCATTTGATTGCACCTGAAGGAATGAAGCTCACCTAAATATTCTCTTCCCAATCCTTAAGACCTACACTTACCTTATAAGAGCCCTGATGTTGACACAGAGGACCTCCAGATTATGTGCTGAATCTGCCGGCATTGGGGAGTTGAGGTCATAGCAATTACCATAATGAGCAACAAGTTAGAATATGATCAGAATACTTTGTACCAAAGGAACCAATAGCCATAGACAGCAAACTAGGTCGTCGATTGACTTACACTAAAAAAAAAGAAAATAAATCAATAAAGCCAAAAAGTTTAAGCCCTGCAAGGAGAAATTTAACATCTACTATCTCAAAGAAAAACTGGCTCTTACTCATTATCATATCTAAGCCAGTTCAAAGACCCAGGCTCTATCAGAAATATATGTGATAAATCTTCCCCAGATATTTACCTGAAGGGAGTCAGCCATTTACTAGAGTATATTTGCACTTGGAGAGAGTGAAATACCAGACACTTTTAAAAGAATGTCAGATATAGAGTCAGCTGAAATTGATAGTAGAGGACAAAGAAAAACTATCATGATTTTCCAGCTGAGAGTGGGATATACTTAAATAAATAAGTTATGTGAACAATGTGTGTCAAGAGGGAATTGAATTGGCATTGGCGTCAGTATATTCAGGAGAGGCTGGCCTAGAGTAGAAAGAAAAAATAAATTGTATTTATACATTTATTTAATAAATAGTGCTTGAATATCTACTATTCACCAGGCTCTGGGGAATAGACACTGTAGACACAGTGGTAAACAAGGAAAAGGAGTATGTGCTTACAGAACCTATATTCTATTTGAGGAAAGGGAGAGATAAGTAAGCAAATTCACATAATGAAAGCAAAATATAAAATAAAAGTGTACTCCTGAAGAGGAATTTCTCAGTGACATGAACAAAAAGAAAGCATGTTTTCTGTTGTATTTTAGGTTGAATAACTAGGGATGTTGAATAACACTGGAGAAGAAAAGCAACTGTAAAGACTCCAAAGCAAAGTTAGTGTTCAAGAAAGAGTCAAGCACTCAATGGGGATAGAATTGAGTGAGCTGAGAAAATTCAAAGGCCATCATGTAATGCAGATTGTCATAGGCCAGATCACAGAGGGTCTTTTAGGCCATAGAGAAGACTTTGAATTATTCTAAATGCTTTGAAAGTTATTAGAAGGATTCAAATTTCAGTTAATTTGATAAATGTTTTAAACCTATATGTAGTATAGACTTGAGGCTAAGTGTGATGGGGACAGAGAGAGGAGGTGTGAAAGCAGTGAGATCAGTTGGAGATACTACAGTAACCCAAGTGGTCTTGACAGTGACTTGAACAGAGCAGCATTGATAGACCCAGTAAAAAGAGATTAAATTCTGGAGATGTTTTGAAATACACTGGAGGACTTGTGAAGGAAAAAGAACATACACTATCCTAGAATTGTGTTCTTATGAAAAGGTGGTGAAGACCTCAGGGAAAGGGGGCACATTTGGAGACACAAATCAGGAGTTCTTTTATTAACATGTTTAAATTTAAGTGTCCGTAATAAGTAGGCAATTTAACATAGAAGTCTATAAACAAGGGAGAGTCTAGTTTGGTGATATTAATTTGGTGATCATAAGCATAGACATGGTATTTATGGCCATAGGCCTATATAAAATTATCCAAAGAATGAGTGTGAATGAAGAAGAGAAGGCAAAATGTATGAACAGTGTGAACTGCTGACAGATATAATAGAAAAAAGAGGAAGGGACAATGGAAGAAACTGTAAGGAAAAGTCAGTTGGGTAGGAGAAAATGGATTTGGTAGGGAATACATAGATAGCTTTGGAAAGTTGCCTGTGGCTACCATAACAAGTGTTACAAGCAGGGCACTGATGTTGGAATATGATGTGGGTGCATTCCATCCTTTAAGCTAAAATGAAGTGAATATAGTCACGTCCAGGATAGTGTACAAAAGAATTGACAGATATATTGACAATGCAGAGATTCAACTAAGCTCACTCACATATCTTAGAATTTGTGCAATTCTGTATATAATTTACAATATCCTGAGACCCTGAGCAGTGACCATCAGAGCCATGGTGGTTCCATTCAAAACATGGAAATGGGTTTTCTCTGGTCTATGAAAAAAAATGTATTTTTTGACGCATAAAGGGTCTGTATTTCTCAGACGCAAATCAGGATGAGCTAATCCTGATAGCACTTGGGTTTTTGTAAACAATTTTATATAAAATTATATTTCCCCTTCTCTCAGAAGACGGTTGCAATTGTTGTCAGAGGAAATCAAGACAAATAAAATGTGGCTACCTTGCATAAGGTTGCATGAAAGAATTCCCACAATAGCTGTTTGCTAAAGGCAGTGTTTTATAGTCTTAATTATAACACAACTGGAAAATCATAGAGTGCATATTCAAATTCATTTACCTTATTTGTTTTTCACCCTTAGGTACAATATTGTAAACAACTGTATTTGAAATCTGAAACAGATTTATTTCACACCAGTGTTTATTCATTCTTAGTCAAATGGACTTCCTTCTAGCAGTATGTCATCATGTATAATACTCTGGCAAGCCAGCATTTTCATTTCATTAAATGGCATATATTTTATGGCTCCAAATGCTTTTTATTTGTTACTGAAGAATCTAGTAATAATTGTACAATGTGAACTCCTGATTACTAGGAGGATATTTTTGCAAAGTAAATAGTTCACTAATTACCACCTTCATAAACATTAATGCATATGAATAAAAGACAAATATACAGGAAAGCCATCACAATATTTTGGCTTTACCACTACGTGAAAGTCTAGTCATCTCTGAGAAGTAGATACCCACTTATTTTGAGTGAAGTGAAATAAACCAAATAAAGCATTTGATAATGGATATAATGAAGTCTAATTAGAAAACTAGACAGATGGATATGTTTTCCCATATCTGATTTTCACATCTCTTTGGGAATCTAAAGCAATTCTAGCATTACATATTAGATTTCTTGTTGTCCAGATTTCAAGTCAAGGTGTAATAGCAGCAGAGACGTGAATGTATTAGTGAAAAATTAGCTTTCAGGAGTTAGGATTGAAGGTCATAGAGAAGATGGTGATTCCCCCTACTAATCACTTGAGTAGGACTTGCAGTTTGTTCTGTGCTACATCTTTCCTGTGTCATAACATATCGAAGGAAGTCACAGATGAGCTAAAACTAAACTCTTCTGGGAAAGGAGATCTGACGACCTACCTCTCAAAGATGCATTCATCTTCAAATGACATCCTCCCTACATTTTATTGGATTCTATAATTCATTTTGGGGAGACAAATGAACTGGTAAATTATTTTAAAATGTTTCACCACTCAAAATTCTAGGCAAAAAGTAGAAAACACTAAAGCACTCTGCATTTATTTACAAAGAGATTTCATAAAGGGAAATATGAAATGATACCAAAATCACTGGAAGAAATGGAGAAACTCATGCTAGTCAGGTACTTAAGGAATGACACCCAAACCCTAAGAACTGGCCTGCCAAGAAAGCTACTCTCACTGAAGCCACCACAAAAGCCATTGAGATGATGATCATACTGCCATAGTTACATTCCAGACAGCAGAAAGCCAGAGAGTCAAGAAGCCATCACTACCACAAATGTCTCCTAACATACAAAGTTGGTGCTTGGACTCAGGCACATGATAACTGCCTATCTACAATGAGGAAGCTGGAGAAAAGAAGCTGGAATACTTCTGCAGAAAAATTTCACATCTCCAGGACCTTGCCTACCCAGAGAAAACAGCAAAAGGACCAAAAAATGGTATCATTCTCACTTAGATTTTTCAAATTTCATATGGGTGGACCTTTCTGGTGGAAATCAATAACATCAAGAACCTTAGCTATAAAGGAGTATTGTAAATGTAATTTTTTAGTTTTTCAATATTTGCATTGGGAACACTACCGGAATGTTGATGGAATGAAGGAGGAGGAAAGCAACCTGCGATACCTACCACACATGCAATTTAAAAACACGTACAATTTCAAATGCAAGTAGTATAAGAGAATGCTTTTCACTTTAGATTGCATACACTCATATGCTGATAATGTTGCCAACATTTCCAGATACTCATCCTTCTCTAAAGTTTAATTAAATTTCATTGGACAACAGTTATGGAGTAAAGTAACACAACATACTGTGTTTCTTCCAGTTTCTAAATCTTTGTTAAATGTTATGTATGTTTTACTGGGAACTTATTTTCTCACATTTCATGACAAGCATAAAGATTAACCACTCATTCATATATATTTAAACATCAATAGTGGTGAGAGCACAAACTATGGAAGTTGATCGTTATTTTGAACTAGTAAATAAGTGTTTTTTTATTTTTTTGGTACTCACAGTGACAATAACGAATCTGACTTTTCTGGACAATAGGATAATTGCCATAGTCTGAAAATTTTCCTATCTCTTAAATGATATATTAAAGTCAATTTTTAACAATTTCCTCTTTCGATCTATCAATATTAAATAAATCTCTTTTGAAATAATATTAGGAATCAACATTTAAAATTGATTTATTTGCTTGTTTAACTCCCTTAAATAACATTATCAAGGTCCTGAGTTTTACATAATATGGCCTGAAGACTGAAAATTCAGTAGTGGGTGAATCTGGCACCCCTTGTTTTTTGTACCCTGACAAAACAGTCTATTATCCTCCTTGTAATGAAGGCAAACTTTTAGGGCCTTTATTAGTACTTTTGAAACAGGAAGTGCATTAAAAAGTCAAAAACTGTGGGATGGGTGGCTGCCTTTACAGCACTAAATATCTTCAGAAAAGAGAATGACAAGGGAAAGTCTTCAAAATATCTATCATTTTGGCTCAAGGTACAGGAAGAAGCATTGAGACTATAACAATATTAAAGTAATTGCCAAACTTTCAGTATCACAGGACTGACATCTCAAACAGCACACTCAGTTTTAGCCTGGATATTAACAAAGTTTGACATCAGGTGAATTCACAGCTGCTTCAGGATTGTTAAATGAAGACTATGGCACTGACAAGGAAAAAGGAATCCAGAACTGGGATAGACATTTTGTGGGAGATTCAGAAAATTCAGCACACCCTGAGCCCACAAACAGAATTGGCCAAAATTTTCTTGTTTCTCATTTGTCTTAAATGTATTCTTTCATGAAGAAGACACTGTCATAATAAAAAAGGAAGCCAATTCTCTCCATACTCCATCCTTGCCCTCCCCATTATCTCCAGATCCATAGCCAGAGTCATGTCATAGCCTGCTTCCAAATGGTAAGAAGGAAGTTAAAGTGTCAGCCCAGGAAAGCTAAGAGGCATATGCCAACTTTTTTTATTACCTTTGTTAATTTATATTAGCAAAGATTTGAGTAACCAGAAGGAAAATTAATTTAAGGGCACTAGAAATAGGGGAGAATAATGTTGCATGAGGCTATAATTTTAATATGTGTGCACTTACTACAGATCTCAGGATCAATGTGTGACCCTGAACATTTGAGAATGGTTTTATTGGCTTTCTCAGTTGGGTAACTGAAATGTTTACCAAAGCATGGCCTTTGCCAAATAGAGTTGTGATGCCAAAAAAAAAAACTTGATATAATGTAGAGGAAGGCATCTAATTATTCTGTGAAGCAGGAATATTCGAGTGGATTTGCCAGTTATGGCTCAACCACCCACCTAACTACTTCCCAGAAGACATGCCCGTCTCAAGATAGACCTTGAGAAATGCGTTGTTGCTGGGAGCACCAGTAGCTTTGAAATTATTTAAATGAATACATTATTTAATTGGGCTAGAGTGTTAGAGATGCTTCAATGCTGCAGGTGAAATGGACTCCCTGATTTTGGTGGCCAGAAAGTTACTAGGTAGGAGAATCAAAAGAGTGACATAAATACTAGGAGCAGATTTGTATGAATAACCACTTCAGGCAGCAGAACATCACAATTATTACCATCCTTTAACCTCTAGTGATCTTTATAGCAAGCACTTTGACAACAGCATTGATATAGAATGTGTACTAGGAAGGATCATACTGTATTTATACAGCTTTATATATTATATTTATATTGCTAAAAAAAAAATCCAAATTGGATGTGCAGAATTCTGAAGCGATTCACTACAGTGGAGAGTCATAACTTCTCAATAACGCTCCAGAACTAAATTCCTTAGCAGACCTGGTATCCTTGAATTAAGAGGATGTCAGGCACTTATGAGGAAAGATCCTATAATGAAATCACAAATAAATACTAAGAATATACCTCCTAGCCTTCCCCAGAAGAACTTGTCAAATTTACTACTGGGAACTGGCTCAGACTTGATACTATTTCCCAGCAAATAAGTAAGAAGTCATGGAGGCTTAAATAAAACTGCAATTTTGGTCTGTTTTTGGCATCCCCACTTCTAAAGTGTATGGTTTCTGAAAATAATATAAGCAGTTGGCAGAATCTTGGGTAAAAGTTATAAAAGGAGGAGCCAAGCTACTATAGTTTATCTTCTCTAAGAAAACTATAAATAAGAAGCAATACTATATCACTAGAAAAGTCAGAGATAAGTACCACCATGAAAGACTCTGAAGATGCAGAGTAATGATTTATATAACGGCCCATTTAACTCTCTGATTTGACCAGTTTCAAAGACAGATGGGTCTTTGAGAATGACTGGATTATTGTAAGCTTAATTAGGTGGGGTTTCTGATTGCAGCTGCTATTCCAGATGTGAAACTGTAGAAATCAGTAGAAAAGGGCAGACAAAAATTGATATTTTCACACTAGGATAAAGTTTTACTAGCATTTCTTGCTGTCTCTTTTATACGATGAAGAGATACTCTAATGTAAAAAATACACGCTAATTTCTAGTCAATGTGTTATGGACTTCCTGGAATTTTCTGGAATTTGGGAGGAGCTAGAAGCTTTAGAGAAGATATTAAAAGATGTACAACTCAGGAATAGGTTCAAGCCGTGGGAATGATTCTGTGCCACATGAACATTTACTAAGAACTTCACCACAGAGGAAGCCATTAATATTAGGGTGTTCAAACTGACTCAATCAGAAAGTTAGTGTGGCTGTCTTTTGCCACTCCACTGCTTATCTTCTGGGCTTATAAATACCACACCTAGGGAGAGAGCATCACTCTAAGTGCCAGATTTTTATTCATTTGCTCCTAGTTGTGTTCCCTTCCCTGGTCCTTTAAAATTATGCTTTCTAGGATCCCCTAACAAGAGGCTTCAGTTAGAGTCAGGCAATGGGAAGCCCTGGAGGAAGATGGGCGGGCAGGAGGAAAGGATAAAACAGAGAATTTGTCCTTCTCCCTTTCTCCACTTGCTATGGAATCCACAGAAGTAGATTGATCGCTGTTGTGTCAGTTTCTGCCAGGAAGCCCTAGTTCTTAGAGTCCAGTAGCCCCTTCATCTTCCCCTTCTGCCTTAAAAGTGGTAATGACTAATTCCTGATTGTCTCACTGAAACGCTGGGTGGCTCTCGGGCTCTTCTAACACCTTTGTAATAAGTTCCTTGTATGGAAATAGAAGGAACTTTTTTGAACTCTCTCATATAAGCTCTGTTTTGCTAAATGGTTTCTGACCAGAACATCCAGCTTCTGGGGCATATGCAAATAGGTTCTGGTTAAAACCTCCATTGCTTCCATATCAATGGCTTCTTTTTCCTCCCTAATCAAGTCTGTGTTTGAAATACCAACTGCCCAACTTCTCTTTTTTTCTAATTCATTTTCTGAACCTGTTCTCCTAATCTTTAAGCAGTTCTGCGATAACCTGATAACTTTTCAATAAGTTTCTTTTAAAAAAGCTTACTACAGAAATGCTTAGAGCAAGATGGTGGAATGGAAGCCTACACCACTCATAACCCCAATAAGAACACTAAATTTTTACAACTATCTGCACACACAAAAAACCATCATTTCAGGAACCAAAAATCAGGTAAGTAATCGCAGTACCTGGTTTTAACTTCTTATCATGGAAGGAGGCATTGAAGAGGACAGGGCAGACAGTCTTGAATCATAGATGTCACCCCTCTCTTATTCATTTGCAGTGGCCACATGGAGTGGAGAGTCTATGCATTTGGAGAAGGAAGAGCATAGTGACTGGGGGACATTACATTGAACTCAGTGCTGCCCTATCATAATAAAGAGTAAAGCCATGCTGGATTCAGCCAGTGCCTATGCATGGAGAAACATCTGGACCAGACCTGGGTAAAGGGGAACCACCCATTTATCAGTCACTATTCAAGTTTCTTGGCAAGCCTTGCCGCTATGGACTAAAGTGCTCTGGGGTCCTAGGTAAACTTTAAAGGCAGTCTAGGGCAAAAGGACTGCAACTCCTAGGCAACTCCTAGTGCTGGGCTGGACTCAAAGCCAGAGGATGAGGGTGGCAAGTGGCCTAGGGAGACACCAGCCAGCGTGGCTAAAGAAGTACTTATTCCATCCCTCCCACAATGCCAGGCAGTGCAGCTTACAGCAACAAAAATTGTTCCTTCCTTCTGTCCAAGGGGTGGAGAGTGAAGAGTAAAGAGGACTTTGTCTTGCATCTTGGATACCAGCTCAGCCACAGTAGAATATAGCACTGGGAAAGATGTGAGGCCACCATTCCAGGCCATCACTTCCAGGCATTTCTAGACATACCCTGGGACAAAGGGGAACTCACTGCCTTGAACTAAGCACCCAGTCCTAGAAGGATTCATCATCTGTTTACAAAGGAGCTCTTGGCCCTGAATAACCAGCAGCAATAACCACATAGTAAGCTATGGGCCTTCGGCTCTGAGGCATGCTTAGTACAGATGTGACCCAGCACACTCCCAGTTGTGATGGCTATGATGAAACACTCCTTCTGTTTGAAAAATACAGAGGGGAAAGTAACGGGGACTCTGTCTTGCACCCTTAAGTATCAGCTCAGCCACGATGGGGTAGAGTAACTAGCCAGCTCTTGGAGTCCCTGAATCCAGACCTAGGCTGTTGTACAGCATTTCTGGACTTGCCCTGGGCCAGAGGGGAGCCCACTGCTGTGAACCATGAGTCCCAGGATTGGCAGGATTCGACACAAGCTGACTGAAAGGCCCTTGGGCTTTAAGTGAACATTGCCAGTGACCTGGCAGAACCCCCCTGTAAGCCCATGGTGGTGGTGCCCAGAGGGAAAGGCTCTTCCACCTATGGATAGGAAAGCGCAAGATGGAGTTCATATTGCGGTTTGAGTGCCAGCTTAGCCACGAGAGAATAGAATATCAGGCAAATTTATAAGGATTTTGGCACCAATTCCTGGGTTGCAGAAAGCATCTCTGGATGTGCCCAGTGCCTGGGGGAACTCACTGCTCTGAAGGGAGGAGAACAGACCTACCTGGCCTTGCCATCTGCTGATTATAGAGCCCTAGGGCCTAGAGTGAACATAAGTAGTAGCCAGGTAGTAGTTACAGCAGGCCTTAGGCAAGATCCAGTGCTGTACTGGCTTCAGGTCTGACATAGTGCATTCCCAGTGGTGGTGGCCCTATGGGTAATTACATTGCTACATCCCCAGTTCCAAACAGCATAGTGCAGAGAGAGAGACTCAATTTGCTTGGGAGAAAGTAAAGGAAAAGAACAAGAGTTTCTGTCTGGTAGTCCATAGAATTCTTCCAGATATTATTAAAGACCACCAAAGTTATACCCCCTATGAGTCTGCAAAAACAAGAGCAATATTGGACTTAAAGCTAAAGTCCCTTCAAATACCTGGAAAGCATTCTCAATAAGGACTGGCACAAAAAAAGCCTAGGCTGCAAAGAATAAATACCTAGCTCATTAAGGCCCAGAAACAGATGAATATCTACAAGCATCAAGATCATCCAGGAAAACATGATCTCCCCAAATGAACTAAATAAAGGACCAAGGACCAGTCCTAAAGAAACAGAGATATGTGACATTTTAGACAGAGAATTTAAAATGGCTGTGTCGAGGTAACAAAAAAATTTAAGATAACACAGAGAAGGAATTCAGAATTCTATCAGATACATGTAACAAAGAGATTGATATAATAAAAAAGAATCAAATATGAATTTTAGAGTTGAAAAATGCAATTGAAAAATGCTGACAAATACATCAGAGTCACTTAATAGCAGAATTGATCAAGGAGAAAAAAGAATTAGTAAACTTGAAGACAGCCTATCTAAAAATGCACAATCAGAGAATACAAAAGAAAAAAGTAAGAAAGCATGCCTACAAGATCTAGAAAATAGCCTCAAAAGGGCAAATCTAAGAGTTACTGGCATAAAAGAGGAAGTAGAGAAACAGAGAGGGGTAGAAAATTTATTCAAATAAATAATATCAGAGAACTTCCCAAACTTAGAAAAATGTCAGCACTCAAGTACAAGAAGGTTATAAAACACCAAGTAGGTTTAACCCAAAGAAGACTACCACAAGGCATCTAATACTCAGACTCCCAAAGGTCAAGGATAAAGAAAGGATCCTAAAAGCAGCAAGAGAAAAGAAACAAATAGCATAAAATGAAGCCCCAGTAAGTCTGACAGCAGATTTTTCATTGCAAACCTTACTGGTCAGGAGAGAGTAGAATGACATATTTAAAGTGCTGAAGGAAAAAACTTTTACCCTAAAATAGTATATCCAGCAAAAACGTTCTTCTGGCACAAAGGAGAAATAAAGGCCTTCCCAGGCAAATAAAAGCTTAGGGATTTCATCAACACCAGTCCTACAAAAAATGCTAAAAGGAGTTTTTCAATGAGAAAGAAAAGAATGTTAATGAGCAAGAAGAAATCATCTGAAAGTACAAAATTCACTGGTAATAGTTAACACACAGGAAAACAATGAATATTACAATGCTGTAATTGTGGTTTGCAAACTACTCTTATTTTAAGTAGAAACACTAAATGAGGAACCAATAAAAATAACTACAACAATTTTTCAAGACATAGTACAATAAGACATAAAGAGAAACAACAAAAATTTAAAAGTAGAGGATGAAGTTAAAGTGTAGAAGTTTTATTAGTTTTCATTTTGCATGTTTGTTTATGAAATCAGTGTTGTCATCAGTTAAAGTAGTGGGTTATGAGATAATATTTGCAAGTTTTATGGTAACCACAATTTGAAAAATGTACAACAGATACACAAAAAATAAAAAAAGAAGAAATTGAGTCTTACCACTAGAGAAAATATCTTTCACTAAAAGGAAGACAGGAAGAAAGGAAAGAAGGAAGAGAAGACCATAAAATAAAATGGCAAGAGTAAGTTTCTACTTAGTCATAACATTGAGCGTAACAAACTAAATTCTCCAATCAAAGACATAAGACTGGCTGAATAAATGAATAAACAAGACCCAACTGATCTGTTGCCTATAAGAAAAACAATTCACCTAAAAAGATACACATAGATTGAAAATAAAGGGCTGGAAAAAGATATTCTATGACAATGAACAACATAAAAGAGCAGGAATAGCTATGCTCATATAAGAAAAAATATGTAAGATGGAAACTGTAAGAAGAGATAAAGAAGATCATTATATAGTGAAAAAAAGGAATCAAGCAAGAGGACATAATGATTATAACTGTATATGCACCCAACACTAGAACACTCAGATGTATAAAGCAAATATTATTAGAGCTAAAGAGAGAGATAGATCTTAGTATAATAATAGCTGGAGATTTCTACACCCTAGTTTCAGTATTGGAGAGACCTCCCAAACATAAATTCAACAAAGAAACATCAGACTTAATCTGCACTATAGAATAAATGAACCTAATAGATATTTATAGAACATGTCATCCAAAGGCTGCAAAATACATATTATTCTCAGCAAAAGAATCATTCTGAAGAATAGACCACATGTTAGGTCACAAAACAAGTCTTATAATATTCAAAAAATTGAAATAATATCAAGCATCTTCTCTGAAAATAATGGAGTAAAACTTTTAATAAGCACATGAAAATTAAACAATATGCTCCTGGATGACTAGTGGGTCAATGAAGAAATTAAGAAGGAAATAGAAAAATTACTTAAATGACAATGGAAACACAATATACAACACCTATTGAATATGGTAAAAGCAGTACTAAGAGGGAATTTTACAGCTGTAAGTGTTAACATCAAAAAAGAAGAAAAGCTTCAAATAACCTACTGATGCATCTTAAAGAACTAGAAAAGCAAGAGCAAACCAAACCCAAAATTAGTAGAAGAAAAAAAATACTAAAATCAGAGCATAAATAAATAACTTTGAAATGCAGAAAACTATAAAAGACCAACAAAAAGTTTTTTTTTTAAAGAGATACACAAAATTGACAAATCTTTAGCCAGACTAATAAAGAAGAAAGGGGAGAAGACCCACATAAACAAAATCAGAGATGACAAAGTAGAATTACAACTGATACTGCAGAAATTCAAAGGGTCATTAGCGTTACTATGAGTGACAATATGCCACTAAATTGAAAACTCTAGAGAAAATGGATAAATTTCTAGGCACATATAACCTACCAAGATGGAAGAAATCCAAAACCTGAACAGACCAATAACAAGTAACAAGACCAAAGGTGAAATAAAAAGTTACCCAGTAAAGAAAAGTCCAAGAGCTGAAGGATCCACTGCTGAATTCTACCAAACATTTAAAGAAGAATTAATGCCAATCCTACCTAAGCTATTCTGAAAAATAGAGGAGGAGGAAATACTTCCAAACTCATTATACAAGGCCAGTATTACCCTGATACCAAAACCAAAGACACATCAAAATCAGAAAACTATAGGCCAATGTCACTGATAAATAATGATGCAAAAATCCTCAACATAATACTAGCAACCCGAATTCAACATCACACTACAAAGATTATTCATCATGCCTAAGTGGGATTTATTCCAGAAATGCAAGGATGCTTCAACATATGCAAATAAATCATGTTATGCCTTATGTCAACAGAATGAAGGACAAAAACTGCATGATCATTTCAATTGATGCTGAAAAAGCATTTGCTAAAATTTAACATTTCTTTATGATAAAATCCATAAAAACTGGCAATAGAGGAAATATAGCTCAACATAATAAAAAGCATATACAAAAGACTTACAGCTAGTATTATACTGAATGGGGAAAAACCACAAACCTTTCCTCTAAATTCCAGACCATGACAAGGATATCCTCTTTCAAAACTGTTATTCGACATAATAGTGAAAGTACTAGGTAGAGCAATCAGACTAGATAAATAAATAAAATGCATCCAAATTGGAAAGGAAGACGTTGAATTATCCTTGTTTGCAGACGATATAATCTTATATTTGGAAAAGCCTAAAGACTCCACAAGAAAAGTATTAGAATTTATAAACTTAGTAAAGTTGCAGAACAGTGATCAATCTGAAGAAGAAATTAAAAAGTATTTCCATTTACAATAAACACAAATAAAAATAAATACTTAGAAATTAATTTAAAGAAGAGAAAGATCTCTACAATGAAATCTATAAAACACTTATGAAAAGAATATAAATTACTCAAAGAAATGGAAAGATATTCCATGTTCATGGATTGGAAGAATAAATATTGTTAAAACGTCCATACTACACAAAGAAATCTACAGATTCAATGCAGTTTATATCAAAATACCGATGACATTTTTCACAGAAATAGAAAAAAGAATTCTAAACTTCATATAGAACCACAAAAGACCCAGAATAGCCAAACCCATCCTAAGCAGAAAGAACCAGCCTGTAGAAATCACATTACCTCATTTCAAATTATACTACAGAGCTATAATAACCAAGACAGCATGATACTGGCATAAAAACAGTCACATAGACCAGTGGAACAGAATAGAGAACACAGAAAAAAAAAAAAATCCATACATCTACAATCAACTCATTTTCGACAACTGTGCCAAAAACAAACATCAGGGAAAGAAAAGTCTCTTCAATAAATTGTGCTGGGAAAACTGAGTATCCATGTGTACAAAATAAAACTAAAGACATCTCTCTCACCATATTAAAAAAAAATCAAAATGGATTGAAGACTTAAATCTAAGACCTCAAACTAGGAAAAAATTGTGGAAACTCTCCAGGACATTGGACTGGACAAAGATTTCTTTAGTAATACCCCACAAGCACAGGCAACCAAAGCAAAAATGAACAAATGGAACCACATCAAGTTAAAATGCTTCTGCACAGCAAAGAAAATTATCAACAAAGTGAAGAGACAACCCACAGAATGGAAGAAAATACTTGCAAACTACCCATCTGACAAAGGATTAATAAACAGAATATATAAGAAGCTCAACCAATAGGAAAAAATATAATATTTCAATTTAAAAATGGACAAAAGATTTGAATAGACATTGCCCAAAGGAGACATACAAATGGCAAATAGGCATATAAAACGGTGCTCAACATCATTAATCATCAGAGAAATACAAATTAAAATTACAATGAGATGTCACTTCATCCCAGTTAAAAGACTCGCATCCAAAAGACAGGCAGTAAAAAATGCTGGAGAGGATATGAAGAAATAGGAACTATTGTACATTGTTGGTGGGAATGTAAGTTAGTATGATCATTCAAAAAACTAATAACAGAGCTACCATATGATCCAGCAATCCCACTGTTGTGTGTATACCCAAGGGAAACGAAATCAGTATATTGAAAATATATCTGCACTCCCATGTTTGCTGCAGCACTGTTCACAATAGCCAAGATTTGGAAGCAACCGAAGTATTCATCAACAGATGAATGGATAAAGAAATTGTGGTGCATCTACACAATGGAGTACTATTCATCCATAAACGAGGATGAGATCCTGTCATTTGCAACAACATGAATGGAACTGGACGTCATTGTGTTAACTAAAATAAGCTTGGCACAGAAAGGCCATCATCACATGTTCTCACTTACTTATAAGATGTGAAAATCAAAACAATTGAATACATAGAGATAGAGAGTAGAAGGATGGTTACCAGAGACTGGGAAGGGTAGTAGGGGTTGGGGAAGGGGTAGGTGGAAGTTGTTTATGGGTACAAAAAAATAGTTTGAAAGAATGAACAATACCTAATATTTTGCAGCACAAGGTGACTATAATGAAAATAATTTAATTGTACATTTTTAAATAACTAAAAGAGTACGATTGGACTTTTTGTAACAAAAGGGGTAAATGCTTGAGGGGATGGATACCCCATTTTCCATGATATGATTATTGCACATTGCATGCCTGTATCAAAACTTCATGTACCCCATAAACATATAAACATATGTACCCACAAAAATTAAAAATAAGAATTTTTTTAAAAGGCTACTAAAGTCCATTTCTGATACTTGAAATTAAGGTTCTGCATGGGAGCCAGGAAGGTGCACCACCAGGATAACCCTTCCAGGAAAGTACTTTCCAATCTGCTGCAACTGAGGCACCCAGCTAAGACATACTGGAACATTTGGACCAAAGCCTCTCTTTTGCTGCACACTTCTCAGCCAAAGGTCAATAAAGCATGGCAAGTGTGCTAGGGCTTGCCCAGGTTTGCCCAATGTGAGACTTGTCTATAGACAATATTGGAGCTTGGGCTTCCTGTAAGTCTCCAAGACACTTTCAGAGCCACACTAAACCTGAAACTCTAACTTCTTATTCTTTCTTCCTTTACTCTTTTCATAGCTATCAAACTTTTATGATGGTCTGAAGATTTTGCTAGTCTATCTCTTTCCCTTTTACCCTTCACGGGCACTATTTCCAACAAATTTCTTGCACTTTTTTTTTTTTTTTTTTTTTTTTTTGAGACGGAGTCTCACTCTGTCGCCAGGCTGGAGTGCAGTGGCGTCATCTCAGCTCATTCTCCTGCCTCAGCCTCCAGAGTAGCTGGGATTACAGGCATGCACCACCATACCCGGCTAATTTTTGTATTTTCAGTAGAGATGGGGTTTCACCATGTTGACCAGACTGGTCTTGATCTCCTGACATCAAGTGATCTGCCCGCCTTGGCCTCCCAAAGTGCTGGGATTACAGGCATGATCTACCACGCCCGGCCAATTTTTTGTACTTTTAACTCCTTCTTAGGTTGTGCGTCCTGGTTAATCTAACCTGTATGTTCTGTCAAAAACTGTCAGGAAAATGATGAGAATCTGAGGATTACTATAGGTCCCGATTGTCTAAGAAGATGATCAAAATACGCTTAGTCATGGAAAGGATTATTTTTGGCAGCCACACAAGGGCAAAACATTGATTAATTTATTATCTATGGCCACCCAGAATGAAGGATTCATTGAACAGAAGGCTTCGGTGAACCAATTAGTCACTTCAATGGAATTTAATAAATCAGAAGCAGTTTTATGTTTAAGAATCTTATCTAATACAACATGCTTTCCTTCTTAAAATATATAACTGTCAACAAGAAAGAAATGATAATTCCTTCTCTACCTCTTTTATAGAATCCTACAGTAAGTGTGCATTCCCCATTCCCCCATAAAAAGTAAATTTGGAAATTAGTGCTCTACAACAGTAATAATATTTTTTACTGTGGATGACAGTGTTTTAATGAAACAATTTTTTCTTCAGTGACAGAAAAATATGAGAAAACAGTCTTACCAAAAAAGAACTGCTAATAATTTTGTTACTTCCTAACAGGAATATTTTAAAAATATTAACTAAAAATTATCTAGCATTATATTCTACTTTCTTTTTATCACCATTAAAGCAGCCAGTCTCTGCTGTATTCAGTGTCACATGACAAAAAATACATTTTGTTCTGAGCTTTAACTTTCAAATGTAGTCCCACATAGGAAAATAAATAGTGTATATCGTAGACAAATTTGGAGGGGAAAGAATTTTGAATAAGAGTAACTTATCTCTTATTGCCAACGTTAAACTTATTTTAGTTGGAGGGAGCCTAAGTGTTCACAGTGATTTTACAAACCCTGATGATCCCTGAGAAAAGGGAATGATATCGAGCTCCTTTAAAAGGTGTCTGGAGAGACGGCAAATCCCAAGCAGATTTTGGGATACAGAAGCAGAGAGTTCTTCATAGAGATTATGAGAAAGCAATCCCCCGAAAAGAAACAACTCCTTGATATAACTAAGCAGACCAGGCTTGAGACCATCTCAGAGTTTTTTTTTTTTTTTCCAAAATATAGAATGATTCCCATATCTTAGTAAAAGAAGCAATTGGAAATAATATGGCTGTGCCAGAATCACAGACCCCTATGGGACTGCGTGACTAAGCATATATTTCATTAAAAACCAAAGATAGTACATTCCTTGTCGGTAAATTGAATGAATTCCAAACACTATAGTCTACTCAACATTTTCTCAACCTCAATATCATATTATAAATCTAGTAATGTAAAGATCTAGACTAATCTACTTCTACATAAATTATCAAAAAATGCTTACTAACCCTTCAAAAAATTAATGAATCCAGGAGCTGGTTTTTTGAAAGGATCAACAAAATTGACAGACCGCTAGCAAGACTAATAAAGAAAAAAAGAGAGAAGAATCAAATAGACGCAATAAAAAATGATAAAGGGGATACCACCACTGATCCCACAGAAATACAAACTACCATCAGAGAATACTACAAACACCTCTATGCAAATAAACTAGAAAATCTAGAAGAAATGGATAAATTCCTTGACACGTACATGCTCCCAAGACTAAACCAGGAAGAAGTTGAATCTCTGAATAGACCAATAACAGGAGCCGAAATTGGGGCAATAACCAATAGCTTACCAACCAAAAAGAGTCCAGGACCAGATGGATTCACGGCCGAATTCTACCAGAGGTACAAGGAGGAACTGGTACCATTCCTTCTGAAACTATTCCAATCAATAGAAAAAGAGGGAATCCTCCCTAACTCATTTTATGAGGCGAGCATCATCCTGATACCAAAGCCGGGCAGAGACACAACCAAAAAAGAGAATTTTAGACCAATATCCTTGATGAACATTGATGCAAAAATCCTCAATGAAATACTGGGAAACCGAATTCAGCAGCACATCAAAAAGTTTATCCACAATGATCAAGTGGGCTTCATCCCTGGGATGCAAGGCTGGTTCAATATATGCAAATCAATAAATGTAATCCAGCATATACACAGAATCAAAGACAAAAACCACATGATTATCTCAATAGATGCAGAAAAGGCCTTTGACAAAATTCAACAACCCTTCATGCTAAAAACTCTCAAGAAATTAGGTATTGATGGGATGTATCTCAAAATAATAAGAGCTATCTAGGACAAACCCACAGCCAATATCATACTGAATGGGCAAAAACTGGAAGCATTCCCTTTGAAAACTGGCACAAGACAGGGATGCCCTCTCTCACCACTCTTATTCAACATAGTGTTGGAAGTTCTGGCCAGGGCAATTAGGCAGGAGAAGGAAATAAAGTGTATTCAATTAGGAAAAGAGGAAGTCAAATTGTCCCTGTTTGCAGACGACATGATTGTATATCTAGAAAACCCCATTGTCTCAGCCCAAAATCTCCTTAAGCTGATAAGCAACTTCAGCAAAGTCTCAGGATACAAAATCAATGTAGAAAAATCACAAGCATTCTTATACACCAACAACAGACAAACAGAGAGCCAAATTATGAGTGAATTCCCATTCACAATGGCTTCAAAGAGAATAAAATACCTAGGAATCCAACTTACAAGGGACGTGAAGCACCTCTTCAAGGAGAACTACAAACCAATGCTCAAGGAAATAAAAGAGGATACAAACAAACAGAAGAACATTCCATGCTCATGGGTAGGAAGAATCAATATCGTGGAAATGGCCATACTGCCCAAGGTAATTTACAGATTCAATGCCATTCCCATCAAGCTACCAATAACTTTCTTCACAGAATTGGAAAAAACTACTTTAAAGTTTATATGGAACCAAAAAAGAGCCTGCATGGCCAAGTCAATCCTAAGGCAAAAGAACAAAGCTGGAGGCATCACGCTACCTGACTTCAAACTATACTACGAGGTTACAGTAAAAAAAACAGCATGGTACTGGTACCAAAACAGAGACATAGATCAATGGAACAGAACAGAGCCCTCAGAAATAATGCCGCATATCTACAACTATCTGATCTTTGACAAACCTGAGAAAAACAAGAAATGGGGAAAGGATTCCCTGTTTAATAAATGGTGCTGGGAAAACTGGCTAGCCATATGTAGAAAGCTGAAACTGGATCCCTTCCTTACACCTTATACAAAAATCAATTCAAGATGGATTAAAGACTTAAATGTTAGACCTAAAACCATAAAAGCCCTAGAAGAAAACCTAGGCATTACCATTCAGGACATAGGCATGAGCAAGGACTTCATGTCTAAAACACCAAAAGCAATGGCAACAAAAGACAAAATTGACAAATGGGATCTAATTAAACTAAAGAGTTTCTGCACAGCAAAAGAAACTACCATCAGAGTGAACAGGCAACCTACAGAATGGGAGAAAATTTTCACAACCCACTCATCTGACAAAGGGCTAATATCCAGAATCTACAATGAACTCAAACAAATTTACAAGAAAAAAACAAACAACCCCATCAACAAGTGGGCGAAGGACATGAACAGACACTTCTCAAAAGAAGACATTTATGCAGCCAAAAAACACATGAAAAAATGCTCATCATCATTGGCCATCAAAGAAATGCAAATCAAAACCACAATGAGATACCATCTCACACCAGTTAGAATGGCAATCATTAAAAAGTCAGGAAACAACAGGTGCTGGAGAGGATGTGGAGAAATAGGAACACTTTTACACTGTTGGTGGGACTGTAAACTAGTTCAACCATTGTGGAAGTCAGTGTGGCGATTCCTCAGGGATCTAGAACTAGAAATACCATTTGACCCAGCCATCCCATTACTGGGTATATACCCAAAGGACTATAAATCATGCTGCTATAAAGACATATGCACACGTATGTTTATTGCGGCATTATTCACAATAGCAAAGACTTGGAACCAATCAAAATGTCCAACAATGATAGACTGGATTAAGAAAATGTGGCACATATACACCATGGAATACTATGCAGCCATAAAAAATGATGAGTTCATGTCCTTTGTAGGGACATGGATGAAATTGGAAATCATCAATCTCAGTAAACTATCACAAGAACAAAAAACCAAACACCACATATTCTCCCTCATAGGTGGGAATTGAACAATGAGAACACATGGACACAGGAAGGGGAGCATCACACTCTGGGGACTGTTGTGGGGTGGGGGGAGGGGGGAGGGATAGCATTGGGAGATACACCTAATGCTAGATGACGAGTTAGTGGGTGCAGCGCACCAGCATGGCACATGTATGCATATGTAACTAACCTGCACATTGTGCACATGTACCCTAAAACTTAAAGTATAATAATAATAAATAAATAAATAAATAAAAAATGCTTACTTAGTAACATAAAAATACTGAATAATTTTAAATTATTATTATATTCCTATCATATAAGAAATAATTTTGAATAACTCTCCAAGTACAAAGAGCATGGGCTTTAGATCACACATCTTAGTATGAATCCAGTTATTAGTTAATAATTGGCAGACTTCAATTTCTAGCCTACAAAATTTCTTCCATACTTGTGAGATTAAATTCAATGTACATAAAGCATCTAACAGAGTTCTTAGCACATAGTTGGCTCTCAAAAAATTACAGCTGAAGGTGTTCTTTAAAGAAATGAATACTGGCCACCAGACAAGGCTAGGGAGTATGCTGGCCTGGGAATGCTAACTGGCTGCCTCCCAGGAAGACTCAGCACCACATTTACCTCGCTGAAATTGTGTTGGTTCACAGTCTGCCCTTAAACTTTGCTTACTCAAAACTTGGTTTGTCAGCATATCAAGAATGCATCTGCTTTTTAGGTGTAGGCTTACATAAAAAACTCCTTAAGACCGATCATAAAATACAGAAATAATTGGTTTATAGTGATGACAATAACTTCTGAAACTACTACGTTGGTGTCCTCAGACAATGTATTTTCTACCTTAAAGAAAGAACTGCTTGGAAACTTAAATGAAGGATTCCTTAGTTTCTATTTGAATGTGTTTACTTTTCACATGAAGGATGATCAGAAAAATCATTAAAGTCTCTTTACTTTAACCAGCTCTTTGAACATCAATAGTTACAGAATAATTGCAGAAACTAACATTTGGCTCTGTCCAAATTCTGATTATACCATTACCAGGGCAAATGCAGTCGATGTCAATGGCTCTCACTTCATATCTAAAAAGTAGCATCATTTTTGTTTTTACTTTAATTTGCATTTTTGGGGAATTAGTTTTGCCGTCCTTGAAATAAAAATATTTGGAATGTCCTCTGACACATGATTTTAAAGATTGATTTACACCTTCTACTTTGAAGACCCAGTAGGTTGCAAAAAGGAGGCAAAACTAACAAAGGCAAAGAAAAAACTTGAGAAAAGTAATGCCAATAGACAAATGGTAACTAATGTGCCTGCTCTGATAAAGTGGAAACTCAAGCGACACAGACACCAAAAAAACAAGCTGATCTCCTTTAGAACCCAGAAAAAGCAAGATGAATTGGAAAGCCTTCAGACTCTGAAAGCAGACGTAGCAGTAAGGATAGAAATGTGGTAATTGAAAGTTTATATAAGTACCTATTGGTTTTCAGGATTCCCTTTTGGTGACATTAATCACAGGAGTGGATGGTGGGGATGGAGGCCTAGGACACGTGACAACAGAAGGTATCATATGGAAAACCAACCATATCTAACCCTTTCCCTCAGTCATTTTTGAAAATGTTTGCAGCCAGGTGTATATTTTCCAGGTAAGAGACAGATGATTTCATTATTAAAATAAGTATAAACTTTGAGTTATATGGATCTACCCAGAATTTTGGGGGTCCCACTAGGTCACATGCATTAGTGATAAAATGACAGATAGAGAAAGAGAGAGAATATAAGGAATTAACTCACAAGATTATGAAGTCTAAGAGGTCCCAAGATCTTCAGTCAGCAACATGGAGACACAAGAGAGCCAAAGTTGTGGTTCAATCCAAGTCAAAGTCAGAAGTCAGGAGATCAGTGTCATAGCTGAAGACTGGCAGAAATTAACTATCACATTACCGTACTATGAATCCTACTTGACAACAAGTTTTCTTTTCCTCCAAACACAACATTTCCAATCAAGATTCTGTGTGTTTGTTTTAAACATAAACATATAAGAAAAAACCAGTAGTCATTTCAGAAAATCATTTGATGTGAAAGAGACCAAAACAAACAAAGAAAAGTCAGAGAAATTAAGGAGGGAAGAGAGGATAAGAAGACTCCAAAGGCTTTACTTAATATCCTAGGGACAAAATTGAAGATGTTGCCACTCTGAAGAAAAAGCATGGAAGACTACTAACAGACAAACATTCAGATAGCAAAAGAGAAACTTAAGAAATTAGAAATATAATAGTAAATATGAAAAATCTTTACCACAGGAAATATAGATTAAAATATAAAATAGGAAAGAAAGGATAAGAAGATTAGCAGGAGGTTTAATAGTAAAACAATATGAATTAAAAACAAAAAACAGAAGAAACAAAGAGAAAGAAACTATCAAATAAATAATAAAATATCAAAGAACCAAAATAACTGAACTTTCAGATGTAGAGGTATAATTTGCTGTCCAGCACAATAGATAAAGAAAGATACACATCAAAGCACTTAATGGAATTTAAGAAAACTATGTTTAAAAAGAAAGAGAGAAAGAGGGGGAGAGAGAGAGAGAAAGGGAGGGAGGAAAAGCTGCAAGTTTCAGAAATCAGAATGGCCTCAGACTTCTCAATGGCAACATTGGAAGTCAATGAAGCATCATCATCAAACTTTAGAGAAAAACTAAATTTCATCCTAGAATTCTAGGCATCATTAAGCTCTTAAGTTTGAAAATAGGATAAAAATATTTTCAGATAATCAATAGATCAAACACTCATTTCTTAAATCATTTCTCAGAAAGTGACTTGAAGAATTGCTCTGGCAAAATGAAGAATTCAGCCAAGAAATAAAAAAATTTCCCCTCCATCTTTCCCCCTCCCCACCATAAGAGGGTTGCTACCAAGAAGAGCCTTGAAGGGAATCCATGGGATGGTGATAAATGTAGCTGCCGGGATGATGTTGCTTACTGGACCTGACAACAATCAGATTGGAACAGCTGGAGGAAAGACTCCAAGAGTGATATCCGAGAAAAGATAAAATTGATTAGTGAACTTGTTTTTTGTTTGTTTGTTTGTTTTTAGTGTGCTAGGAGGAAACATATTTGGTAGGTGAAGTGTGAAAGATGCATTAAAATAGTTGAATAATTAGAAAGAGGGTGTGAAATACATTTTTGAACTCCAAAAATAGGAATGAGGAAGAAAGGAAATAAACTTGCTCTCTTGCACAGAGTAAATGGCAAAGAAGAATTTCTTGTTATTTTTGTTAGATCATTCATCTCTTCACATCTTCATATCATAAGAACTGCATAGTGATAACTACAAAATTATAAACAACTGTATGGGAGGATGGGAGAGGTAACTACCTGTATCAGGGTTAGGTGTAGTAGAACTAGGTCATCATTCGTAATAGGATGTAAATAAGAAATAGCAATATAAACTAATTTGGATATTAATGCTAAAAGAACCAGCTAAGAAAGTGTGATGAAGGTGAGTGCAGAGAGAAGACTTGCTGAAGGCAGGCTGGGAGGAAGGCAGGTTAAAGATAACTGCTTTTTTTTAAGGAATATAGGTATGTGCCCTTGTGGATATATATGTCCATATAATAAAAATGTAAATTTAAAAATTGTTAGTAAATTGCTTAAAATTATAAGCTAAGAAAATCCACATGCCCCACTCCAGGCCTGAGACATCCATGTGCCTGCCTCTAAAGAGATTGTTCTGTTGAACCCATCCCCTTCCACTTGCAGAGAGGTTCTGTATATACATCAGCCATGTTTACCTCTGAGACCCCCCTTTTCCTGTCTCTCAGGCCAAGCAGCACTTCTCTGAAACTATACAATCGAATCTTTCTTTAGATATGTTAATACATAAATCTGTTACAGCAAATCTTCCAGGTGAGGAAGTCATTCTGTTTCCAATGAGTAAATATTCGTGCATCTGTGCTCTAATCCCTCTGTGGTAATTTTTATACTTTAATTTCCTAATTTTATTTGCTTCATTTCAAGTTTCTGGAGTATGTTTTCCTCTAACTCCTCAAAATTAGAAACAGTAAGAACTCTGATTCGAAAGCTATACCAGTACTTATCATCATTACCACTTTCTTACTCCTTAACAACCTGTTTTCAACATATTAACTCATGCTTATGCAATTTATTTTGCTCTTAATGTTTTCACTTCCCCACCACTATGAATGCAGGAGCTAAGCATCTGTATTTTTAAGACACTTTTGCAATGTACATGTTCTGTTCACAATAGAAGTTAATTGACAATTAAAAAATATTTTTATAGCTGTTTGCTGAATGCTTAATATATTAAATTGACAGCAAATAGTATTAAATCATTTTGGGATTTATTATCTACAAATGTAATCTCCCTTACACCATAAAGAGGGTAAAAAATCAGTAGCCTGTGAGTTTTATTAAAATTTAATACTTTAAGAACTAAACCGATTTTTACAATAATGTTAATATAAATTTGACCCTAGAGCTCAATTAATTTTTGACCATATTCCAAGGACAATAAATAAAATCATATGAAGATATAGTGAGATAAATTCTGCATTTCTTGCTAGCTCAGTCAGTTCTGAAGACACTAACAGGAAAGAGGTTACACAAATCAATGATTTCACCCCTTGTGGAATTGAACAGGCCGTATCTCCTCTCAGCACTAATGCTCACTCTGTAGAATTCCTTTGCAAATGCTGACCAAATGTATTTGAGACAGGAGGGACGGGGCTTGGCTTCAGCTCACCCCTACTAGAGCATCCTTTCATGCATTCCCACTGATCACAAAACCCACACCACTACCTCATTGATAAACCATGGTTAAACCGTAATGTTTAACAATGCCTTTTGCTTACAGAATTCCAGGAACTGGCCTCGGGAGATCTAAATAGCAAATACACGTTGCAGATTTACAACCTTGTTGCCATCAGCCAGACAACCAGGTGGCCCATTATTCAAGATAATCATCACAACCAGATATGCTGACCAGCATACCCTCCCCGCAACCCAGCTGGAGCACCTTATCTGTGATGTCAATTCCTACACTTTGCATAATAAAAACTCCCTGAGTGCTTTGTCAGGAAGTCAGCCAGAGGATCCTTCCACCTTTGCTATCTTCCTTGTGTTTGAGCACAAGCCCTGAAATAAAACCCTTCTCTGAGAAATATGCCTGGCCCAGGGTTAATTTTCATTATATGTGGAGCTAAACAGCCTATGGTCTGTAACATATTAGCAATGGGTCTATCTATGAACAGCCTTTAAGAATAACGCTAACCAACATTTTCCTCCAAATCTAGATATAGATTACATGTTGTCATTGAGATTTTAGGATAGATTTAAGGATACACAAAAAATATGTTCACTGTACATAGACCGTGATTTTAATAATATAAATCTACTCCACATGAAAATATGACATATATCATATTCTTCTTATCAATACATTAAAATATCAATTTAGTGATTTCATTAATTTTTAAAAATTCACAATGTATTTAGTTTTTTATTGGAAATGTACTTTGGATTTAGTGATTATCTCACATTTTCTAGAGTAAGTTGAGAAGGTTGCAGTTTGTTTCTTTAAGTCAATTTGAATTAATTTATCTGCCAACTAGAAATAATAGTTTTGTTTTGTTTTTAAATATTAGCATAGAAATCCTGGGTTATCTATCAATGAATGATTGGAAGAACCAAAAAGCTAAAAGAAAGCATGGAGATTCTCCAAAAAGGGAGAAACACTAGATATCATTTAATAAAACCCTTCTAAAATGAGAAGTACTAGAAGTATGGTCTTTGAATTTCTGCCTAAATAATTTCAGGAAAATGATAGCCTTGAATTTGCATGTATTTAATCTGATTAAATCAAAGTTCTTCCTTATGTGACACTGTAGTTTTTACTCCATGATATCAGTTCTACCTTCTACTTCTAAATGAAAATTCCCCCAATATTTGAAGCCTTACTATGAACCTTGCTGGTCTTCTACTTCACAGTATAAATATTCTCAATTTCTCATTTATTCCCTTATAAAACAAAGTGTCTTAATCCTTTGCTAAATGAAGGTCTGATTTTGTATGGTCTCAGGGTCAAATATCTCTCTTAAAATTCATTTTCCTGGATGGAAGAGAATATTCTAAAAGCAGGACTCATCCAAACAAATGATTTTCAAGATTTAAACTCCCCCTTCCCCCCTAAAAATTGGGGACACTTATTATAATGCTTTTGCTCATATATTGGTATATTTGGACTAGAATCTCAAAACCTAAATACTTAAGAAACATTCCAAAGAATTCTGACCTCAATTGTTTGCAGAACACATTTTAAGAAGCACTAAGCTAAGTTTTTGGAAACAAAAAAATTATATCAACATGTTCTTCATACTATTGGCTCACATTAAGCCTTAAGGTAAACTCAAACTGAGCTTCTGTTTATCCAAGTATCCTAGTCCTGTACTTCTGGAATTTATCTTTATATCATAAATTTAGAATTTGCAGGTTTATCTGTTAAGATTCTTGTTAATTTAGGATTGCAAGTTAAGATTGTTGGGTGAAACTCTTGAACCTTGATTCGATCACCTAAAATATTAGTCTCCCTTGCCAGTACTGCATCACTTACAAATTTGATAAATGTTCCTTCATCCAAATCACAGTTGAAAATTTATAAGGCTAAACAGAGAATCTTATAACATGTCACAAGACACCTCCTTCCAAGGTGGCAATCATTTATTAAACAACACTTTTGGGGGTAGCTATGCATTTATTAAGCTGTTCTATCACTTAACACACATTTCTCTATCTTATCTACAACCATGTCATACCCAAGGAAATTTACCAAGTGCTTTACTGGAATTCTGATAAAGGTTTTCTGTAATATTTCTCTGCTCTCACAGATGTGGCAGAGGTGGCTCTGGTGAGGAAAGCACTGGATATTTATTAGGTCTTTAAACCTTCAAAATGTATCATCTAATAGATGACCACCTTCTAGGATAGCCTTTTTATGCCACACAAACAAAGACACAAAGGTTTATGGAAGTTATATAGGTACATGATGTCACAAACTAGAAGGCTAGAGGTCCAAGTGCTTTTTTGTATCTCACTACACACTAGCCCTATGACATCAAGCAAGTTATTTAATGTCTCTGCAATTCACATACTGTAAGGTGTGTACTTAATAATGAGTTACATTCTGAATTCTTCCACCTAATTCACAATAAATGTAACAGCGAACCAGAGCAAAAGTGCTCAAAAATAATAGAAATTTAGCTGTCACTTAAAAGTTTCAGCTAGGCAGTCCAAAGCTAGTAGGAATGCTCTGTTCTACACAGTTCTCAACATTCTAGGTTTGTCTTACCTTGTTTCCTCATCATTCATAGCCTCCAATCTTGAAACCAACTCATTGTTCATTATGACTGTTCCAATTCCAATTATTACATCCACACTTCATGCATCAGAAAAGAGGAAAGATAAAGAAGAATGTACAATACAAATTTATTTTAGGAAAGGATTCTGGCAGCTGCTACATGACATTTTTGCTTATGTCTCACTGTCCAAAAGTTAGTCATATGGTCATATCTTACTGTAAAGAAAATAAGGAAGTGCAATCATTTATTCTCTATCCTCATGTTTCCAATTAAAAACTAGGTGTTCTATTACTATAAAATAAACAGAATAGATTTAGGGAGACAACGGTGAGATTCTGCTATAAACACACTGTAAATATACAAAGGAAAAAGCTTATTTTCATAAACTTGTTTTAAGGGAATTTCTACTGATTCCTAGAATGTGAACTTTTTGTATTGCTTAAAATATGTTCTGGAAAGGTCCTAAGATTTAACACACTCATTTATTAATTTATTCATTCAATCAACAGCCGTTAATAAAGTATCCCAGACATCACACTAGAACATTGATATTTCAACAATCAATACAAGACATGGTCTCTGTCTTTGAGGAACTCAGAATATTGTAAAAGAGATAGACTTGAAAAATACAGAAGAATCTGGGAGAGGAATAAAATTAAATTAAGCTTTGAATATTTGAGAAAGTCTTCAAAAAGGTCTTGTTTAAACTAAATTTTTAAGAAAAAGGGGAATTTTTTATCAGTTATAATAGGGAGCAGAAATAGTGCTCTGGGTCAAGACAGTAATATATAATAAGGCATAAAGAGGTAAAAATAAAACATGTTATTACAGTAACAGTGCACAATTTTATGTAACTACAATGAATACTTGACAGAAATAGGGTGGAGGGAAATGTGGCTGCAGTTTGACAAGAGCCATGATTACCATTCCAAATCGATCCTACAGGTATCAAAGGCATTAAAGGCTTTAAATAGGGAGTTGTATGATGATCTGTGGAATTTCTTTTTTGGCAATGGTTGGCAGAATAAATGGAACATTGGAGCCAGTGAGAAACTAGAGGCTGGGGGGTTATTGCACCAGTGAATAATTCAAATGAGAGATGATGAGACCTTAAGTGAGGCAAAGAGAGAGGATGGCTCCTCAAAAAGTGATTGATTCTTGTATTAGCTTCCACATTAGTCCACTCTCATGCTGCTATAAAGAAATACCTAAGACTGGGTCATTTATAAAGAAAAGGGGTTTAATTGACTCACAGTTACACATGGCTGGGGAAGCCTCAGGAAACTCACAATCATGGAGGAAGGCACGTCTTTGCAGGGCAACAGGAGAGAGAATGAGTGCAGAATGAAGGGGAGAAGCCTTATAAAACCAGTAGATCTATGAAAACTCACTCACTATCATGAGAATAGCATGGAGGAACCACCCCCCATGATCTAATCACCACCATGCAGTCCCTTCCCCAACACATGGGGATTACAATTCAAATTACAATTCAAGATGAGATTTGGGTATGAACACAGAGCCAGACCATATTAGCTTCTCATTTATCACTGGCTTTAAAGTGCTTTCTACTGTTTATTTTGTTACTTCTAGTTTTAAAATTATTCCTTTTGATGGGGAGCATGGAGCCTAACTAAATGTTACATAAGTTTCCAATTTTCCTATATTTTTTACACCTTTTGCTCTAAAAAGTAGCATTGCCCATTTTGTCTTTTTGTTTTTTTGCTTAAAACAATTAGAAATTATTAAAGATAATTGTATACTACACTGTATGTCAATAGCTACCCATATATTATTTCATTTTATCTTAACATTATCTATAAATACCTACATACATGGTAGGTACTATTATCAAACAAGATTAAATAATTTTTCCAAGGGTAGCCAATTGCAAATTAGTGGAGCTTAAATACAAAACCAAGTTTATCCATCAACGAATAATGGTATTTTAAACCACTACTCTATAGTTGTAATGTTTCTGTGTTGATATTTTGATAATTTACTAAGGAATAACAAACAGGTGTCAGCTCATTCCATTTGTGAGCTTTTTGGATAAGCTCATCTTTTGTTTGTGCCTTCATCATAGTTGGGCAGGGGGCTGAGGGAAAGCATGTTCTTCTGCTGTTCCAAATGTCCCTTCTTTCATTCCTTTTGTACATCAAGAAGATTTAACAAGAGAGAATTCAATTATTTCTCTTGAAGAGTGAAAGTCAACATCAAACTTAGAGGAAAACAACTTATTTGTAAACAGGCATACAGCCTACCTGACCCAGAGCATTTTTAATGAAGATCAACTTTTGCATTTTGTTGAGATGTGTGGAATTTCACTCTCTTATATTCCTCTGCTTTCTCAAGGTTTTTCATACCAGCTTTCAACTTTGCCCTCAAACACATAGCTTAGTATCAACCAATAGTTTTACAGATAGTTTCACTCAACTTTATTAAGAGCAGTTTGTTAGTAGCAAAGAAAATTGGGTTTTCAGCAACAGGTTATTTGAAAATGAAATCCAATAATTCTATCAAAATTATAATTGTAAGACTGATATGTTTATAGCACATAAACAAACTAAAAATAAATTATTTACCTCATAATATAATTGTCTTTAGAAAATACTGCTTCTCTAAGTGTTATTAATTAGAGAAGTAATATTTCCTAAACATAATTTAGGGGGCCATGTTACTCCTTGCATCCTGGCAACAGGCTAGAGCTCAAAAGGCCCAGGTACCTCTCAGGCCACCAATCCAAAGAGTGCAAGCCTTAATCCTTGATGGCTTCCATGTGGTGTTCAGTCTGCAGGTACACAGATTTCATGACTGTCTCAGACACTTTACTTCATCTTCTGACATTTATTTCTTTCCATTAAGGAGCACCTTTGATCTCCAAGGTGGAACCAAGGTGGCCACTAGGTGCGGCCTAGTGGGAGGTGTTTGAGTCATGCAGGTAGATCCCTCATGAATGTCTTGGTGCTGTCCTCGTGATAATGAGTGACTCCTTGCTCTATTAGTTGTCATTATATCTGATTGTTAAAAAGAGCCTGGCACATTCTCTCTTTCTCTTGCTCCCTCTCTCACTATGTGATGTCCCCTCCCCCTCCTTTTTTGCCATAAATGGAGGATCCTGAAGCCCTTACCAGAAGCAAATGCTGGCACCATGCTTTTTGTACAGCCTGTAAACCACAAGCCAAATAAACCTCTAAAATACACAGTCTCACGTATTCCTTTATAGCAATACAAAAGAGACAGAATATTGGTAAATGGAGTGGGATGTTTCTATAAAGACACCTGAATATGTGGAAGCAGCTTTGCAACTGGGTAATGGGCAGAGGTTGGAACAGTTTGTGGGGTTCAGAAGAAGAAGGAAAGATGAAACGTAGTTTGGAACTTTTTAAAGACTATTTGAGTGATTGTGACCGATATGTTGATAAAAATATAGACAGTGAGAGTCATGCTGAGGAGGTCCCAGATATAGAAGAGAAACTTATTGGGAACTGGATCAAAAGAAACACTTGCTATCCCTTAACAAAGAACTTGGATGCATTTTGTCCATGCTCTAAAACATGCTTGTCCAACTTGCAGCCCACGGGCCACATGTGGCCCAGATAGCTTTGAATGCAGCCCAACACAAATTCATAAACTTCCTTAAAACATTATGAGACTTTTTTAACAATTTTTAAGTTAATAAGCTATTATTAGTGTTAGTGTATTTTATGTGTGACCCAAGACAATTCTTTTCTTTCAGTGTGGCCCAGGAAAGCCAAGAGATTGGACACTCCTGCTCTAAGACTTTGCAGAAGACTGGACTTAAGAATAATTACATAAAGTATCTGGCAGAAGAAGTTTCTAAGCAGAAAAGTGTTCAAAGAAGTGGCATGGCTGCTTCTTTATCAGATGTGAGAGCAAAGGAATGACCTAAATTTGGAACTTAGAAGGGAATCAAAGTGTAAAATATTGAAGAATTTGCAACCTGGTCATATGGTAAAGAAAGAAAGAATATTTTCAGGGGATGAATCAAAAGTATATCCAAGCCTCTCTCTTCAAAAGCCCAATGGCCTAGGAAAACAAAATGGTTTTGGGGGCCATGTTAATCCTCACATCCTTGCTACTGTGGCTTCTGCCAGAGCTCAAAAGGCCCCAGGTACTCCTCGGGCCACACACAAATCCAAAGAGTGCAAACCATAATCCTTGATCACTTCCATGTGGTGTTCAGTGTACAGGTGCACAGATTTCAAGGGTGATGGAGGCCTGGCAAGCTCCACCTAGATTTCAGAGGATGTAATGGAAAGCCTGTATGCCTAGACAGAAGACTGCCTCCAGAGCAGAGCCCCCACAGAGACTCTAGTATAGCAGTACAGAAGGGAAACGTGGGGTTGGAGCCCCTAAACAGAGTCTCCACTGGGGCACTGCCTACTCTCCTGGAGCTGTAGAAATGAGGCTACCACCCTCCAGACCCCAGAAGAGTAGAGTCACAAGTAGTGCGCAATCTCAGCCTAGAAAACCACAGGCATTGAACTCCAAGCCATGAGAGCAGCTGCATGAACTGCAGCCAGCAAAGCCATGGGAGTAGGGCTGGCCGAGGTTTCAGGGGCCACTCTTAGCACCAGTGTGCCCAGAATGCAGGATATGGATTCATTCAAATGAGATTATGTTGGTGCTTTAAGATTTAATGTCTGCCCTGCTGCCTTTCAGACATGCATGGGGCCCGTTACCCTTTCTTTCGACCAGTTTTACCATTTTGGAATGGGAATGTTTACCATATGCCTGTACCACCACTGTATCTTGAAAATAACTTGTTTTTGATTTTACAGGCTTACAACTAAAAGGAGCTTGTGTTGAGTCTCTGATGAGACTTTGGACTTTGGACTTTTGAACTGATGCTAGAATAAGTTACGACTATTGGGGACTACTGGAAAAAGGTGATCATATTTTGCTATGTGAGAAGAACATGATATTTAGGGATCCAAGGGAAAGTGATATAGTTTGAATGCTTTTCCCCTCCAAATCTCATGTTGAAGTTTGATCCCCAGTGTTAGAAATGGGACTTAGTGGGAGGTGTTTGGGTCATGGGGGTGGATGTCTTGGTATCATCCTCTCAGTAATGAATGAGTTCTCATTCTATTAATTCTTGCTGTGTCTGATTCTTTAAAATGGCCTGGCACCTCCTCCCCTCTCTCTCTCTCATTCCCTCTGTCACCATGTGATGCCTGCTCCACTTCCCCTCTTGCCATGAGTGGAGGCTTCCTGAGGTCCTCACCAGAAACAGATACTGATACCATGCTTCTTGTACACATTGCAAAACCATGTGCCAAATAAATCTCTTTTCTTTGTAAGTTACTCAGACTCAGGTATTTCCTTATAGCAACACAAAGTGGACTAAGACAGAAAATTAAAATCTAAAGAAGTGAACTGATGGCCAAATACACAACCAATGTCACACAGCATAGTTTTAAATCCCCTATCACCTTATTTAAGTTTCTTCTTTATCTACTATCTCATATTATTTCAACCAGAGGAAAACCTATTTTCAAATTCTATGCAAAATAAATTGCAGAAAGTATTTTACACCAACATGAAATAATTAAAACAAAATGATGTGATGAAAGAATATTACTATAGAATTCAAACATACTATTGTGTTGATAAAAAGAAAATTGGGCTTTTGAAATCTGCTTAACTGTCCTAGACCATAAGAATACAGCTTTCAGAAAGTGAAATGAGAATAAGAGAAAAAAACTGATGTAAAAGAAATTGAGTTCAAGGAAATCTACTTAACTATACCTCATCTATAATATAAAAATATGCACTTTAAACAGTATAATGAGGACATTAGAAATAGCCTTTTCAAGTTATATTTATGGAAGCCAAAGCAGATGTAAGTAGAAAAAATACTAAGAGCTACTTTGTTTAACAAATAGCTCTGATACTAATAATGATAGCTATCATATATTACCCAAAGATTATATATTAAACACAGTTTAAAATGTATGTGTATTCCTAGAGGTAAATATTTTTTCAATGTCTTAGTAAATTCAAATATTGAAAAATGTGACAAAGAATTGTAAAAGTGGCAAATCCAGAGGCAAACACCCAATACTAATGCGTATAATCCTTCTGTCACGTTCCTTCTGTCAAATCCAGAACAAATACCCCCTCCCCAATTTCTACCCTTGAGTGAGTACAGAAGCAATATTTCAATATTGCTTTTGCTTTTCATTCCTGATAATTTCTTTACTGGCCAGAGGCCTTCCTTCTGCCACTTATTCTGTGATAGCCACTCTCCCAAGGCAGGGGCAATACAGCAAACCAGAAAACAATGACACTATAATTTTACATTTATATTCAAAAGCCTTTATTTATGTAAGAGACTGAAAAATGAGAGACGTACTGGTTTTACTAGACTCATCTACCCAGTTGTATTCTCAGACTAAGTAAGATTATTTGAGAAGAAGGCAGAGAAAAGAGTTGTAAAGGCAGTCACAAGAAATTTGAACATACTTGAAAGCCATACCCCCTATCTTCCACCCCAAACCAAGGCCTAATCTGTAGCTCCTTTAAGTTTATGGATCCATTGGAGAAAATAGATAATGTATGGCTAACTTCCTGGGTTAAGGCCCAGGAAATACCAAGCCATGTAGGAAAGTCTTCTGCGCAGTGTATCCTGCACTCTGGAGAACTCCAGGAAATAGTTACAGTAGAATTGTGCAGTGGAACTCTGGAAGGTAGCTACCCAGACTCAGGTTAACCCTAACTCTGACATCTGTCCTTTGGGAGAAGAAAAGTCTATGTGAGGTATGAAGAGAGAAAGAAAGCTTGATGGAAGCTGCAAGCCACGAAGGCTCCAACTGACTGGCATGGACCAGATGAAACTTCTTCATTCCTTCTGGTGATTCCAGATTTGACTTAGTTGAAACCTGAAATGATTTACAAGACTCAGAAGTGACTCATAACTAGTGACATTTACTAGATTACATTTTCTCTCATCATACAGAATGTGATCTTAATATAGAAACTGCATTCAGATTTATAAAAATAAAGAAAATTTGCTTTCCTGGGACAACTTTGCTACTTGGAAAATGCATATCAAAAGTAATAAAATTAAAGGACTAATATTTCAAATAAAATAATCTAAGAGTTCCTGATTACAGGGCTGTTTAAGTTTGCCATTCTTTTCTATTTTTAAAGGACTCAGCTATCTGCACACTACAGTTTATTTATATTGAATGAGACTGTAATAATTAAATCATCTGGAAATTAACACTATAAGAAAGCCAAGGCTATTTGTCCTACATGTGAAATAATAAGCCAGTCTTGTTCCCAGTCTTTGCCATTATAATGTTATTACACAATTATTAAACTGAAATTCTTATTCCACTGCTGAAACAAATGGCCAATATCCATTTCCATCCTCTGATTGTTGGAGCATAGATGTCATTATATCATAAATGAGCCCCACATAAGGTAATGATTCTATTGTATTGATATATCTAAAGTAATTCCCTGAGGTTTCTCATTTTCTTCTTCTTCTTTTTTTTTTTTTAATTTTTTTGAGATGGAGTCTCACTCTGTCACCCAGGCTGGAGTGCAATGGCATGATCTCGGCTCACTGCAACCTCCCCCTTCTGGGTTCAAGCGATTTTCCTGCCTCAGCCTCCCAAGTAGCTGGGATTACAGGTGCACACCACTACACCTGGCTAATTTTTTTGTATTTTTTTAGTAGAAACGGGGTTTCATCATGTGGGCCAGGCTGTTCTCGAACTCCTGACCTCATGATCCACCTGCCTCAGCCTCCAAAGTGCTGGGATTACAGGCATGAGCCACCGTGCCTGACCTGAGGTTTCTAATTTTCTTAAGGGATGGCACAAATCATTAACAAAGTACTCCACGTAGGTGAAAAAATGTGCTTTAACATTCTTTAATACTTTAATATAATGTCCCACTTAATATTATATTATATTTGAAACAGAATAGTAGGAGAATACATTGTCCCACAGAGTTACTCCCTGCCACTTTCTCTGGAACTTACCTCATTGAGAGAGCTTCATTTCATTTTAAGTTGAGCAAGCTCATGTTCTAATAAACCAGCTAAAATATTAGGCCTGTAAGGCTGACTTACTGATGGTTTTTGTGTTTTTTCCCCTCTCTGAAATAGATTTCTTATCATCAGTGCCAAGTGATTTACAGAAAACATATATAGCTTAAGTCCTATGCTTAGAAAGGGGTGCATAGAAATTCATTTATAATAGGATGACAGAAACATGCTTTAATTAAAGCAGATGGCATAAAATATACTATATACAAAATTATACTTATATGTGAAAATATACATTTACGATTTCATTTTAAAATGTCTGGTGTATTAATACTTTACTAGCATTTTTTTTTGTTTTAAATACCAACAACATTTCAGTAACTACTTTAACACAGTAGTTGTAGTAGATATTAGGGTTGTGCATCTACTTCCTGCCTTCGTCAAATTTCATATGTCAAAGTCCTAACTCCTGGTACCTGGGATGTGACTGTATTTGAAGATAGGATCTTTAAAGAGGTGAGTACATTACAATAAGGTCATTGAAGTGGGCCCTAATCCAGTATGACTGATGTCCTCATAGGAAGAGGAGATTAGGACGCAGATATACACAAAGAGAAGATAATGTGATGTTCCACAGTATAGGTCTATGCAAACCTACTCCCAAAAATCTGAAGAAATGAAGAGACCGAAGAAAGATGCTGACATAACCAGTTTCTCAGAAAGAAACATGTAATACAAACTTACAAACAGAAGCCATGCCTCCGTCTTAGATGGCAGTGAGACAAGATGGTGGATCCTCGCAATTACCCCAGACCCAGGGCTTACATACCATAGGGAAAGGATAATCATGATTCAGAAGGGATGTGCAGGACAATTGAAGGATGATAGCATCAGTGTTGTTTTGACCATAGGGCAGAATTTATGGTAAGAATGTGCTCTTACACAGGAAACAATAGATAAACTGGAAATCTTAGTGGTCTTCCCAGAACAGGAGTTAACCAGAAGTCAATATGATGAATCTGCATCCAAGATGGAGTTGCTTTAGCCTCCACATTTGCATACCTGAGGAGAAGACAACCATCCACAAGCCAAGGAGAGAGGACACAGAAGAAACAACCCTGCCAACATCTTGATCTTGGACTTTCAGCCTGAAGCAGTGAGAGAAAATCAACTTCAGTCTTTGTTGTGGCAGCCCTAGCAAACTAATTCATTCCCTGTGAACTGTGAGCATTAAACCAGTCCAGCATGCCCTTCCCTTGCCATAGTGGCAGTGTTCCATCCAGTATGCCAAAACTACGGCAGGACTCCACATGGTGGCTGCTTCATCAGCCTTGGTCATAAATAAAATAGGATGCAGTAGATAGTCCCAATGACTTGCAATGGACATCACAGAAGCAAAAAGTAAACACTTTTTGTTCAAGAAAGACATTTGGGCTGTGTTTTTATACAGCATAACCTAATCTATTGTGAATGCTGCCTGTCTGTGCTCAGAGATTATTAAGATTAGCAAATATTCTTAAATGTCACATAATTATATTTGTAATATGGCTATGAAGGAAAAGTACAACATGTTTTTGATAGTAAGGGCACTTCGCATCAACTATGTTATTTGATCTAAATCTCAACCATTTCAGACACAGAAATGGTAAACCTTTTTCTTCTAGACTGCCAAGAAGTTAATTCTTAGAAAGGTGACTGACACTGGCTGGGCACAGTGGCTTACACCTGTAATTCCAGAGCTTTGGGAGGCCAAGGCAGGTGGATCACGAGGTCAGGAGTTAAAAATATAAAAAATTAGCCAGGCATGGTTGCACGCGCCTGTAATCCCAGCTATTAGGGAGGCTGAGGCAGGAGAATCTCTTGCACCCAGGAGGCGGAGGTTGTGGTGAGTGGAGATCGTGGCATTGGACTGCAGCCTGGGCGACAGCGCAAGACTCCGTCTCAAAAAAAAAAAAAGGAAAGAAAAATGAAACGTGACTGACATAGCCAGGCCATTTCACTGGAACATGATTTTAAAAAGGGTAAGAATCCACATTTTTATTAGCTAGTTTCTAATATTCTTTTTACTATAGAAAAGGGATATAGTAAAAGGCCAGGATATAGTAAATTGCAAGGTTTTCAACAGAAGAACCATTCAACATAAACAATAACAATAAAAAAGTTAGTAGTTTATCACTATGGATGTGTCCCTTTACCTAAAATGAAATGAAATATTTTTACTTCATTTTTATAAATAGTGTAATGCGGCAGTCAAAAATAGAAACTATGAAACTTCAATTTCCAAAAAATATTAAATATACTTGTCATTATTTAATTGCGATAAACATTATTTACCTAAAATAAAAATAAGTATCTTCATTTCTGTTTCATTTCTGATCTGCCCTAAGACTCACGTGGTTCCTAATAGAATCTGACTACTTCACATGCTAAGTTTTAATTTATTATTCCATTTGATAAAGCTCCACTGAGCCCCTAGATGTTTTGTGTTTTATGTTAGACTGAAGGATCTAAAAAAAAGATGAGGAAAACTAGACCTAAAAAGATAAAACTTGTTAATTTAATTTATAAAGCTCTTTTCACTTCTGGACATGAAGCAGATATTTAATGAGTTAGAATACGATTAACTGTTTTTAATACTATAAGATGAGGCAAAAGATGAAGATTTTTCAAAGGGTATACATACAATGAAAAGAATTATATCTTCACACTTTGAATAACCAGCTTGGTTAAACATATAGTTTAAAATACATTGTGCTACAATGAAGATTTTAATGATAAATCTCACCCTGTCTTAGAGGTATTTAAATTAAAGATGAAACCTAACTATTGCTTTATCTAGGCCACACCCCGGGGGACCAGCAGGATTGTTCTGTACAAGTTAATATCTTTGATTCTGTGCAGTCTAACTCCATATGCTCTGGGCAGTGGGGTTTCCACAATGTCCCTTTCAAAAGGCAATCTTGGCACAACTGAACTTACTCTTAGGAAATCTTTGGAGATCTTCTGAATCGTTTCTTTATTCTCTTAATCATATATCTGTGACAATTCCCAATTTACAGCCACATACTAAATTAAGCAATGGTAATAACAAAAGACCATGTTATTTTGTTAGTAGTCAGTGAAGTAAAACATTATTAACCTATGAACCTACCATAAGTACCATTCTCTCAGTCTTCCATCAGAGAATGCAGAGAGAAATTGGCTTCTATAGATTGTCTCCATTCCACTTCATTAACATTTATTTGTCTCAGAACAAGCAATTCACCAGCAGTGTTTTGAATTGTCCTCAATCCAAAAGTAATTACATAATTTAAATAGTGGTGTTGCAGGATCCTTGGGGTGTCACTTTTCTGTCCAAAAATGTCTGTGGCCAGTGGCACATTTGCCCAAGTTTTGCTTAGGCCCACTGGGCTCATTCCACCCGCTTGGCCTGGTAGGCTGTGCTTGGCACACACTACCAGCCTGGATCTCATACCTCCAAGAGAGACTGTGAGTCAGGCGTGGAGCAGCTAGGGGTATGTGAGTGAGCATGGGGTCTGGCCACTGTGCAGTCAGGCACACTAGCTGCTGCCGTGGGGCAGGCAGCTCCAGGTGCTGGCATGGGCGCTGGCTCTCTGCAAAGCTGTGGTTGGACGAGGAGCACTGCAAGACAGCTTTGCTGGCTGGCACTGGGGTATGTGGTGGCACCCAGAAGCTTAGAGATGCCAGGAACCGCAGGGTCCCAAAGAGGGAGTCACAGCCTTGGCTCAGAGAGCTCCCAGGTCTGGGATCCCCAAAGTGCTGCTGCTCTTCTCTCCTTTTAGCCCTCAATGTGGCAGGCAAGGGACATGTTTCAGTCCTGTTTGTGTTACAGCTCTTTTAGCCTCACCATTTGGCGGGTACCAAGTTCTTGTCCTGTGACCAGGAAGAATGAGGTATGCAGACAAGCTGAGGGTGAACAAGACAAAGAGGAGCTTTACTGAGTAATAGAACAGCTCAGAGGAATCTCATAGTGAGCAGCTCTTCTCTGTAGCCAGCGTGTCCTGAGGAGTGCTCAGCTCTTCACAGAGAGGGTAGCTCCTCTTAGCAGGCAGGTTGTCCTAACAAGTTTTCAGTTCTCAGCAAAGAGGGCAGCTCCTCTCTGCAGCTGATTGTCCTTTCCCTTGCAGCTCAAGGCAGAGAGGAGGTCCTAGAGTAGGTAGCTCCTCTCTGCAGGCAGGTTATCTCAACAAGCGTTCAGTTCTCAGTAGAGAGGGTAGCTCTTCTCTACAGCTGGTTCTTCTAGCATGTGCAGCTCTAGGAAGAAAGCAATGCCCTAGAGTGGGTGGCTCATCTCTGCAGGCAGGTAGTTCTGTCATCTCTGCAGCTCTCAGCAGAGAGGAAGCCCTAGAGTGAGTAGCTCTTCTCTGCAGCTGGTGGTCCCAACATCTGTAGCTCTCAGCAGAGAGGAGGCCCTGGAGTGGGTAGCTCCTCTCTGCAGCTGGTCTTCCCAACATCTGCTCAGTGAGCCCTGCACTTTTATGCTCCTCAAAGGGTAGGACAGGTGCACCAACAGGTCCTTGGGCTTCCATGGCTGGGCCTGGAAAAGGCACCACAAGTTCCCACTCTGATCTGTGGGACTGGTAGCCGGGTTCCCAGCCTTCAGGCTCTCCCTGGTCCAAAAGTGGGGCCTCAATAAGGACCTGTCCCCTTCGCTGAGGAACCTGTCTGCCTCCTGCTGCCATTCACAGTGCCCAGGCTGTAGGTGCCAAGGGGTACCTACAGGCCAGCACTGAGCTGCCCTCAGCCCGCATCAGCTTCCCTTCTATATCCATGGGCACCCAAAGTCAGGAGGGGGCAGAGGGAGCAGGGCACTGGTGTGTTAGCACTGCCTCAAGCATGTGCACACTCAGCCAGGATGTGATAGTGCCCAGGCTCGGTCCTGACTTTGCTCCAGGATCTGAGTGGGTGCTGACAGTGGAGAGAGACCAGGCAGTGAGAGCAGGCATTTTTGAGCCTGCGAGGGCAGGGAGCCTTCCAGGGCCCCAAAAGTGCAAGGATGCCTGGTCCGCAGCACAGTTTGAGCAGCTGCAGTTGCACCCAGTGGGGCGGGACTCCTACCTGCTTTGTGGAGCAGGAGGCCCAGGTCTACAGCCATGGTTTGAGCAGCTGCAGCTGGGTCTAGGAGGGTGGGTCTCCTGCCTGCTCTGTGGAGTGGGAAGCCCAGGTCTGCAGTGACGACTTGGGTAGCTGAAGCTGCACTTGAGGAGCTTCTGCTTCACCAACCCAGAAGGGGCAGCGCTCCCACTTGTCCCTGGCTCCCTCCAGCTCCACAGAATGTGTAGCCATGGCAACGCCTCCCTGCTGCAGCCAGCATGATGGCAGCAGCCACTCCATACAGGCCACCATTGCCATCAGTGGCAATTAAACTATTTAGAACAGGGTTTGAAAATAGCAGCACGTGGATTATATCTACTCCTACATATATGTTTTATACGGCCTTCCAGTGTTTGTTTTCTTATATTGAGTTGGTAGCATTGAAAATTGGGAGGCTGTATAGGATCAGTCACTCTGACTTCTACTGAAGAAAAGGCAAGCAAAAAGGAAGAGAAAAGAAAAAGTAAAAAAATAGGAGAAGGTAGGGGTGGAAGAGAAGGGAATGAATGGATGGGAAAATAGAAGGAAAGGGAATGATGAGAGGAAAGCATGGGGCAAAGAAAAGAGGACAAAAAAACAGAATACTGTTAGCACCTCTGAGCCAACATCACTTTTTGGTAACAATTAGTTCCTGAGTAGCAGGCATTCCTTTTAGAGGTATCTCTATTCTAAATTTCCTGTAATCCTTTCTATTCTCTATTCTTTCTCATCTAGTTCATTTCACATGTTCTTAACCTACTGTATTCTATACGGTCATTTTCATTTGTGTGTCTTATTTTAGACTACTAGCTCTTTGAAGCAATCCCACGGCTCAGCCATGCAGTGTCACATCCATGATAAAAGTTGGCTAAACTGAATTGTGTATGGAGTCGAAGACTCACCAAATAACTGACATTGATTTTTATATCCATTTCCATCGCTTATAATAAATGAGGTCTTTTTATTTTTTCTTTTTTATCCACTCTCTATATCAAGTAGCACCTCTATTTTGTATCTATTCTCCTAACTTCACCTCCACTTAGCAATTAATGGAGTCTTTTTTTAAAGGATTTTATTTCCTTTTATGCCTCCTGTTGAAGCCAGTAGCTCTCAGCCTTTCAGATTAGAATATGATTCATCTTAAAGAAGAAAGAAGAGAAATGATGCATCATAAAGTAACTCCTCTTACTCTGATGGTTTCCCTCATCAGCTAGGTTAGGAGAGCTGTATCCCCTTGACTTTGCATTTCCAAATATTAATTCAAGAATGGTAAATCAGCTCTTGTTTATCATTTTGCCAAGTAAGACATTTTAGTCTCATGAAAGTTAATCAATTTTAAACAATTTAGGGCCTCAAAACATAACTAGAGTCTTCTCTCATTACTCACTTTATTTTCAATTTACAGCCTTCAACTCAGTTGATAGCCTATGTTGTAATCTTCCTTAGACCTAAAATGAAGTTAAAATGCCATTTCTTGTATCAAAAGGATTAAAGAAATCTAAATACTGTGTAATTTTTACTCTATTCATTATACAATGTTAACGATTTTGGAGTTTTAGAGGATTTTTTTATTTTAGGATTTGTGTTACTGAATATTTATACTTCTATTGGTCTCTAGAATGTAGAAATATTTTTCTCATTATACTATATTTATTTTGGTACCTTCTAGGAGTTTTTCATTTTTCCATTAGCATAATTCTTACCTACTTCAATTCATAACTCCTACCACTAAATTATTATATGACAGTCAATTTTTAAAAGTACATTGATCTTTTCACTGTCCAGCTTTTATCTTCTTTAAATAAACTTTAAGATTTATGTGCTTTTCCCTTTAAATTAAGTTTCTGTTTTTCATATATCTTTATTATTTTAACATGGTTACTTTGTGCCACAATTTATTCTTTAAATGTCTTTTAAAGATAAACATAAAAGATAATTAAATAGCTCTTAGACATTGTAGAGCCAATATTAATTTCTTATCTCTCATTTACTTACTCTCTGTTATCTCTTTTTGCTGAATATCACTGTAAAACCTATACTTATTCTATATAATTCCCATGGCTAAAATTGCTTCTTTTAGTTTTTTTAGTAATTTTTTTAATTGAAAGCTTTCATTCATTAAAAAAAGTAGTCTCTAATCCTAATTTCTTTTCTATGCATTGGCTGAGTTGGTTTGGAAGCCCATGTTTCTTTCATATATAAGAAAACAACATATATATATGTCATATATAGTACATATGAAACCTATATATACTATATAATATGGTTCTCACATATAATATATACATATACCTATATATTATATACATAAATTATATAATACATAAAACATTTGATCAACTCCAATTATACATAAAACATATATTATATATAACATATGTGTTTTATATAGATAGTGTACTTGTTTTATATATAATATATATGTTTCCCTTGCATTTCAGAACACACATATTCCTGTCTATTTCATTTGGATGAATGTTAAGAATATTAGATATTGTCATTAATTTCTTACTCTACTTAGCAAGCTAAAATTCTTTCTGATTGACAGGCTAAATACACTATATAATTAGAGTTGATCAAATGTTTTAAAATAAAGGTTGTAAGAAATGCAAATGAAAGTAAACTCAACCACCCCTTTCCTCCCATTACAGTAACACCCAGTTATTTCCTTTCTGGCAAACAGTGAAAGGGCTTAGAATGCCTCAGGGTCATCTCAATATATAAAGTGAGGTAACATTTAAGATGAGAATGGAGGCTATATTTCTTCAACAACTTAGCAATACGATTTACTCTTTCAAAAGAGCAATCACCCCAAATGTGTTTTCTAAGGACTGAGAAAATAATCAGCTTGCAATATAATCTTAATAAACCATCTTGCCACTGTGAACTTCATGATAGACACTGCATTGATAGTTTTGAAACCAAAATTTGGGGCAAAAAGCCTATAAGACTAAAAATGAAATTGTATTTACAGAGAGAATAGGATGAGTTCATTAAAATCAGGGCTGTTTATTAAATTCCAGAATGTAGGACCCTCACCTTAAAATAGAGTAAATAAATGTCCCTTGCAGGGCTGATGGGCCCAGCTGGCTTGGCTCTGCCTTTCTTGCTGATGTGAGCAAGTACCTCTATCTATGCTATTTTAGTTCTTTGAAGGGTACTTGGGGACAAACGTCACACTGTTTTCCTTCTAAAAATGCTAACTTCAGGCCTTCTCTATCAAGCTTGACTGGATACTCTCAAACTTGCTTCAACAAAATGTATTTCATACCATATGTAATACTGTATTCATAGACTCACAATTAACTCTGTTCAATTGGCTAACAGGAAATACGGATGCTCCTTTTCCGATCTTTTGTATTAGTAATTTGCTAAAGTTCATTTTCTTAGCTATTTATTCACTGCTGTAAAACACAGCCAGTGTGAAACTAATATTTAAAATTTTGAGATGCTTCATCATATTTTGATGTAATTGCTTTGTACAGACAGGTTTATTTATTTATTTATTTTTATTTTTGAAGACAAGGTCTTGCTGTCACCCAGGCTGGAGTACAGTGGTATCATCACACCTTACTGCAGCCTCAACCTCCCAGGCTCAAGCAATCCACCTGCCTCAGCCTTTTGAGAAGCTGGGACTACAGGCATGCATCACTATGCCGGGCTAATTTTTTTTCATGTTTTATAGAGATGGGGTCTCACTATGTTGCCCAGGCTGGTCTCAAACTCCTGGGCTCAAGTAATCCTCTCACTTCAGGTTCCCAAAGTGCTGGGATTACAGATGTGAACCACCATGCCTGACCTGTACAAACAAGTTTAGAGAATAATATACAAATATCCTTGCCCCACTACATAGAATAAATTAATATTAATAATTTATTAAATTTGTTTTCTAGATTTAGATAAATGAAATAAATATTCCTAATAAAGTTCAAGTCCCATTTATAATTTTTTCCTGGTCTCATCTTCATCTCCACAGACAAGCACTATCATAAATTGGTGTATTTTTTTAGTCTATATTTTGGTAATAAGAAAAAGAATAATTAGGAGGAAGAGAATGAGAAGGATAAAGGAACAATTACTTTTTTACATTTGTTGAGCACCTACTAATAACAGGGACTTTCTAAGTGCTTTTCACATATTACCTAATATAATTATCAAA